>NC_000015.10:26307177-26610207 GCF_000001405.40 Homo sapiens
AAAGCATAGCAAGAATCACCTTTATTCCATATCCCAACAAGTTCCTCTTCTCCACCAAGAGCACCTCAGCCTGGATATCACTATCAGCATTTTGGTCAAAGCCATTCAACAAGTCTCTAGGGAGTTCCAAACTCCCACATCTTCCTGTCCTCTGAGCCCTTCAAGTCTCGAGGGAGTTCCAAACTTTCCCACATTTTCTTATCTTTTTCTGAGCCCTCCAAACTGTTCCAACCTCTGCCTGTTACCCAGTTCCAAAGTCACTTCCGCATTTTCGGGTATCTTTACAGCAGCACCCTGCTCCCTGTGGTATCACTTTACTGTATTAGTCTCTTCTCATGCTGCTAATAAAGACATACCCTGGACTGGGTAATTTATAAAGGAAAGAGGTTTAATAAACTCACAGTTCCACATGGGTGGGGAGGCCTCAGGAAACTTACAATCATGGTGGAAGGGGAAACAAACACGTCCTTCTTCACATGGTAGCAGGAGAGAGAAATGTGGAGCAAAGGTGGGGAAACCCTTTATAAAACCATCAGATCTTGTGAGAACTCACTCATTATCATGAGAAAAGCATGGAGGAACCACCCCCATCTAATTACCTTCCACGAGGTCCCTCCCTCAACAGGTGGGGATTACAATTTGGATTGTAATTTAAGATGAGGGTAGGGTGGGGACACAGAGCCAGACCATATCACCTTCCTAAGCATCTGCCCACTCAATTTTGGCTGGAGGTGAATTTCATTTTCTCTCTGATCCCACTGCAGCCAGCCCCAACTTCATTCCTGATTGCCTAGGAAAAACTGCCTTTGAAATTTGACATCTGCAGCCAGATAGGGGAATGCCCCTTCTGGGCCCAGACAGCAGGGTCTGCTTCTCTCAATTTGGGAAAATTTTAAGGGAATTTCCATTTGCAGGTTGAATAAGCTCAACTGATTGAGAGAGGAAAGCATCCTGACTATTTTAGAATGGACACTCTTGAACGCTTGTTTGTAGTTGTGTTTGTGTGTTGTGTCCAGGCAAGTGAGTGTATTTTGTGGGTACCAGAGAGTGGGTTCAGCTCCTCTCAATTTGGGAAATTCCAAAAGAATTTTCGTTTGCAGGTAGATCAAGACCAACTGAGAGAGGAAGCACCCCGACTGTTTAAGCTGGACACTCTTGGGTTTTGTTTGCTGCTGCAGCAGTTAGATTGTGTTCTGGTGATTGTGTGTGTTTGATATAGTCACAGGAAATTAGAATTCGGTAAGCTGTTATTCTTTTGCAATACTGCTTGTCCCCAGTATTGTTTGGAATCTGGAGTTTGCTGTTGAATGGGGAAGTGGGATGGAGTTGCATGTATCCAGGTTTTTGTGCTACTGTTCTAAGCAGGGTCTGGCCTGGTTAGTATATGATGCTCTCCTTTAGTGCTGTTTAGCCCCAGTGCTCTTTGGAATCTGGGGAAGTTTGCCCTGTAAAAATCAAACAGCCATGGAAACTGCTTTACCCAAAACTTTGGTTCACAGCCTTCATTGGATTACCTATGGGGGCAAACAAAGTATAACAATGTAAAACTGATGAGCTTGTATTGCTATTTCATGGCTAGAGTTCCAAGTTAAAAGCTATTGGATCTTTGTGTGTGTGTATACATGTCTAGAGGAGTTTATTTGTATATACACTTATTGTTACATTGTGTCTACCAAATTGGCTTATAAGTAAAAGGGCGCTTATAAATTAAATAAGTCTAAGTAATTTTCAAGTTTATATGACTCAAGTAAATCTTTACTAACCAAGCTGGCTTTAAAATTATTTGAATTTAAAGTAGAAATGCCTTCAGAATTGTCAGCATACATTTTTTTATCTGGATTTTATATTTGTCTTTGCTAGATATTTTGAGGTGTTTGCTAGATATATTTTCAGTGTTTGGCATAGAAGGTATAAAGTTATAAACCCAGCCCAAGCAAAATGATCTTGGTTTGTGTGCCTTCTTTAACAAATGAGACGAATTTAATGTCATTAGCTGAATCTTCTGAGATATCAGCAAAATTACCTACATATTTAACATTGAAGCTCTTATTTAGGTGAGCACCTGATGTTCACTGGCTATTCAAAAATGATTAACAAGGAAGTAACTTAGCTTTATTATTTTATTTTATTTTATTTTATTTTTAGACAGTGTCTTGGTCTGTCACCTAGGCTGGAATGCAGTGGCATGATCTTGGCTCACTGCAACCTCTGCCTCCTGGGTTCAAGTGATTCTCGTGTCTCAGCCACCCAAGTAGCTGGGACTACAGACATGTGCCACCATGTCTGGCTAATTTTTGTATTTTTAGTAGAGACAGAGTTTCGCCATGTTGGCCAGGCTGGTCTCAAACTCCTGGTGTTAAATGATCCACCCACGTTGGCCTTCCAAAGTGCTGAAATTACAGGTGTGAGCCAACACACCCAGCAGAAAATAACTAACTTTAAGTGATGGTGTCTAATATCTCAGTTTTCAGAAGTAATCAAGATAAACTGTTAAAAATGGAGTACATGTAAATGAGAGAAATATTTTAGGTAAACTTTTTGTGTAATTTAAAGTATTAAAATTATTTTTGATGCTCATTCAATATCTGGGCCATTTCCAATCAACAAAGGGTTATGATATGGGGAAATATATTTCTAAAAATTGTGGAATCATTCTTATCTATAAAATGCTCATATCTGATAGCTCAAGATTTCTTGCTTTTTAGGGTTTCACTAAAATTGAAGGTTACAAAGGATAAGAATTATAGTTAATATATAATTCTGTATATAAATTGTGCCAAAAGATGTGTTATTAGTGAGAAAAAATAGTTTTGTCTAATTCAGAAGTTATCTAAAAGTCAGTTCAAATTACAGATTTGAAAAGGTTATTTATGAAACAAAGTAGTAAGGAACCAGTAAGTAGGAGTGAGAGACATGAAGAAAGTTATGTATATGACTTTGGTAAGGAAGAAAAGATAATAAGTTTGTATGAGAAAGGATCATATATAGTAAATTTTTTCACCTAGAATAAAATGGCTGGTTCTTTAAAGAAGGAGAAAAAAATCTGGGACTGAACAGAAAGCCCAGGCATGTCATGGATGGTCTGTGTAAGTGAGATGCCTTTTTTTTTTCTGTTTCTCTGTGTGTCTATCTTCATGCATATACAGAGAAAATAGAAAGTTGGAAAAGTTTAGATATTAAAATATTCTTTAAAACCCAACAGAGAATTGGAAAAATGTGGCTAATTAACATTTTTGTATTTAAAACTTTTAGTCCTGACTAAAGTAAAATTAAAAATATTGTAAAGAAATGCATTGGCAGTTTCATGATTGTTTTTTAATATAGACCTTCAGGCCTCTCAAAGAACTGAAACTCATCAGATCACCACACAAGATGCCTCCTTGCCCCTCCCTAGTTCTTGTCTTCTTAAATTTCTTCCCTGCTATTTAAACTCTCAGTTTTAGTTGGTCAGGGAGATATATTTAAGGGTGAGCTCCCATCTCCTCAGCTGCAGCACCTGATTAAAACCTTCTTCCTTGGCAATACTCATTGTCTCAGTGATTGGCTTTCTGTGCTGTGAGCAGCAGGACCTGGACCAAACCCCTAGTGTTTTGGTAACATTCTGAGTGAAAGAAGAAAGATTATATACTGCATTATTCCATATACATAAGACTGTAGAAAATGCAAACTCACCTATATAACAGGAAGCAGTGTTTGCCTGCGGACTGAGGATTTGGAGTGAGGCAGCAGGTGGGGAGTCATGGGAGGGAAAAATTACAGAAAGAGCATGAAAAACTTTTAGTTCTGAGGAATACATTCACTACCTTGATTTATATGACAGTTCTCCAGGTATATTTGTATATGTCAGAATTTCCCAAATAGTATGCTTTAAATATGTGCAATTTCTTGTATGTTATTTGTACCTCAAAAATTATTTTTAAGCCATTATGAGCTGATTTTCCCTTTGTACATTCCCCTTCTGGAGACAGGAACCATGAGATTTTGCAGAAAAGCAATCTGCTGAGGTCTTTTTCTCAGCTTGCTAGAAGATATTGGCCCTAATTCAAAGGATAACTTCACCTTAAACAAATATTTTCCAAATATAGTGATTTCTACTCTTCACTTAGATATTGTTCCAACAGATATGTAAAAGAGACACTGGTTAGACAACTGGTTACTGAATTTTTATTTGTTACAGATTTCACTGTGATTAATTTAAGTCATGTTGCAACAGGACTTATTGGTTGATGAAGAGTATATTTCTGTGAACTGTAGCATAGCATACTAGAAAGACTGCAGACAAGGAAATGAGAAGACTAAATATCTGTTTAGCACTACCATCTATAAGAACTTGAATAAGCCATTTAAATCCATTTGCCTCGGTTTCTTCTTTTGCAAAAAGGGTGTAATTCTTATTCTGCTTATCATTTCTGATCAAATGGCATAACAGTTCAACATGTTTTATAAAGAGTAAAGAATGATAGACCTTGGTTTTTCTCTTATTACTTAACATAAACTTTTGGGAGTTACGTTATTAACTATCAAGAAGTAGGTATAAATACTAATGTTGTAAAAATAAATTAATGCGTTTATTCTAGAAGTAGAGTGATTCCAATTATCCAGTTATTGTTTACTGAATACAGTGTGTTCCATGCTCTACATTATTTTTTATTTGTTTGTTCATAACCAATCACATACAGTTTGTTTGTCCTCCTCTTACCTTTCTCTAGAGGCACATTGCTCCCCCATGTAGTTGTAGCCATCATCAGCCAAGTATCTTAAAATAGAACTCGGTTTCAGCACTTTCATTCTTTCCCCTGAAGTGTCAGGCAAAGAATTTACTGAATAATTGTTTCAGCACTTGGCATCACGCTACCAGCGGTTATGAATATGCAACTAAATCTTTGCAAAGCTGCAATTAAAAAAACACTCAAAGTCTTACACAGTACATTCAGTACCTTTTTATTATAAATGGAATAATACAATTTAAGAGGAAAAACAAAATTATGCAATGTGATGGTTCACATAGAACCATGTGTCTCAAAAAGAACTTAATTATGTTTCAGTGGAATGTACATATCAGTGACACATTTTTTACATGACACCTACTCTTTCAAAGTTATTAAAATCTTGAAAGCATTATTTTAGAATTAAGGAAATTAAGTAAATTTTCTCTGTCCATTGGATAATCACAATGAAAGGAAAGAAAATGTACCAAAAAGGGAAATAAGAGTTTTAAATCAAGGAAGAACCAGTACAAAGCTTGAATTGAAGACTTGGGGACCCTCCAGCATGAAGGCTGTTAATGCTCATATGCTTAGGGTGGGCATAGCTGCTTAAGGGATGGCAAGTCTTGCAAAGCTGTGAACATGCCCCCTTCATGCCTGTTTGTCCTGGATGAGACTCTCCACACACCCACCCACAAGGAGAGATACTTGTTTAAACCTTACTTACATTGTCACAAATACAGTGTCATTGTAGACCTGGTGGTAAAAAACTGATCTCAAGGGAGCTTGGTGCACATTCTAGACTTGTGTAATGAATCAACTCCATAAATTAACCCAATTTTCCCATGAGTCAGATCAGTAGACGACATTTTCAGAGTAAATCAGCCATTAGGATTTTCTGTTTCTTCAGCTTTTCCTGCCCCTGTTCTTCAGACCACACCCATCGTTCCCTTCTTTTCTCGGGGAAGTTTAATCCAGGCATTTCTTTTTTTTGAAACAGTCTCACTCTGTTGCCCAGGCTGGAGTGCAGTGGCACAATCTCGGCTCACTGCAAGCTCTGCCTCCTGGGTTCATGCCATTCTCCTGCCTTAGCCTCCCGAGTAGCTGGGACTACAGGCGCCCGCCACCACGCCCGGCTACTTTTTTGTATTTTTAGTAGAGATGGGGTTTCACCGTGTTAGCCAGGATGGTTTCGATCTCCTGACCTCGTGATCCACCCACCTCGGCCTCCTAAAGTGCTGGGATTACAAGCGTGAGCCACCACACCCAGCCTAATCCAGACATTTCAAACAGAAGGCCTCTGTGTAGGGACTGTGGTCAGCAGAATAATACTCCCTGCCACAGAGGCCCAAACCCCAAGCCTGGAACCTGAGACTATGCTACCTTACCTGGCAAAAGGGACATTACAGACATGATTAAGAATTTTGAGATGAGGAGATTACCCTGGGAGTCCCAGTCTAACCGAATGAGTTCCAAAAAGCAAAGGACTTTTTTCTGGCTGGTCAGAGAGATGTGACAATGGAAGAAGGGTCAGAAAGAGGAGACACTGATGGCTTTGTAGAGAAAAGCAAGAGGCCCCAGCCAAGGAATGAGGACCTCAGGGATCTGGAAAAGGCAAATAAGTGGAGTCCTTGCCTTGACGTTAACCGAGACCTTGATTTCAGCCCAGTGAGACCATGGTCAACTTCTGACATATGGAACTGTAATAAATAATACATAGATAACAAATTTGTGCTCTTTTAAGCCCACTCCAGCTGGTAGTCTAGTAGTTAAGATTCTGTGCTTTTTATCCACCACTGTGCCCTGGAGATGTAAGTCCTTTAACTCAGAAGGAAAAAACAAAAGAGAGAGAAATAAACTTTTGTTGTTATAAGTCACTAGGTTTGTGGTAATTTCTTATGGCAATAACAGGACATGAATACAGAAGTTTTCACAGTCATAGTGTTCAAGAACCAATAGTAAACAGGAAACAACAAGGAAAATATAGACTTTCTAAAATTCTGAAACTATTTCGTGTGTGTGTTTGTCAATATTATACTGGCAGTACATGGAATGGTTTAACACCTTTACTTGTCAAAGTAAAAAATTGGCAGTCCGATTCTAATCCCATATTCCACAGATATTTAATTTGTTATGTATTTTAGAAGTTTGTAACCACTGATATTATCACTATCATTGTCATAAGACCTGATTTTTTTTTTTCAGTTTTTAAAGCTTTTCTTGCCACTTAGCACACACATACAAGCACTTAGTCAGCTCTACATGCAATACTAGAAACGACGGATGAAAGGATGACGACACCATGGCTACTGTCTTCAAAAAGTTCATTGTGACATATAGGGAAACATGTATGTACTCATTTGTTGGGGAAAAAAATAGTAACTCTGGTGATGAGATGCAGAAGCACTGACTGTGACCTCAGCAAAAGTCTGAGAGGGTGCAATGGAGACCTCGCCAAAGACAGACAAAGTTTGCAACCAAAGCCCTGCCCTGAGTACTCCCCTTCTTTCTTGAGCCCTCCACTGAAAAATGAAGATGCAGCCCCATTAAATAGAGCAAATGTGTGGTGGGAGAATAAAAGTAAGTAACTTGGAACATAGAAAATCGAACATCTGGTGAATAATGTTAAAGCAAACTAAATATGGCCTAAGAAGGACTCCATACATCTATATTTGAGTCCTTGTGGAGGAACTGCAACCTAACTTAGTAGGTAGACAAGACTGAAAACCTAACTTAGGAGTATCCACCTGTAACAATTGCTGAGTCTTGGCCAATCCTAGAAGCCATACTTCAACCACTCACGGTCTGCTAAGTGTTCAAACTGTGTTCAAAGAAGGCAAATGCTGACCTGTAACCAATCCAGCTGTTTCTGTAACACACTGCTGATTTCTGTACGTCACTTCCCCTTTTTTGTCTATAAATTTGTTCTGAGCATGAGGCACCCCTGGAATCTCTCCGTATCTGCTGTAATCCTGGGGGCTGCCCGATTCATTGCTCATTTTTTCATTGCTCAATTAAACTCCTTTAAATTTAATTTGACTGAAGTTTTTATTTTAACAATAACAACATAATGGTGTCCAAGAGCTTTCCTTTAGTTAGGAAGATAAGAATATATATGCATCTCAATCTTCTTCTCACCCTGAATTGTTTCACACTATCTACGGTCTAAGCATTTTCATGGCCATTTTTCAGGCTATATCATAAACAAACCTGTTTGACTTCAGTAGTTCCCCCATATCCATGGGGGGTATGTTCCAAGACTCCCAGTAGATGGCTGAAACCACAGATGGTACCAATCCTTATATAAACACCATTTTCACATACATACATAGTTATGATAAAGTTTGATTTAAAATTAAGCACAGTAAGAGACTACCAACAATAATTAACAACAACATAATATAACAATGTACTATAACATAAGTTATACGAATGTGGTCTCTCTCTCTCCCTCTTAACATACCTTTATGTGGTGTACCGCTTATTTTTGAACTGCAATTGACTTCAGCTAACTGAAATCTCAGAAAGCAAAATGTCAGATAAAGATGAACTACTATAAAGTGCATAAACCCACATAAATCCACAAAGGCACATACTTTTTAAAGCAAAGTATTGTATCAATTGGCAACTTATAATGACTAAATCAGGCAAATATCTCATAATCTAGATTTTTGTTTCTTAACATGATAGTGGTCATAATTTTAACAGTTAAGAGGACATCTTGCCTCTATTGCTCGAGGTGTAAAATAAGGAATTGTAAACCAAGGTGATTAAATATTATAAAGCTATTTTGAAATGTAATGTCAATAAAATCCATAGTATTTTCTGCTTATATTTTGTTTGTAATGTCTTCTTCCCCCTGGAAGAGTTTTTGAAAAAAACAAAAATATAGTCATTCAATCTGAAAACAAAATTGCAGTGGCTGAGGAAAAATATCAACAAATTTAGTCTCTTGTTGTCCCGGAATTTGTCAGAAGAGCTGATAGAGACATCATCTGAGCAGGCATTGAAATCCCTCCCTATCAGCCATCTGCAGTGCAACTGGAGATCAGTAAACCACGAGAGAAGTCTGAATAGCTGAGTAAAACACAGTCATTGATTTCCAAAGGTGATAACAACAACTGTGAAAGAAGATCTCAAAATTAAATTAGCATTAATGCTTGCATTACTCCTGGGATACTGCTTCTGTTTATCTCAAAAAGAAATGCTATTTCTGGAAAATGGTCACTTACACTTCCTAAATCAGAAGAAAATCTGAGGTTTTGTGATGTCAGAAGAGCTCAGCTTTTACGATTCTTTGCTTAATTTGTTAGAGCTGTGTCTCTCTCTTTCAAACTGTTTTGCTTTTGTGAAAGTACACTGTGATATTTTAAATAAGAATCTTAGTTTTCATGTTCTTAAAGAGTTGTATAATAAATTATTCTTTTTTTCTTTTCTAAGCTGCCTAGGACAGGTACTGCCTAGGACATGTACTTCCAGGCTATCAGGAGACAAGAGAAAATACAAGAGCAAACAAATCAGGGAAGCTTGCTTTCTGCCCAGTTTTAAACACTCGGCCTCCTGTTTAATTCCTGATTCTCACTCTATGCCTCAGTATAATGATGCACCCCCATGACATTGGGTTTCCACAGAATAGAGTGTGTATGCAAAAAATAGACATCTTACCCTAACAGAAGTTCTCTTTGGACCTCTTATTCAAGGGATGCTCATGTGCAAGAAATCCCTTCTCTGTTGCCCTCCCAGCCTGGGTATGAGCCACACCTTACCCTACCTAGGATTTGTGTCACTCCTGATTCAAGAGGATAAGGTTGAACTTTCACATCCCTCCCAGATGGGAGGTGTTTTCATCCAATTTCTGCTGCTATAACAGAATACCATAGACTGGGTAACTTATAGACAAAATAAATTTATTTGGCTCACAGTTCTGGAAACTGGGAAGTCCAAGAGCATGGCACCAGCATCTGGTGAGGGCCCTCTTGCTGCTTCATAATATGATGGAAGGGTGGAAAGTGGAAGAGAGCCCTTGGGAGACAGACACCTGGGACTGGACTTGGTTTATAACAATCCACTGTTGAGATAACTATTCCACTTCCGAGATAATTGACATTAGTCCATTTATGAGTGTTCTGCCCTCATGACCCGGTCACCTCTTATTAGGCCCCACCTGCCAACACTTTTGCATTGTGAAGTATATTTTCAACATGTGAGCTTTTGGGGGGACACATTTAAACCACAGCAGAAGGTAATATACCAGTAACATTCACTCATCCTGAACAGAAACTCTTTATGTCCTTGGGTAAAAACACTTCATAGATACCATCATTTTCAAAACTTGACTCTGCTAATTTAATGCTGCACTTATAAGAGGTTTTAGTAAATGATGTGTCCTTTTTTAAAGGCCAAACAATCATTTAACAGTGTGGTAAGGCAAACATTTTTATATTGTTCTGAGAAATAGCTGTGTCAGGAAAACAAAAGCTTTTTTTATGGAAAATCAGCACAATTTATTTTTCATTTTTGAAAATGTACCCAATAGTATATCTATTTAATTCCATCTTGAACATTGCCCAAAAAACAGTAGTGTATCCCTACCATGTTCTATATTTTACAAGGAGATTTTACAAAGGAAAACTTTCCACCTCCCTATAAACACATACACCTTTATTTACTTTTATTTGTGGTTTTATTGAATACGTCTCAATTCAGAGAACAATGTTTTTGAGCAACTACTAGATAAAAAGACTATGTGTGTGGTTTAAAAATGTAAAGGATGCTGTTATTGCTCTTAAATTAGGTATATTTTAAAAGCAGTAATGATTATTTAAGTAACTGAGAATCATCCAGGATAAACTTTTGTGTGTTGAAGTAATAAACGATCTGTAAATATAGTTGCTCAAAACAACCAGTATTTGTTTCTGGGGAATGCTACCCATCCATCACTTGTTGGCAGGGAGTTCAGATTTTTGGTCACTCAAGCCATCTGGTAGACAGGGCAGCCACCGTCTCTATATAATGCAACTCATCACTACACACAGGCAGAGTCCTAGAGGGTCCCAAGGAGAAATCGAGTCTTGCATTGGCCCTCCCAACCTCTAAGGGGCTACGGAAGAGCAACCCTAGTTATGTGCCTTGGAAATGTTTGATGACCCTTCACACACAGAGAAGAGTGGAATGAGTGACATGTGAGAAGGCCCATGTAGCAGTGTGGGGTTGGAGCAGAGCTGTGAAGTCCCTGTGGGGAGATGGCCAAGCACCATGAGGACAGGTATCTCGGGGGAGGCTTTGGGTGGGAAAACTGTCAAGAGGCACTAGTAGTGCTAGGTAAGGGAATAGCCTGAGAGGAAGACACACATTATAGGATTACAGGTCTATGTTTGGCAGTAACTCACATTTGGGGGACATTCGAAGCATTGTACACATGAGATTTGTTAAGATATCTTAGGATGAAAGTGTCTAGATCAAAAAAGCAGAAGTGGAAAGATTTGAGGAGAAAAAAATCATCAATAAAGTAAGAGGTAGGTATCCAGCCTCTTATGGACAGCACAGGCTGTCTTCCTTCATCTTATCATACAAATGCAAGGGCAACACAGGTGCTGCGGGCTGGTCACGGCATCTCCTCTGGTTGTGAAATTACATTCTTATTAAAATGTGCTCTTAGGGTGGCCTATTCTACACATTTCATTGATTACATAATATTTCACATATAGTTGTCTCTCAGAGGTAGGCAGCATAAAATAGCCTAACAGAAGATAAATAATATTACGAGACAAAAATCAGAATTGTGGTCTGTGAGGCCTTCATAATGAAGGTAAATATTACAAAGGGAAACATTCTGGATTTTAAAACAATAAATGTTGAAAAGCACTGATGCATGCATTTGCATGGGAGGTAATTGATTAAAATATCCCACTCTGACTTCATGCTGCTTAGAGAGACACTGAGGGCACAGTTGAACCAAGATAGGAAACAAGATTCAGTGCAATGCAGATTCTTCTGGACCCTGGGGTCTATGCTTGTCAAAATTGATTGATATAATGTAGGAGGTTAAGTGCTTTACTGACATTAATCCCACTTTAAAAAGAGCAGAAGGAAAAAAAAATACCTCCCTGGATTCCCTAAAAGGACCATTTTAATGATGCTGTGTAATTTTGCAAGGTCCGTTCTTAATATGTGGTGAGCAAAAAAAATTTGTGCTTCTATTACCAGGGGAAGTCGTGTATTCACAACAAAGGCAATATACTCTGTTCTTTGCTTACCAGAAAGAGAAACAGGCATAAGCTGTGCAAGTTCCTAGAAGAAAGTTCCATTGCTCAAAGGGCTGCAGAGGGCAGGAATGTGCTCCCTCCATGGAGGCACACCTAGGGAGGGCTCACTGTGGCCCAGGTGCAGTGCAAGTCATGGGAACACCAATATGAAGACGAAACACAACTGCTGACCTCAGAAGGCTTAGGCTAAACATGAATAGCAATTACAGACTGGGAGAAATGCTGGGAGTGGAACTGAACGATGCACTAAATTGCAAGAAGTGAGAGCCTTTCCGATGGGGAGGACAGGGAGGAGATTCAGGCCAAGACATAGCATCAGCTAGGTAAGTAGAGTGGAGGGAAGAGACAGGAAAACACTCCAAGTCAAGAGGACAGCTGCAGCAAGGCCCACCTGGAAAACAAACCAGAGGGAATACAAGCTCAGGAATAGTTTCCATGAGTTTTGCAGAGTGGAAAAAGTGAGCCAGGTATGCTGAGGGGATGCAGAGAGGCAAGAGGGAGGGAGAAAGACAGGAATGGGTGAGGTGACCCAAACCCAGAGCCTGCAGAGCTGAGGCCAGACCTCCAAGGATGGCGCTGCCAGTGATTCTGGTGCTGGGGTCTCTGACCAGGTGCCATGAGGTTGGTGCTGGAAGCACCAAACAACAAGCAAGAGGTTGGTCCACTACTGCACACGAAGATTCATGGCCATCCCAGGTCCACATTGGAGAGGGGAGCATTCAAGGGTAGGTCTGGAGCCAATGGACAACTGTTCACTGACTAGTGAAGTGGTCACAGAGGAAGGATCCGTGGCCAGAATGAGAGGAGACTTGAGATCAGAGAAGAGGCAAGACAGATCCAGCCATGCCTCACATCCTTAGCCTGGAGTTTGGGTTTAAGCACAAGAGGAAATTGTTGAGGGGCTTTGAACTGAGTAACAGCAATGGTAATAGAGGTCTTCAGAGTAGCAGCAGCCACTACAGCTGTTATTTATTGTGAGCTTGCAATGTGCCCAGCCCTACTCTAAGTGTTTTGCTTGTAACTCTCACAATAATCCTATGTGCAGAAACTCTTAGCCCCCCTCATTTTTTCTTTTTTTCTTTTTTGTTTTTGTTTTTTTGTTTGTTTGTTTTTTGTTTTTTGAGACAGAGTTTTGCTCTTGCTGCCCAGGCTGGAGTGCAATGGCGTCATCTCAACTCACTGCAACCTCCGCCTCCCAGGTTCAAGCAATTCTCCTGCCTCAGCCTCCCAAGTAGCTGAGACTACAGGCAAGTGCGACCACACCCGGCTAATTTTTTGTATTTTTAGTACAGACAGGATTTCACCATGTTGTTCAGGTTGGTCTCGAACTCCTGACCTCAAGTGATCCACCTGCCTTGGCCTCCCAAAGTGCTGGGATTACAGGCATGAGCCACTGTGCCCAGCCACTTGTAGCGCCTTTTTATAGAGAGAATAAAGCCACAGAGAAGCTGAGTAATTTGCTAAAGGTCACACCACTAGGAAGGGGTGGAAGAAAGATTGGAAAGATGTGCATATAATTATCTATGACCAGACTATTTACTAAGTAAATAAAGTACTCAGGCTGCTGAGTGGAAATTCCACTGAGGGATGCAGGCAGGCTAATAGTTATTGCTGAAAATAAGGTAAGATTAATCCCTTATTGAAATTAAGGAAACACTCCAGTATGGAGTTTGCCAGAATAGGTTTCTCTACAAAAATTGATTCTGTGGTTAAAGACATTGGGAAAACACTGCCTACCTTCACTTCTCTTAGAAGCTCACAATATACATTAACATGTTAAATCTTCCTGGAAGTCCTACAATAAAGAAATGTATTTCAACATTAAAAATAATTATCATTATTCCCACTGAAGATAAAGATTAAAAATGGCACTAGGCTGCCGTGCAAAGGTCAGCCACAACACAGAAATGATGGTCAAGTTCAAGTTGAAATAAAGACTCCGCTTCAGTGACACAGACCATCCCCTCTCGTGGGCGAAGTCTTCAGTGTGTGCCAGCAGCTCAGAGTTCGATTAACTGGGGGATGAGGCAGCAGTCATGCAGGGAAATCTGGAAACATACCAGCAAGACATCCAGAGTCAGAGGGTAGCCCCTGCACTGAGGGAGTTTCCTTTCATATGGGGGGGGCAGTTATGAGTACTGCTTATACCTGAAAAACATAAATCCAAGTTCAGGTGCAACCCAGAGACACATGCCATTAAAGCAGTAGATTTTCCAGGACACAATGATCTCTCCTTTTACCTAATGAAACATCCACATGTCACATAGTATGTTTATGATACAGAGACCTGCCCTAGTGCTATGGTAGTTGGGAATGGCACACAATGAGCTCTGCCTGACTTGGAGCAAGGGACCCAAGTTGGGATCCCTTGGGGCAAAAAAAAAAAAAAAAAAAAAAAAAAAGCCAAGATTTAGGCCTCAAAGGAAGGAAGGTTAGAACTAACATCAGAACCAATCTCACTAGTCTGGAGATTTACCATAGGGCTTTGGGATCCCTTGCTCCTAGTTGACTTAACTGGCCATAAGTAGGCCATGTGCATCTAACCCTGTGTGTGGTTATGTTTGTGTGTGTGTACACATCTGTCAAAGACTGCCCATAACCAGGGTGAGCCAAGAAGACCAGGTCTGGAGAATGGCCTTATAAAACTTTACAAAATAAAGAAGTATTGGATTGTCTGCTATTTCTGGATTGGTCTGCAGAGTAAAGGAAACACAAATGGTATTTGCAACCTTGCAAGAAATACATTTGCTCAGGAGAATTTCAGTCTAATTGTGTAATAAGACCCAGTACAGTTTGAAAGTTTTGATTAAATTTGATAAACCTACAGGCGGCTGGACTTAATAGTCCTTTGCAGTTTGCTTCCTCCTAATTAAAAACATAATTCTTAAACAGTCACAGTAACATGCTTTTCTGTTAACTCAACGTATACTACAGGACTAGGGGAAACAAGAGTACCTGAAGGTTAGCATTTATTAAATCACACGAGGATGATGCATTTAGAGTTTGTAAGTAATGGTAAAATATATTTGGAAAATGTAACTAAATGCAACTTTGATTGGTGACCAGCAATATTTCTGATTACACTAAATAGACTATATTTTTTAGTAATTAAGTGGATATCTTTTCTTAATTTAATATTTGGCATGAGATCAATGGGGGAAATGAAGATGCCCTTTACCAAATAAATACTTTGTCTACTAAGAGCAGACAATATAAAGAATTGTTGCAGTTAACATGTCATGTCCAGTACTACTTCAATTGGAGGCCCGAGGTTTAAGAGGAAATAGAGACTTCTGTTTACAATTTGGAGATGTAGAGCACTGGAAAGAATATAATTCCCACCATATAATAAAAAAGCTGTACAAGGCCAGGTGCAGTAGCTCACACCTGCAATCCAGCACTTTGGGAGGCCAAGGTGGGCAGATCGCTTGAGGTCAGGAGTTCGAGACCAACCTGGCCAATGTGGTGAAACCCTGTCTCTACTAAAACAAAATAATAAATAAATAAATACAGAAATAAATTTGCCAGGCGTGTTGGCGGGCACCTGTAATTCCAGCTACCTGGGAGGCTGAGGCAGGAGAATTGCTTGAATCCTGGAGGCGGAGGTTGCAGTGAGCTGAGATTGCACCACTGCACTCCAGCCTGGGTGACAAAGCAAGACTTCATCTCAAAAAAAAAATATTAAAATATTAAATTAAAAAAATTTAAAAAGCTGTACAAACTTCAAATAAATGACTTTTGAAAATTCATTAGAAAGATTTGGTCACAGAGTATACAATGGGCACAAAATCTAAAGAGAGACAGGTACCCTCAGAGAAATAGAACCTGAATACTTGCTTACCCGGTATAGATACCACTGAACACCACAGAATCTGGTAAAAAGATTGAAGTAAGCATCTTTAACAAATCACTAAAGGCCAAGTGAGGGCTCATGAGAACATGTGAAGCTTCTATGGGCTGCAGACCCGGGTGAAAGGTGTTGTTACCTCTTGGAGGCCTTTCCTCCAGGAATCCACCAAGTGCCCACAGCTGGCATCAGGGGAATCTTGAGAAAGCTCAGAGGTGGTACTGGCTGGTGAGTGGGTGGTAGGAGGGAGAAATTGTAGCCAGCCAAGGGACCCAGGGGAATCTCATCACAGGTGGGATTATAGACTCTGCCAAGACTTGTCTTCCCTAAGGAACAAAAATCTTAATCTGCATGGGAAGGGCATCAAAATATAGCCTATGGGCACAGACGGACACACCCTGAGACTGCAGGAGAGGACAGAGGAGAAAAGAGAAGTCGTACCCCCACAGAAGGGGCAAGAATATGTGCTAAGACAGGGTTACATATGGAGGAAGGGCAGGAACACTTACGAAGACCACCCTTTCAAGGTCAGGTTCCCAGTGCCTGCCTGGGACTAAGGATTAACCAGGACAGCAGAGGAAGCTCCCTTCTGCCACTCACCACCAGGCTAACAAGCAGTGAGGAAAAAATGTCGGTAAAAAACATCTGGGGGATCTGCAAGAGACAGACTCTATCTGTGGAGAAGTGTAAAGAAACAGCCCAACGCCAAGTGGGGAGACAAGCAGAAGGTAACACTGCAGGAATTTGAAGCGTTCTGGGTGTATTGATGGTAACCATGGCAACAACAAACTTCAAATCCATCCTAATTCCTAAAGAGACTGACACAAAAGTCCACACCAAAGATCTAGCAGAAGGAAAATTATGCTCATTTCTGAGCATAACATGTACATGCCCAGTATTACCATCCTATAAAACGTCAGGCTTCCAACAAAAAAAAATTACACAGTGTACAAAAAGGAAAGAACAAACACGGTCTGAAGAGACAAAACAATGAGAATAACCAGACTTAGATATGACACATGTATTGGAACTATTAGGCAGGGATTTCAAAAATCACTATGATTAATATGCTAATGAATGTTGTAATGGAATGGAAATTGTAATGGAAGTCCAAATGTAATCCAAATTGTAATGGAACATGCAAAATCAGACAGGTAATTTTAGCAGAGAGACTGAAACTATAATAAACACAAAAATGCTAGGGATAACAACTAAAACAGTAACAAAATGAAGAGTGCCTCCAATGGACTCATTATCAGATTTAACACAATTGAGGAAAATCTCAATGAACTTGAAAATAGGTCACACTGAAATGCAAAGAGAAGAAAATAACAAAGAGCAAAATAACAAACATTAGATTTTTGTTAACAAATAACAAAAAGCAAAAACAGAACAAGGTATCTAAGAATTGAAGCAAAACATCAAATGGTCAAACATAACCTATATTGGAATCCCAGAAGGAAACATGAGAAAAGGATTGAAGAAAGTGAAGCCACAAAACACATGAGGCAAAAACTGATGGAATCGGGGGGAAAGAGGGAGTTCAGTTATAGCTGGAGAAGTTCACTAGCTGCTTTTCTTAATGGATACAACAACTGGACATAAGCAAGGATATAGATTTGATTAACATTATCAAACAACCTGACATATGTGACAACAATAACACTCCACACATCAACAGAATAGACATTCTTCTCTAGCACACATGAGGACAGGCCGTGTGCCTGCCATAAAACAGACCTCCCTCGGTCAATTTTAAAAGATACAGTACGTATTCTTTGTGGGGGCTATAGGCTGTGAAAAGTCACTGACATGAGGCAGATTGATTAATAGGAAAAAAGCTGTAAAACAAAAATAAAATTCTAAGCTCCCATGACTGACTGATGGACCTTCTTCTTGGCCAAGGGCATTCCAAAGTTAACCTGAAAAATGAGTTCAGGCCATAATGGGAGCAAGGGGTCAGACATGCCTCATCATACCCTGCTCCCTTTGGAATTCAGGCACAGCTGACCAGCATTAACATCAAAACAGAGACCTTAAAACTGATAGAACACACTCTTTGTGTGATAAGAAATAGTTAAAATTGATTCTCTCTGAAGCCTGCTACCTGGAGGCTTCATCTGTACAATAAGAAACTTAGTTTCCACAATCCCTTATCTTAACCCAGATGCTCTCTTCTATTAATTTCAGGTCTCCCACTTAAGACCTGAAATTAATAGAAGAGAGTCTGGGTTAAGATAAGGGATTGAAATAACTCTTTCAACCAATTGCCAATCAGAAAATCTTCAAATCCATCCATGACCTGGAAGCCCCTGCTTTCAGTTGTCCCATCTTTCTGGACTGAATCAGTGTTCCATCCTGACCACCTTGGGCACATGTTCTCAGGATATCCTGGGGCTGTGTCACATGCCATTGGTCATTCATATTTGGCTCAGAATAAATCTCTTCAAATATTTTGAAGAGTTTGACTCTTTTCATTGACAAAGCATACAAATTTATTTAATGTGTATACATGGGAGCCTTCAGAATGAAGATCCAACCCAACAATAAGATACAGAAGCTTATATACCATCCTGAGGCCACAGAAAAAACACAGACTCAATGTGTCCAAAATCAGGTTATGCTGGTAACTCAAGTTTAGTGGCAAGACAGATGACAGGAGAGAGAAAGGAAGAGGTGTGGCTAGCAAGGGGTGTCCTTGTTATGTAGATGAAGCCTCCCTCAGAGAGAATAGATAGTAACTGTTTCCTTTCAGACTTTTAAGGATATCAAATTCCATCCTCTCCTGGATTAGAAAGGCATAGAAAGGGGAGGCAGGCTGCATTAATGGAGATTCTCTACAGTTGCAAATTTCTCCCACTTGAGTCTGCTAATCCTGAGGCAGTCATTTCAAAATATGTCAAGGAATTATATTTTGGAGTAAAATATTTTGAATTATTTTATCTTCAGTCATAATGCAATTAAATTAGCAATCAGCAACAGAAATAATTAAGAAATCTACAAATATTTGGAGATTAAATAACATACTCTAAATCACGCATAGTTCAAAGAGAAAATCACAAGGGGACTTAGAAACTATTTTGAGCTGAATAGAAAGAAAAATACAACTTATCACAATTTATTGGATGCAGTGAAGAAAGAGCTTAGAAAAAAATTTATAGTTGAAAAGACTATATTAGAAATGATGAATTCTCTCAACTTGATAATCTAAACTTTCACCTTAAGAATTGAGGAGAAAGCTGGGCACAGTGGCTCACGCCTGTAATCCCAGCACTTTGGGAGGCCAAGGCAGGCAGATCACGAGGTCAGGAGATCAAGACCATCCTGGCTAACACGGTGAAACCCCATCTCTACTAAAAATACAAAAAAAAAAAAAATTAGCTGGACGTGGTGGCGGGTGCCTGTAGTCCCAGCTACTCAGGAGGCTGAGGTAGGAGAATGGCATGAACCTGGGAGGCGGAGCTTGCAGTGAGCCAAAAGCACACCACTGCACTCCAGCCTGGATGACAGAGTGGGACTCTGTCTCAAAAAAAAAAAAAAAAGAATTGAGGAGAAAAGCAAACTAAGTCCATATCAAGTGAAAGAAAGGAAATACTCACTTTGGGAGGCCAAGGTGTATGGATCACTTGAGGCCAGAAATTCAAGACCAGCCTGGCCAACATGACGAAATCCCATCTCTACTAAAAGTACAAAAAAAAACACAAAAAACCAACCAACCAACCAACCAAACAAACAAAAGAACAGATGTGGTGGTGGATGCCAGTAATCCCAGCTACTCAGGAGGCTGAGGCAGGAGAATCGCTTGAACCTAGGAGGAAGAGGCTGCAGTGAGCCAAGATTGCACCACTGAACTCCAGCCTGGGTGACAGAGCGATACTATATCTCAAAATAAAAATTAAAAAAGGAAAAATACTAAATATTAAAGGAGAAATGAAAAAGAAACCCAGAAAATTAATGAAGTCAATAAATCCAAAAGCTGATATATTGAGAAGATAAACAACATTAAGAAATCTTTAGCTATTCTGACAAAAAAAAAATTAGGAATAAAGACTCAAATTACCAAAATTAAATATGAATTAGAGGTCATCACTACTGACCCTGCAGAATTTTAAAATATTGTAAGGGAACACTATGAACAAATTTATGCCACTATATTAGACAACTTAGACAGGACAACTTGTGTCCTAGAAAGACACAAGACTGACCAGGAAGAAGTAGAATATCTGAATAGATCTATGACAAGTGAAGAAATTCAATAAATAATTAAACAGTCTTCCCACAAAGAATAGGGCAGGTCCTGATGGTCTAATTAGTAAACTGCAGCGAACACATAAAGAAAAAATAATACCAAACTTTCCCAAAATCATCCAGAAAAATAAAGGATGAGCACTTCCCAGCTTATTTTATTAGGGCAGCATTATGTTGATACTAAAGCCAGACAAAGAAAACTGCAGACTGATACCTTCATGAACCTAGACGCAAAAATCAACAAAATATTAGCAAACCAATTCCAGCAACAAATAAAAAGGATTATAAATATGACAAAGTGGTATTTATCCCAGGAATGCAAGATTGGTTTAACATGCAAAAATAATTAACATCATACAAAATATTAATATAATAAAAGACAAAATCCACAAAATCATCTCAATAGATGCAGTAAAAGCATTTGACGAAATCCAATACCCATTAATGATAAAGGCTCTCAATAAATTAGGATAGAAGAAAACCTCCTTAATCTGATAATGGACATCTAGGAAGAACCTGTAGCTAACATTATACTTAATGAAAAAAGCCTGAAGGTTTTTCCAGTAATATCAGAACACGGTAGAGGTGTTTACTCATGCTACTTCTGTTCAAATTGCAGTGAACATTCTATCCAGTGCAACCTAGCAAAAATATATTTAAAATGCCACCCCAAATGCAAAAAAAAAAAAAGAAATACAACTGTCTTTATTAAAAAATGACATTATCCAATAATCCTAAAAATTACACACACACACAAACTAATAAATTCAACAAGGTTGCAGGATGCAGATACAAAGATTAATTGCATTTCTATACATAAAAATAAACAATATGGAAATAAAATCAACAATAAAATTCTAATTACAAAAGCCTCAAAATGACAAAATGCTTAGGAATAAATTTAACAAAAGTACAGTTTTGCTGAAAGAAATTAAATGCAATCTGAATAAATTAAGAAATGTTCCATGTTCATGGATTGTGAGACTGGATGTTACTAAGTTAATGAGTCTCCCTAAATTTATCTAAAGATTAAATGTAACCCAATTAAAAGTTAAGTAGACATTGTGTTTATGCATAAAATGGTACAATGATTCAAAAATTAATGTAAAAAAGCAAAGGTCCCAGAATTGTCAAACAATCTTGGAAAAGAAACAAAGTTGAAGAAGCTTTCCTCCCTGATTTCAAAGTTTACCATAAAGCTACACTAATCAAGACAATGGGATGCTGGCACATGAATAGATGATAAATTAATGGTGCAGAACTCAGTGTCCAGAAATAAAACTTTTCATTGATGAAAAATTAATTTATGACAGTGGTGCCAATTTAACGGAGAAAAGGGTAGTCTTCAAAGAATGGTATTGGAACAAGTGAATAGACACATTCGAAGATTTGAACTTAGATTCTGACCTTATACCATACATAAAAATTAACTCAGACTAGGTCAAAGACTTAAATATAAGTACTAAATGTATAAAAATTTTAGAAGAAGACATAGGAAAAAAGTCATGATCTTGAGCTAAGCAAAGATTAAGAGAGATTAAGAAAACTATCAAGAAATTTTTGCCTAAAAAATCCATTAAAAAGTGATAAGTTTAATTCATCAACATTTTGTATATTGTGCATATTAAAAGTCACCATCAAAAAAGTGAATAAGCAAGAAACAGACTGGGAGAAAATATTTTCCAATCATATATCTACTAAAGAACTTGCATCTAGAGTAGACAAATAATTTTGCCACTCACTAACAAGAAGCCCACATATTTTATGATTCCACATGTACACAATGTCCAGAAAAGACAAACCAGCAAAGACAGAAAGTAGATTATTGGCTGGCTGGGGTGGCGATGAGAAGGCAGAATTCCTACAAATCAGATCAGGGGATCTTCTTGGAGTGATGGACATTTTCTAAAACTGGATTGTGCTGATGGTTGCAAAGCTGCAAATTTTCTAAAATGTATTACACATTAAAAATAAATTGCACAGTATATAAATTTTACATCAAAAATTTGTCAAAAAGAAGTAGGTAAGCATAATAATCTTATATCCATTTTTAAAAATTGAATCTTTAGTTAAAATTCTTACCTCAAATAAATCTTCAGGCTCAGATGGTCTCACTGGTAAAATCCGCCAAACATTTAGGGAAAAAAATTATACCAATTCTTCACAGTCACTTTCGAGAAATAGGAGAGAAGGGAATATTCTCTAACTGATTTTATTAGGCTAGCATTACTCTAATACCAAATCCAAAAACGTTACAAGAAAGACAACTGACCTTATACCATATGTAAATACCCATGTTCCTCACGGACTTAGATACCGTTACACAAAATATTAACCAATCAAAGTCATTGATATATAAAAAGGATCTAGACTATATTAGTCAGGGCTCTCCAGAGAAGCAGAACATACACACACACACACACACACACACACACACACACAAGCACACACGCACAGGTTGGGCAACCTAATCCAGAAATCCAAAATCCAAAACTTTTTGTGTGCCGACATGTTGCTCAAAGGAAATGCTTGTGGGCACATTTTGGATTAGAAATTCTCAACGGAGGAGCACCAGCAGCACAGTACTTATACAGAAATGCTCAACTGGTAAGTATAATGAACATACTCCAAAATCCAAAAAAATTATACACATACACATATATGAGTATATGTGTCCATAGATATGCATATACATAAATACATATGTATATATAGAGAGAGTTATTATGAGAAACTGGCTCATGCAATTCTGGAGGCTGTGAAGTTTTACAATCTGCTATATACAAGCTGGAGACCTATGGAAACAGGTGGTGTAATTCAGTCCAAATCAGACAGCCTGAGAACCAGGGGAGCGGATGGTGTAAGTCTCAGTCTGAAGGCAGGAGAGATGAGATGTCCCAACACAAGCAATAAGGCAGAAAAGAAGGGAGTGACTTCCTCTTTCCTCCTCTGTTTGCTCCACTCTGGTCCTCAATGGATTATTGCATGATGCCTGTCCACACTGGGGAGGACAATCTATGGTACCAAGACCACCAACTCAAATGCTAATCTCATATCCAGAGACACTCTCACAGACACACTCAGAAATAATGTTTAATCTGGTCAGCACATGACATGGCCAAATTGCCACATGAAATTAACCATCACACAGGCCAAGTGGGGTTTATCCCAGGAATGCAAGGCTTGTTTAATGTTCAAACATTAATCAATGTAATTTGCCATATTAACAGACTGAGGAAAAACAGGATCATCTTAATGGATGCAGAAAAAAATCATTTGACAAAACTCAGCATAGAGTCATGATAAAAACATTCAGCAATCTATAAAAAAAGAGATCTTGTAACAAACAGCATCTACAACAAACCTACAGCCAACGTCATTTATAATAATAAGAAGCTCAATACTTTCCCCCTAAGATTGAAAACAAGACAAGCGCCTCCTCCCTCACCATTCCTATTGAACATTGTTTTTGGAATCCAAATCAGTGCAATAAGAAAATAAATAAAATACATACAATTTGGAAGGAATAAATTAAACTGTCTCTGCTTATATCCAACATGAATGTCTATTTAGGAAACCTCGAAAAAAAAAACACAAAAATCTTTTAAAACTAATAAGAGAGTTTAGCAAAATTGCAGAGAACAATAACAATGTATAAAACTCACATTACTATATACCAATATACCAATTAGAATCTGAAATTTAAAAAAAATACCATTTACAACAGCACAAAAACATAAGTACTTAGAAATAAATCTAACAAAATATGGTCATAGTTTGAATGTCAAAACCTAAAAAACTCTGAGGAAAGAAATCAAATACAAGGTATTTAAAGAGAGATATTTTGTGCATGGTTCAAAAGACTCAAAATTGTTGAGGTCAGTTTTCTCCCATAGTGATCGATAGATTCAATGCAACCTCAATCAAAATCCCAGTCAGCTTTTTTTAATAGAAATCACAAGATAATTTCAAAATTTATTTGGAAAGGCAAAGGATCTTGAATAGACAAAGCAATAATGAAAGACCAAAATTGGAGCTCACAAGAACCAGTTTTATGGCTTCCTGTAAAGTTACATTAATCATATCGTGCCAAGACAAATGTAAATGCATATGCAAAACAAGTAAAATGAAATAAACTTGTATGAAACTCAAACTGGATAGACTTTAGTGGAAAATATTAAACTATGCAATTTCTAGAAGAAAACAAGAGTAAACCTCCTTGATCCTGGGTTAAGAAAGAAATAAAAATGGGATAAATGACATTTAAAATATCGGGAAAAAAGAGAATCTATCAATACAGATCCTAGAGTAATAACTTGGTATGTACAAATAATTTGTTTTGAACAATGTCCTGCCAGTAAATGTGGCAAGTTAACAAAAATGGGTAAATTCCTTGAAAGACACAGCTTACCTAAACAGGCACCAGAAAAACATATAAAACCGAATCAGTTTATATCTACTGAAGACATCAAATTTATAATAAAAATTTTCTACAAAGAAAACTTGGGGCCTAAATGATTTTACTGTTGAATTCTACGAATCATTTAAGACAGGGTTGATGTCAATTTTTTTTTTTTTTTTTTTTAATTTTTAGTAGAGACGGGGTTTCACCATGTTAGCCAGGATGGTCTCGATCTCCTGACCTCGTGATCTGCCCGCCTCGGCCTCCCAAAGTGCTGGGATTATAGGCGTGAGCCACCGCGCCTGGCCAATGTCAATCTTATATAAAATCTTCAGTAAAAAAAGAGGAGTAGGGAATACTTCCCAACTTCTTTTATGAAGACAAAATAATCCTAATCCGAAAACTTCACAAAGATTGACTGAACACAAATGCAAAAAGACAAAGAGAAGAAATGATGGAAAAATGAACACTTTAAAGCTTAAGTGTGAAAAACCATGCTGCCCTCTGTACGCTGTCAGGCACCTTTGATTGATCAAAGTATCTTCATCCTAGGGCTTCTCTGTTCCTATTTCTTCAGTTAATGTAACTATTTTTTTTAATGCTAATAAAAAAAAGTCTCTTAAAAGGAGATCTTTTAAAAATGGCAAGGGATGCATTTTATTTGGGTGTGGCACACAGTGTCAGACGTGGCATATGTGCTGCTCCCCGACCCTGTCATGCCTCTGGCCAGCACAATGTGTCAAAGCCCGGATTCCTACTGAACAATCCATGCAGCCACCTTAGAGTGGCTCAGCACCTTAGAACTGACTAGAAAATAAGGAGGTAACATGGCAGCTACCCAGCTGTTTGTATTCAAACAGTTGCCCCGAATTAAAATCACAGTGAGATACCATCTTACACCAGTTAGAATGGCTATTATTAAAAAGACAACAAATAACAGATGTTGGTGAGGATGTGGAGAACAGGGTACTCGTATGCACTGTTGGTGGGAATATGTAAATTGGTACAACCTCTATGGAAAACAGTATGGAGATTTCTCAAAGAAATAAAAATAGACCTACCATTTGATCCAGCAATCCCACTACTGGGTATCTACCCAAAGGGAAATTAAGTATTATATTAGAAAGATACTGGTACTCTTAGGTTTGTCACAGCACTGTCCACAATAGCAAAGATATGGAAACAACCCAAGTGACCCTCAAGCAATGACTGGATAAAGAAAATGTGTAGTATTGGCTGGGCGCGGTGGCTCATGCCTGTAATCCCAGCACTTTGGGAGGCTGAGGCGGGCAGATCACCTGAGGTTGGGAGTTTGAGACCAGCCTGACCAACAAAGAGAAAACCCATCTCTACTAAAAATAGAAAATTAGCCAGGCATGGTGGCGAATGCCTGTAATCTCAGCTACTCGAGAGGCTGAGGCAGGAGAATTGCTTGAACTTGGGAGGCGGAGGTTACGATGAGCCAAGATTGCACCATTGCACTCCAGCCTGGGCGACAAGACTGAAACTCTATCTCTAAATAAATAAATGAATAAATAAATAAAATGTGGGGTATAAACCCAATGGAATACTACTCAGGCATTACGAAAAGAAATCATGTCTTTTGTAGCAACATGGATGGAACTGGAGGCTGTTATCTTAAGTGAGACAAGTCAGACACAGACAGATACCACATACTCCCATTTATAGGTGGAAGCTAAACAGTGTGTACACATGGACATAGAGTGTGGAATGATAAACACTGGAGACTCTAAAGGATGGGGGAGGGAGGGACATGGATGATAAGAGGTTACTTAATGGGTACGATGTATATTATTTGAGTAACAGATATCTTAAAAGCCCAGACTTCACAAAATTACACCTGTAATTTATGCGAATTTTCAATTTTTTAAAATTAAATTTTCCCTTTATGGTGGTTATAGAACTTTTATAGCAGTACATAGTTTACAACAAGGTTAAAACCAAGGCCACGTATTTCTGAGGAAAAGGACGGCAAAGGATTGTAGAGTTGGTGATCACCAGGTATACCGTAAGGGGATTCCCTTCTGCAGTAGGTAAGGCCCTATAGGGGCAGAACCAAGCCCCAGGATGCAGGTGCAGCAGAAGAGAGCAGGCTCCAGCCTTCCTTCCCCACACTCCGATTTATGGCGGGAAGGCTTCAAGATGGAACAGTGGAACTGCCGTGTGCAAGAGATTTGGGTGGAGGGAGATGGGGCTAAGTCCCAGCAGTGTATCCACGCCACAGAAGAAATCAAGGCCTGAATATGGTCACTGAGACAGTTGTGTATCCACTTCGAAGTCGTGATGATTCAAATGTTGGTACACGAACAAGGCATTTGGTCAACAGTTGCAGATGGCAGAGACAGATGCCGCCACATAACCCTGTGTTCAGTGAACATCTTAGTTGGAATTAGGCTGGAGAAAAGGCTGTTCACCAAAGTTCCGTTAGCTTAGTTAGTTGCTCACCATGGTTTTGGGTTTAACATTAAACGCTAACATTGCATTTACATACTTATCACTAAAAAGGTGCTAACTAAATTCAAATCAGGGATGGTAAATGCATCTCATTTCATATAAATACTCTGACCACTCGGAGGTGGCTGCATGGATTGCTCTGCAGGAATCAGGGCTACGACCTGTTACTGTGCCAGCCAGGGACAGGATGGGGTGGGGTGGCAGCACATACAGCACATCTGACACTGTCTGCCACACCCAAATAAAATGCATCCCATGGCATCTTTTAAAGATCTCCTTTTAAGAGACTGTTTTTCATTAGCATTTTTTAAGTAGGTAAGTCAACTGAAGAAATAGGAAAAGAGACTCCCTGGGATGAAGATACTTGGATCAATCAAAGATGCCTGACAGCATATAGAGGGCAGCATGGTTTTCCACATTTGCGCTTTAAAGCATTCATTTTTTTTTTATCATCTCTTTGTCTTTATGTTCAGGTTGATCTTTTTAATTTAACTTTGTATGTTAGATTATGAGTTTCTTTCAGAGCAAGGTAGTGTCTTTTTCTCAGGTACTTGCAAGTGTTGAGCACCTGGCGATGAGATTTATGCATCGTAAATACAGGATAGGAACAGGGGCTCTAAACCTTGTATTGGCCAGAAATCTAAAGGAGTAGAAATAGTGGTGTTTGAAGGATTACAATGAGATACACTTTCAATATTCTGGCCTCATAGCCCCATTTACATGGTCTGTTTTACACGGTGTTATTTGTGACTACGTTTGCAACATAATGTTAATATGTGTCCTATCAACTAAACAAAAATCGTTAAATACACACACACTCTGTCTTATGCAGACACCCCTCTGGACTAGAAAATGGGAAGGAAGCCTCATTATTGGTGGCTTCAAAATATATGTGCAAGAAACAATGAGATTATCAAACAGAATTCCATTGAAACATAGAGCAGTCACCAATGATATATTTTCCTATATTTCCTTTTGAACATCTGACATATAAATATGATACGTAAAGTGGGCCTTAAATTAACCAGAAAAAAAACTGATACTACCTGCAATGGTTGCTGTTTACCCCCAACCAGCAGTTTGAGGACTATCCAGTGGAAGTGACGGAAAGGCAAGGCTGGCATTCTCTGTGCACTCCACCTCCTGCCAGGGTGAGGGCGATCATGGAAGGAGAAGGTGTTTCTTGAGTTTTTACCATGCTCCGGTCATTATGGAAGGATACAGTAGTGGACAAGGCAGAAAATGTCTGCGACTTTGTGGAGACAGATGGTGTGCTTTGCTGGTTTGCTTTGTTTATTTTGTGTTGTGTTTAACCAATATAACTTATTGGTGAGTACAGGAAAGGGCACCCATGTGTTACTGTTGTTGGGGTCTAGTTGTTTTCCCCACTGTAAGATGATCGCTGCAAGGGCAAGGGAGTGTGAAGCTTATCAGCCTGTGAGAGGTCCCAGGAGGAGAAGCGTCTGCTCCCTGAAGGTCCTAATCCCTTATCATCCCTGGTGGGGAGCTCTGCAGGGGAATGGTTGGCTTGGAGATGTAGCTCATCTCGCACACAGGCATTTTATACTCACACCAAAAGAGCAGATTCAATGATATTTGTTAAGGGATAATTGGTCTAATGAAAGAATAGGTCTTCATTTAAACTGAAATAATTAATGAATGTTACAGGTTGTGGAGTGCAGATACAGGATACGCAGTTTGTTATTTAACTGTTTATTCTTGCTTAGTAGGTGCAAGAAACATAAAACATGAGAAAACTACACTGAAGGTGGGAAGAACTGATTGTCCATTTGGGGACAATTCGAGGGTGAAAAGTAGTGCTTAAAATGACTAAATTATAAATATTAGGATATATTTATATATTGGTTGATAAATCAGGTTTATTCTATGAGTAGACTTATATTTAAGTCTGTCACCCAGGCTGGAATGCAGTGGCATGATGTCGGCTCACTGTAGCCTCAACTTCCCAGGCTCAGGTGATCCTCCTTCTTCAGCCTCCTGAGTAGCTGGGACTACACATGCATGCCACCATGCCCAGCTAACTTCTGTATTTTTTTTTTTTTTTTGAAATGGGTTTTTGCCATGTTGCCCAGGCTGGTCTTGAACTCCTGGACTCAAGTGATCCACCTGCCTTTGCCTCCCAAGGTGCAGGATTACAGGCATGAGCCACTGCGACTGGCTATAAACTTTATAAAATTTTTAGTCATATCTGTGTCCAAATACCATTTTTCTGGTATTTTTTTTCCAATAAGTGCTTTTATTAACAGTCTTTTAAAAATTAGATGGTCTACACTCTTGTTCAAAATCGCATTTTATTGTTCTACATTTTAAATGATTGATAATTGATGCACCTGTATATGTCATAATATAGTTTCAAACTTTTTACTATGGAACATTGCAAACATTTTTAAAAGACAGAATAGTAGCATGAATCCCCATGTGCTCATCACACAACTTCAATAATTATTAGCTCCCAGTTAGTCTGGTTTCATCTCTACTCACAACTAATTCTCCCCTCTCATTATTATGAAGCAAATCTCTGGCATTGTGTCATTTTATTCATAAATATTTCAGTGTGTAACTCTGAAAGACAAGACTTTAAAAAACAGCCAAAATACCATGATCACATCTAAAAACTTAAAATAATTTCTTAATATCATGTAATATCCAGTTACTGTTTAAATTTTCAGTTATCTGATTGATCATATTTTCCAGATTTCTGAATAGAGATCTTAATGAGATACACATGTTGCATTTCTTGATATATCTCTTGTCTCTTTTCATCAACGTTCCTCCTGTATGTTCTTTTTTTTTTTTTTTACAATTTATGTTTTGAAGAAAACAAGTCATTTGTCTTGTAAAGTTTTCCACAGTTTGGATTTTGTAGAGTACATTTCCTAAGTGTCATTTACCTTGTTCCTCTATCTGCTGATTTTCCTCAAAATTGTTAGATGGATTTGGTGCCTTGATTTAATTCAGACCTGATTTTGTTGATAAGACAATTTATTGGGTGGTGTTATGTTCTTCCATCAGGAAGTACGTAATGTCTAGTTGTTGTCCTTATTGTGATTTTTGGTAGCCATTGGTGATTAATGCCTAGATTAACTAGTTCTTTCAGAGTTGCAAAGTGGTGATATTCTAGTTATGTAATTCCTTCTTCCTTTATTAACCAATATATTACTGTAAAGAAACAGTTCTCTGAAATATGTTTGCTTTTTGTAGCAGTTTGTACAGGAAGTCTTGATAGGTGCTGATCTTCCTCTTGATTTACCAGTTTTCAATAGCATCCTATAATATTTACTGATCAAACATTTCTTATGTTAGCATCATTGTGAACTCAGGGATCTAAACATATCTGATGTGTTTCAATCCATTACAGTTATTATTCTTGTTGATTCTCAGATAGTCGCATTTTTAGCCAGTGAAAGCTTCTTTAAATAGGCTCTTGATTTTTTTAAAAAAATGATGACTCTCTTTTGTTGGAATAACAAGACTGTTCTGGGCCCATCTTGTACAGTTCCTAAAATCTGACATTTCTTCACAGTTCTGGTTCTTTTTACCAGGAAGTGGTTGTTAAAGAACACAATCCTGGCTGAGTGCGGTGGCTCATGCCTGTAATCCCAGCGTTTTGGGAGGCCAAGGCAGGCGGATCACCAGGTCAAGAGATTGAGACCATCCTGGCCAACATGGTGAAACCCCATCTCTACTAAAAATACAAAAATTAGCTGAGTGTCGTGGCACACACCTGTAATCCCAGCTACTCAGGAGGCTGAGGCAGGAGAATCTCTTGAACCTGGGAGGCAGAGGTTGCAGTGAGCCGAGATCACGCCACTGCACTCCACCCTGGCGACAGAGTGAGACTACATCTCAAAAAACAACAACAAACAAAGAAACAAAAAAGCACACACACACACACAATCCTTTAACTTTCTGGGACCTGTGGTAGAGTATGGGGAAGAACAACACCTGGACACCAGGAGTTCACATAACCACTAAGGAACCATCGTTTCTTGGTATTTTTGTTTTGTTTTGTTTTTGCGGACAGGGCTAGGAAATCTATTCTTTTTTAAATGATCAAAGACACCATGAGTTTCAACTGACATTCCCAAATCAAATTTGTGACTAGAGGGTTTTTAGATAACTTCTTCTATCAATATATTTCTCCTCTGTCTCCATGCTGAGGATACCAGTTACTGGTTCGTTTCAATAAATGTCTCTGCAGTAATTGTAGTTGTCTCTAAACTCATTCTCTAATAGATTCTGCAGGAAGGGCTCCTGGGACAATATTTTCTGAGCTCTCACATGTTCATGGAAATTTGTAGCCTGTACGCCTGAGAGTCAGTTGACAAGACTTTCAAGTGTACAGGCTACAAATTGCTATGAGGTCACATTTTCTTACTAGAAAATCTTACTATATGTCTCTGTGTTCTGGCATAAAATATTACCATTGAACAGGTGAACTTGTTTGCAGTGTGATTTTGGCAGCATTTTCATTTTCCTGACAATCCTTTGAAAGCTAAAATAATTTAGAGCGTGATATTAACTAAAAGATACTAACAGGCCACGTGCGGTGGCTCACGCCTGTAATCCCAGCACTTTGGGAGGCTGAGGCAGGCAGATCACCTGAGGTCAGGAGTTTGAGATTAGCCTGGCCAATATAGTGAAACCCTGTCTCTACTAAATATACCAAAATCTGTAATCCCAGCTACTTGGGAGGCTGAGGCAAGAAAAGCATTGAACCCAGGAGGCAGAGGTTACAGTGAGCTGAGATCACACCATTCCACTCCAGCCTGGGTGACAAGTGTGAGACTCTATCACACACACACACACACACACAAAAAAAAAAAAAAACCACCAGATACTAACAGAGAAACTTAAGGAAAAGAATATTTACTATAAGATATTGTCTTCTGAATTATTTCAAATATACGTAATTGCTAAATAGAGCTAAGCCATTCAATCTCAAAAATCTGGCTCTATCAAGCTCCCCCAAATTTGAATGGAAATCCTGAATATTTCCATTCACAAAGATGTGACAGAGAGAAAACAATATTGGACTTGTGAAATATTCTATAGGAAACAGGTTTTTAAATTCTACTTAGGTAAAGAAGTGGGAACAATTCAAATTAAAAGTAATGGAAAGATTAATCTAGACCAAAGGGTATGATGGGAAAAGAGAAATAAAAAAGAAAAATGTATCTTATTACAGATTTCATTGTTGCTGTTTTTTTAATCTTTAAATTCCAGATTTATGTATAAGTAAAAATGAAGGCCTTTTGGATGATATTTTGAATGTAATAAACATCATCTTTTAGTAAAATAGATATCCCTGTTCTTCACTTTAACATATATTATCATTCTATTTCATGCAAATATATATTTACATTCAAAAATTTTAATTGTCATATAATATTCTCAAAACTTTATTAAAGTATACACATACATCATTACTATAGCAAAAAAGGGCTTTCCTACACATAGCACTGTAAAGTTTTATTTAAATTTTAAAAACAGGTCTAAATTAGTTTCAATTTAGAATGTCTGCTTTGATTTTCACACCACATGTATTTTCTACCCACAGTAAAGTAGCAAATTCAGAAAAACCTTTTAAGTGCTAATAGCTCTAATAAAAGAATGGGTCTTCACCTCAACTGTGAAACAGTTAATGTCATGAGTTGTAAGATACAGACATACAGTTCTCATTTTGAGTTACTTGGCTGCTCTTCCTTGCCTTGCTTCATCATACAAACAATAATAAGGTCGAGGCAGGAATTCTGCGAAGGGTGGATTTCTTACTAGTTCATTAGTTCCCAAGGAGTGTCCACAGAACATTCAATCACACAGGATCTGAAGGCTCTGATCAGCACGAGGCACCGCAAGAGGCAGGAGGAGGATTCTGTGTGTCATTACATTCTTTCTAAGTAGAGATCATCTTAGGGCCTTTCAATGTGTGTTATTGACTTTTTAAGAGGAGGTGGCAGGGTGCGGTGGCTTACACCTGTAATCCCAGAACTTTGGGAGGCTGAGGCGGGCAGATCAAGAGGTCAAGAGATCGAGACCATCCTGGCTAATACAGTGAAACTGCGTCTCTACTAAAAATACAAAAAATTATCCGGGCGTGGTGGTGGGCGCCTGTAGTCCCAGCTATTCGGGAGGCTGAGGCAGGAGAATGGCGTGAACTCAGGAGTCAGAGCTTGCAGTGAGCCGAGATTGCACCACTGCACTCCAGGCTGGGCGACAGAGCGAGACTCCATCTCAAAAAAAAAAAAAAAAGAAAAAGGGGGGGAGGCAAAAAACTCCTTAAGAGTTTCTCAAATGCATTTTATTACAGAACCCTTTAAAGGACTGTGCATGACTAACATTCCATAGAATAAATCAGATGAACACCCTACAAGCGCACAGGTATCTTCCAAGAGGGAAGAACCAGGCAGACGACATACCTCAATGCGGGTAAGAGAAGTCAGGAATCCGGTAGTGCAGGGTGAGTGCATGTGGGCCTCTTTCCCTGGTGAAGAGGGATTGACTGCTAGTCGGAGTTCCACAAAAGTAGGAAAGCTGTAGCGAACACCGTAAGCTGAGACAGACCCACTGATGCTCAGGTCTGGAGAGATCATAAACATAATAGAAAACAAAAAAGACACATTTCATCTTCTTTGCTAAAAACCTAAGAATGCTCACTGCCAAGCATGACAATTGCTTACTCCCAAGCATGGCAGTTGAACTTCAGTCCCTCCTGACTCGGGCACCCAGCCCTGGCTTTCTGCTCCCTGTGTACTCAATGGTGGTCATAGCAGAGGCCGTGGCAGGAGAAGCACAGTGGCAGGAGGGCTGGCACAAGGTTCAGGTGCCACTGGCAGGCGTGCATGACGAGTGTTAGGAGCCCGGGTCCAGGTGTTTGAAAGCAGCGCAGTGTGTCTCATAGTGGAACATGCATGTGAGTCAGCCAGGGGTCTTGTGATGATTGCAGACTCTCATGTGCTAGGCCTGGGCTGGGGTCTGGGATTCTGCATTTTCAATAGGCTCCCAGGTGATGCCAGTGCTGCTCGTCTGTGGACCACACTTTGAGAAGCGAGGTTTTACAGCATCATAAAGAACCCTTGTATTAGTCAGGGTTCTCTAGAGGGACAGAACTAATAGGATAGATGTATACATAAAGGGGAGTTTATTAAGGAGTATCGACTCACGCAATGAGGTTCTACAATAGGTGAGGTTCTACAATAGGCTGTCTGCAAGCCAAGGAGCAAGGAAGCCAGTCCAAGTCGCAAAGCTGAAGAACTTGGAGTCCGATGTTTCAGGGCAGGAAGCATCCAGCATGGGAGAAACACGTAGGCCAGAAAACTAAACCAGTCTAGTCTTTCCACGTTCTTCTGCCTGTTTTTTTTCTGGCCACACTGGCAGTTGATTAGATTTTGCCCACCCAGATTGAGGCTGGGTCTGCCTTTCCCAGCCCACTGACTCAAATGTTACTCTCCTTTGGCAACACCCTCACAGACACATCTAGGAACATTATTTTGCATCCTTCAATCCAGTCAAGTTGACACTCAGTATTAACCATCACAACCCTTTAAGCCCAAACTTCACAGTTTACATCTCTCTAAGAAGCATCCACACCCGTCTTTGGACATTAGACTTCTCAATCTTGGCTACTGTCCCAAAGATCAATTTGCCTTCTATATTGCCAAATCCAAGATCGAATTTGAGTCCCCGTCTTACTCAGCCTATCAGTAAGGTCTATCGATCCTAATGATGGCTGTTTCCTCATAGAGATGCATTTCTTTCAACTTGGCTTTGAGGATAACACACATGCCTCGTTTTTCTCCTTTGCTGGTTCCTACTCATCAACCCATTCTCTTAAAGTTGAAATGCTTCCAGGCTTAGTACATGGATCTCTTATCTTCTGGGTCTCTTTTGATGCTCTCATCTGGTTTCACGGCTTTAGCTTGCACCTATTCCCTGTTGATCACCCCTCACCCTCACCTTCAGCTGAGACCTCTCCCCTGAATTTCAGTCTTGCAGATACAGCAGTCAATGCAACATCTACACATGGATGCTAAATACACATGTCAACATGCTCTTCTTCCAAAAACTCACTCCAACCAAACTTCTCAGTTAGAGGAAGTTGCTTAGGGAAACAACCTGAGATGCATTCTTAATTTGTTACTTTGTATCACACCCACCTCCAGTTCATGAGAAAATCTTCTTGGATACCCTACAAATATATCAGCATCTGATCACTGCACCACATCCACTGCCACCCCTAAGGACCCCTGTCTCCCACCCTGATTATGTTGCATTCTCCTACCAGGTCGTCTTGTGGTTTTCCATGGCTCCCTACAAGTGATTCTCAACATGAAGCCAGCATGATCCTGTTAACAAATAAGGCCAATTATGTCATTTTACTGTTCAAAACCCTCCAATTGCTTCCTGTCTGACTCTGGGTCAACATTCCATACAGGGCTTCTAAGGACCTGCAGGACTGATCCTCTCTTTACCTCCCTTATCTCACCTCCTGTCTTCCCTACCCACTCTCACAGTCCAAGTCACATTGTCTTCCAAACATGACCAGAATACAAAGGCACCTTCACCTCAGGACCATTGCACCTGCTGCTCCTGGTGCCTAGAAATATCATCCCCAAGTAAAAGAAGAACTTCAGACAAACTACATTTAACACAGCAAGAAACAATTCATGAGTCAAGCAGCACTCAGACAAGAAGAGGCACCAAGCACTCCACCCAATGGCATGAGCACAGCTGGGGCAGTGAGCTTTTACAGGAGAACACTGAAACGAAGCCAAGAAACCATTGCATTGGTGACAGTTGGGGTCTCCCTGTCTCAGTGTGGTGTGATGGGCATTTGCCTTATCTGGGTGTGGTGTGATGGGCATCTGCCCTGTCTGGGTGTGGTGTGATGAGCATCTACCTTGTCTGAGTGTGGTGTGATGGGGCATCTGCTTTTCTGGATGTTGTGTGATGGGCATCTGTGAAGTGTGGGTGTGGTGTGACGGGTATCTGCCCTGTCTTGGAGTGGTGTAATGGGCATCTGTCTTGTCTGTGTGTGCTATGATGGACCTAAACCTTGTCTCATCATGGTGTGATGGGCATCTTCTGCTTTGGGGCTTCTTCTTGTTTAATACCCTAGTATTTACATGGCTGGTTGTCTGCCAATTTTTGTCTTTGTTCAGATTATATCTTTTCAGGGAGGTCTTCTTGAACTTTCTTACTTAAACCTTATCTCTTGCAGACATTTCCTATTTCCCTTTCCTGATGTGTTTATCTTCGTATTTTGCTTCATCATTTGATGTACTGTACGTTTTCCTTACCTGTTGTGTTTATTTCAGGCCCATTAATCAAATGAAAGAAACTGAAAAGTACAGTACCTTTCCTCCCTGCTCTGACTGTTTTTCTGGTCCTCAATCATGAGCTGGAGTAGGAAAGTACCATGAAATTTATTAGGAAGGATGTTTCTCCACTTTTTTCTCTCTCTGTGGCCCCTCAAACCAGTACACAAATCATTAGATTCTTGTCAATTTTATAATGAATATAACATTAAAGGATCAGATTAGAATAAAATTTGCTAATAGGAGGATAATGTGCAGGTTTACTAAATCTTAAAAGTTCTCAAGAGATGGATCCTTTGTCTTAACTTCCTTTACTTGCTTGTGGCCAGAAGAATGGATGCCTTCTTCTCGTGAAGTTCAAGCATGCTTTCCAGGAAACTCTTACATCAAGTTTTTGGGTGACAATCAACTCAGACTGTGTCTTTAGTATGCTGAAGATCAGCACCATTCCTGAGACCAGGGAGAAAGAATTCCTTAGTGACTGTGGTCTGTAGGAATCACCAGTAATGCAGAGAACAGATGATTGATGTTTAACAATAGAACACACTCTTGGTCAACAGTGTTATGTTCACCATTACCTTTAGGATCCTTAAGTGACAGCTCCATGTGGGGTTCATCTTTGCCTCCTCATTGTTCAGGTCCTGCTGGGGGACCCAGATTAGCCTTACCAGAACAGTGCCCAATGAGACCTGTGACAGAAAAGACCTAGGAACATGCGGTTAAAAAATAGAGGTGGTTATAGATGGCAGACAGGAGACAGGGAGAACTGTGCCATGAGTTTGAAAACTGAAATAAAGCAGGTTTAAAAATGGGAGAATAAATATTGGGATCATGAACTGCTGAAAGAATCTTCGGTAGTCAAAATCAGGCCAAGTGCTTCAGGATTAAATCTTGCACAGTGCGAAGTTGATGGCATCTTATTTTTAATGTGGTGCCAATAAATGACACAGGGCTAAGTGAGTACGAAAATAGGTGCACTCAAGAAAAAGGCAAGAGGCTGAGGGCAGTGGCTCACACCTTCAATCCCAGCACTTTGGTTGGCTGAGGCGGGAGGATTGCTTGAGTAGAGGAGTTCAAGACCAGTCTGGGTATCATAGTGAAACCCCGTCTGTATAAAAACAAAACAAAACAAAACAAAACAAAAATAGAAAATATGGAATAAGAACAATATTTAAATAAATAATACTAAAAAACAAACTTGTCATCCATCGATATGAGTTTTGGGGTCAATTTCAGATTGGCAATGGAGTTGAAAGAGGTCTTGGATCTACGGAAAGTGTCAGAAAAAAAAAAGACCAACATTGATACTACCTCAGAGCTCACTCAAGATGTAGACTCTCAGACTCAGACCTTGTGAATCAAGATCTGGATTTTAAAAGAAGCTCCTTGCAATTCATGAGAGCATTAATGCACTTGAAACATTGCTGCAAATCTGTTTCTCCACTTTGGCTGCACATTATATTCACCCGGAATATTTTAAAACTTCAAATGTTCAAGTCACACTCTAGAGGAATGAATCAGGATGTGGGTGGAATGGTGGGGGAGTTGGTCAGAGAAAGTGAGACCCAGATATCAGTAATTTTTCCAAGTTTCCCATATGAATCCAATATGCAGGCCAAACTGGAGAATTACTAGTCTAAATACAAGCAAAATTAATGGGAGGGGTGCAGAATGAGAGTACCTATAGAGGAAATAAATTTGCCCTGTGACTTTCAGGTGCAACAAACAATATGCTTTGTTCTTTTCTAATTCCAAGAACTGACTCATCCCAACCCACTTGAGTTGGTAGGGAATTCTGTCCCAATCCTAACTAAGAGCCTCTCTATATCCATGTCTATAATCAGGATAATCAGGCAGCCAAAAGGAAGATATCATACCTCAGGATACATTTCAAATTAATCCAAGGACCTAAAGAAAGTTACACCATAAAACAGTTGATGGAAAACGTACCAAAATATATTGCAACTTTAAAGCAGAGAAGGTCTTTCTGTCATTCAATTCTATAAGCCAAAAGAAAAAGACAAAAACAGTTACACATTCTTGTTGAGACCTTTCTCTGCTTAGAATTGCAAGTAGTGCCTTATTATCCCAGAATGTTTAGCTTGCTTTCAAGTCTGGCGGACTGTGAATTAGAATCATGTTATTACACCTAAAGGCGACCCAATGGTAAGAGAGTGACTGAAGAGGGATGTGGGATGGGTTCAGTGGCTAAAGGAAATGGGGCTGAAATGAGCTGCTGAATAATTTTTATGTACTGAAAACTCAATGCCTCAGGTGAGGCATGGTGAAGTTCAAGGTCTCAGAAGTAAACACAGCTCACAGTGCTACAGAGTTTTAGACAGGGCATCATCAGGAGACACTGGCTGGGGAAGGGTTGTGAATGAAAGGCCAGATGCAGGACGTGCCCTCAAGGCCTTGCATTCTAATAGGGGATGGTGAGGTCAGAAAACTATCTCCTGGCTTTCCACCTTCAATGCTGATATGGTTTGGCTGTGTCCCCATGCAAATCTCATTTTGAATTGTGACTCCCACAATTCCCATGTGTCATGGGAGGGATCCAGTGGGAGGTAATTGAATCATGGAGATGGGTCTTTTTCATGCTGTTCTCACAGTAGTAAATAAATCATGTGAGACTTATTATGGTTTTAAAAAGGGGAGCTCCTCTGCACAAACTCTCCTTTTTTTCGCCTGCTGCCATCCATGTGAGATATGACTTGTTCTTCCTTGCCTGCTACCATGATTGTGAGGTGTCCCCAGCCATGTAGAACCATAAGTCCATTAAACCTCTTTTTCTTCCCAGTCTTGGGGATGAGTTTATGAGCAGCATGAAAACAGACTAATACAGTAAATTGGTACAGGGCATGGGGTGTTGCTAAAAAGACACCTAAAAATCTGGAAGCGACTTTGGAACTGGGTAAAAGGCAGAGGTTGGAACAGTTTGGAGGACTCAGAAGAAGATAGAAAAATGTGGGAAAGTTTGGAACTCCCTAGAGACTTGTTTGAATGACTTTGACCAAAATGCTAATAATGATATGGACAATGAAATCCAGGCTGAGGTGGTCTCAGATGGAGATGAGGAACTTATTGGGAACTAGAGCAAAGGTGACTCTTGTTATGTTTTAGCAAAGAGACTGACAGCATTTTGACCCTGCCCTAGAGATTTGTATAACTTTAAACTTGAGAGAGATGGTTTAGGGTATCTGGTGGAAGAAATATCTAAGCAGAAAAGCATTCAAGAGGTGACTTGGGTGCTGTTAAAGGCATTCAGTTTTAAAAGTGAAAGAGAGAATAAAAGTTTGGAAAATTTGCAGCCTGACAGTGTGATAGAATAGAAAACCTCATTTTCTGAAAAGAAATTCAAGCATAAATTTGCATAAGTGATGAGGAGCTGAATGTTAATCAACAAGACAATGAGGAAGATGTCTCCAGGGCATGTCAGAGACCTTTGTGGTAGCCTCTACCATCACAAGCCCAGAGGTTTAGGAGGACAAAATGGTTTCGTGGGCCTGGCCTAGGGTCCCTTTGCTGTGTGCAGTCTAGGGACTTGGTGCCTTGCATCCCAGCTCCTCCATCCATGACTAAAAGGGGCCAACATACAGCTTGGGCTGTTGCTTCAGAGGGTGGAAGCCCCAAGCCTTGGCAGCTTCCATGTGGTGTTGAGCCTGCAGGTGCACAGAAGTCAAGAATTGAGGTTTGGAAACCTCTGCCTCAATTTCAGAAGATGTGTGGAAATGCCTGGATGCCCAGGAAAAGTTTGCTGAAGGGGCAGGGCCCTCATGGAGAACCTCTGCTAGGACTGTGTGGAAGGGAAATGTGGGGTCAGAGCCCTCACACAGAGTCCCTACTGGGGCACTGCCTAGTGGACCTGTGAGAAGAGAGCCACTGTCCTCCAGACCATAGGATGGTAGATCCACTGACTTCTTGCTCTGTGCACCTGGATGGGGCAGAGCTGCCCAAGACCATAAGAACCCACCTTTTGCATCAGCATGACCTGAATGTGAGACATGGAGTCGAAGGAGATCATTTTGGAGCTTTAAGATTTGAATGCCCTGCTGGATTTCAGACTTGCATGGGGCCTGTAGACCCTTTGTTTTGGACAATTTCTCCCATTTGGAGTGGCTGTATTTACCCAATGCCTGTACCCACACTGTATCTAGGAAGTAACTAACCTGCTTTTGATTTTACAGGCTGATAGGTGGAAGGGACTTGCCTTGTCTTGGATGAGTCTTTGGACTGTGGACTTTAAATTTAATGCTTAAATGAGTTAAGACTTTGGGGGACGGTTGGGAAAGGGATGATTGGTTTTGAAATGTGAAGACATGAGATTTGGGAGTGGCCGGGGTGGAATGATATGGTTTGGCTGTGTCCTCACCCAAATCTCATCTTGAATTGTAACTCCCACAATTCCCATGTGTCATGGGAGGGACCAAGTGGGAGGTAATTGAATCATGGGGGTGGGTCTTTCTCATGCTGTTCTCACAATAGTGAATAAGTTTCACAAGATCTGATGGCTTTAACAAGAGTAATTCCTCTACACAAACTCTCTTCTTTTTGCCTGCCGCCATCCATGTAAGATGTGATGTGCTCCTCCTTGCCTGCCATCATGATTGTGAGGTATCCCCAGCCATGTGGAACTGTAAGTCCATTAAACATCTTTTCTTCCCAGTCTCAGGTATGTCTTTATGAGCAGCCTGAAAATGCGTTAATAGAATAGTCATGGCAGACATTGGAAAGAATATGATTTTTGAGCTTTCAAATTGGTAAAAAAGATAATATTTTTGGGAAGTAAAGATAAGCGAACTTTTAAAAAAATATATTTGCCTGGTATGAGACTATAAACTGATGCCAGCAGCCTGAATAACAGATAAACATTGGCCATTCAGTTTTGAAAGAACAAAAAAATTGCTTGTGCTTTGACCCAGCAGTTTCATTCTCAGAAATTTATTGTAAACTGGCCGGGCACAGCAGCTCATGCCTGTAATCTCAGGACTTTGGGAGCTGCTGAGGAGGGAGGATCTCTTGAAGCCAGGAGTTTGAGACCAGGCTGGGAAGCACAGCAAGATGCTCTACAAAAGACACAATAATTGACTGGGCATGGTGGTGAGCACTTGCAGTGCCAGTTACTTGGGAGGCTGAGGCTGAAGGATTGCTTGAGGCCAGGAGTTCAAGGCTGCAGTGAGCTACAATTACACCATTACACTCCAGCCTGGGTGATAGAGCAAGACCCCATCTCTGAGAAATGTATTTATAAGAATAGCTGCAAGCCGGGCACGGTGGCTCACGCCTGTAATCCCAGCAGTTTGGGAGGCCAAGGCAGGTGGATCATGAGGTCAAGAGATCGAGACCATCCTGGCCAACAAGGTGAAACCCCGTCTCTACTAAAAATGCAAAAATTAGCTGGGCATCATGCCGTGTGCCTGTAGCCCCAGCTACTCGGGAGGCTGAGGCAGGAGAATTGCTTGAACCCAGGAGGCAGAGGTGGCATTGAGCCAAGATTTTGCCACTGTACTCCAACCTGGCAACAGAGCAAGACTCTGTCTCAAAAAACAAAACAAACACACAAACAAAAACAGCTGCAAAGATTTAACAAGAAGAGGAAGTCCTAGTCAAAGCAATCAAGATAGAGAAGTAAATCAAGGGCATTCAAATTGGAAAAGAGGAAGTCAAACTATCTCTGTTTGTTAATGATATAATCTTATACCTAGAAAACCCTAAAGACTCCTCCAAAAGACTCCTAGATTTAATTTAAAAATTCAGTAAAGTCTCAGGTTACAAAATCAATGTACACACATTAGCAGCACTGCTATACACCAACAACGGCCAAGTTGAAAATCAAATTAAGAACTCAGTTCCTTTTACAATAGCTGTAAAAATAAAATAAAATACCTAGGAATATATTTAATCAAGGGGATGAAAGATCTCTATAAGAAAAACTATAAAACACTGCTGAAAGAAATATACATGACACAAACTAATGGAAATACATCCCATGCTCATGGATTGGAAGAATCAATATCATGAAAATATCAGTATTGGGACTATACTGCCCAAAGCAATCTACAGATTCAATGCAATTCTTATCTAAATACCAACATCATTTTTTCACAGAATTAGAAAAAACAATGTTAAAATTCATATGGAACCAAAATAGAGCCCAAATATCCAAAGCAATCCTAAGCAAAAGAACGAATCCGGAAGCATCACATTACCCTACTTCAAATTATATGACAAGGCTATAATAACCTAAACAGCATGGTACTGGTATGAAAATAGATACATAGACTTTTGGAACAGAATAGACGACCCAGAAATAAATCCAAACACAACCAACAGATCTTTGACAAAGCATACAAAAGCATAAACTGGGGAAAGGGCACCATATTCAATAAATGGTGCCAGGAAACCTGGATAGCCACTGTAGAAGAATGAAACTGAGTTCTTATCTCTTACCATATTAAGAAAACCAACTCAAGATGGATTGAAGACTTAAATCTAAAACCAAAACCATAAAAATTATAGAAGAAAACCTAGGACAAACTCTTCTGGACATTGGCCTAGGCAAATAATTCATGACTAAGACCCCAAAAGCAAATGCAACAAAAAGAAATAAGTGGGACCTAGTTAAACTAAAAAGCTTCTGCACAGTAAAAGAAATAATCATCAGAGTAAACAGACAACCCACAGAATGAGAGAAAATATTTGCAAACTATGCATCCCACAAATAACTAATATCCAGAATCGACAAGGAACTCAAACAAATCAGCAAGGAAAAACAAATAATCTCATCAAAAAGTGGACAAATCACATGCATAGACATGCTTAACACTAGTATTCATCAGAGAAATGCAAATTAAAACCACAATGAGATGCCACCTTACCCTAGCCAGAATTGCCATTATTAAAAAGTCGAAAAACAATAGATGCTGGCATGGATGTGGTGAAAAGGGAACACTTATACACTGCTGGAAGGAATGTAAATTAGTACAACCACTATGATAAACAGCATGGAGATGTCTCAGAGAACTAAAAGTAGATCTAACATTTGGTCGAGCAATCCCCTACTGGGTATCTACCCAAAGGAAAATAAGTCATTACATTAAAAAGACACCTGCACATATATATTTATGGCACACAATTCACAACTAAAAAGATATGGAACCAACCTAAGTGCCCCTCAACTGATGAGTGAATAAAGAAAGTATGGGATATATTTCTACTATGGAATACTACTCATCCATACAAAAATGTAATAATGTCTTTTGCAGCAACTTGTATGGAACTGGAAGCCACTATTCTAAGTGAAACAACTCAGGAATGGAAAACCAAATACCACATGTTCTCGCTTGTAAGTGGGAGCTAAGCTATGGGTATGCAAAGTCATACAGGGTAGTATCATGGATATTTGAGCCTCAGAAGTGGTTGGGTACAATGTACACTATCAGGTGATGGGTACATTAAAATCTCAGATTTCATCACTATACAATTCATCCACGTAACCCAAAACCACTTGTAGCCCTAAAGCTATTGAAATTTTTTCAAAGGATATGTTTAAGCATTGTTTATAACATATAAAATGCCAAAAACATGTTAAATAAAACACAGTATTTCCATATAACAGAATGCTAAAAGAGCCATTAAAGTTCCATACATGATTATTTATTAACATCAATTAATGTTTACAATAAAATGAAACGAAGAATACACATTGGTACATCCAGCATTATCTCATTTATGTGTTCCTGGACGCGTACATACATGCACACATACACATCCAGAGGACATGAAAGCCAGTGCATTTTTGATGGTTGCCTTTGGTTGGTAGGACATACAGATTTATGGGTGATTAGTATTTGTTGATTTCTACTGTGTTCTGCAACAACAGCGTGTGTATGTCTTGCATAATAAAAAAACATTATAAAAAAGGAAAACCCTGGACCAGCAAAAGTGTTTAAAGCCTATAAAACATGAATGTACAATCAGGAATAAATAAATGACAGTTGTTCTAATAGAATCGTTAAGTTTGGCTCTGAGCTCCCAGGCAACCAAATCATAAAGGGAAACACCCAGCTTTTTAATGCTCATTCCCATGAAGATTAAAATATAACATCTCTGAGGGAAAGAAAGCTCTAAATGGAATTTTTTAAATGAAGGTGCTTTTCATATCAATTTTTTATCTTTACTTCCTGGCTTCATCTGCTTTTTTCATCTTTTGAGTAAGAGAAATGTGGTGGCAAATTTTTAATTTTTTTTCAAAACATGGGAATAGCATCTATTCTAACTAAAAAAACAATCAAGTGTGATATAACAAGTGGTTAATATTGAGAGCTTTTCACATATATTTGTCACAAGATTACTATTTCTAACTTTAACAGGATTTTTATCTCCAGTGAACAGAAAAGTACACACGATTTTTAATTTATTTTGTCTTTACTTTTCCACTTCTTTGATTCTTGCCTTTCTGACTGCTTTCCCTTTCCCTCTTTTAACGACACCAGCAGTTAGGAACTATTGGTTTGAAGGGTCAGGTAAATAAATCCATTTCCTACCTCCACCGAGCAAATGCTCTCCACCTGTCAATCTTTTTAGCACCTGCCTTCATTCTTCCTCGTTCAACTTGCAGCTCTACAAAATGTGGAAAACATTTTGATTTAGTTTTTTTCTAGCTTGGTTGGGAGTTTTAACTAATTCCATAATCTGAGCAGATAGTCATTTAACTCCAGATCTCTTCTGTGGCTGTCCTGTTCAAAATAGGTTAGTACTTGATTTTTGACAGAACAGCATTTGTCTGTTTCCCTGTTTCCTCTCATCCAGGTCGGGCTTTCCTTCCAAGTGCAGGCTTATAAATAGTGCCTCGTTAAAGGAAGTTAGCACCTGCTCTGCCTGGCAAGGCACTGACGGGTTTGCACTGTGACAAACTGCCCTCACCTGAATTTCCCAAGCATGTCAATCTCTGCACCTCCGATGTTTATTTAGGCTTCTAAATTATGTCTGTGTCTTTAAAAACAGTGATTTTTAAAAGAACCTCTTGCAATGAGGTAATGCTAGTGGCAGAATGGGTCTCACTTCCCAATCTCCAGGTCTTTTCCTCCCAACCTTATTCTCCTCCCTCATCACCTGACAAGAGGCACTGAGAATAAAATGAAACTCCCATCATCCTCACATTCAGCATCGTCAGCGTGCTCTGCAGAGATCTGCCAGTTTCTGTAAGACATTTGATCAAAGCTTCACAAGTCACGCACTTGTCTCTACACATTTTTACATTGGCAAACTTTCTAGTTTTACTATCAAGAATATTATTTTTTAAGCAAGGAAGATAGAAAATGAAGTGGAAAGTAAAATTCCTCCCCAATCCCCACACACATAGCTTCTTGCTGTTAATCTCCAGAAACAAGGAGGTCAACAGCTCTTCTCCAGCCTTCCCACTCCTACAAGGTGTGGGCTAAGAACTTGTGGTCCATGTTTCTAAGAGGAGAACCTGGAGCGAGAAGAGTTCAAGAGGAAGGAGGTGCAGGTTGAGCATCCCTAAACCCCAAATCTGAAATCCAAAGTCCTGCAAAAATCCCAGACTTTCTGAGTGTGAACATGACATCACAGGTGGAGAATTGCACCCCTGACCTCAGGTGACGGGTTGCACAACAGAGTTTATCTAGCGCCCCCAAGGGGAAAATGAACCGCCAGTTGTGATGTGTTTTTATGATGGCTCCAGGTCCACAAAGCTTGTTTCAGGCACAAAATTATTAAAAATATTGTATAAAATTGCCTTCAGGCTATGTGGATAAGGTGTATATGAAACAAATGAATTTGGTATTTAGATTTGAGTCCCATCCCTAAAGTATCTCCTTCTGTATATGCAGCTGTCCCACAATCCAAAAAAAATCCAAAATCATACACACTTCCAGTCCCACACATTTTGGCTAAGAGATACTCAAGCTGTAGAGTATCAACGAGACTTAAGAAGGAGGTGCCTGAGACCCGCTTGGGAGAGGTCAGGGGCTGATGGACAGGTGGAACAGGCTGTGGAGGGCCGGAGAAAGGGAGACTGCCAGCCAGATCCTAAAGCTGAGGCGTCACCAATGCAGGCAAGGCTAGGACCGCAGGGGTGGGGGACCAGAGGCCACAGCCACAGAGACAATGGCAGAAACAACCAAAGGTGTGGATCAGAAGTGAAATTTGCACAGAGGCCAATGTTAAGAAAGTGGGGTTTAGACAATTTGGCCCTTTTACTCAGTTTGGTGCACTTTTATGGGACTAAGCTTGGTAACTTAAGAGTACATTAGTCAGCTGGGGCTGTCATAAGGAAGTACCACAGACCAGCGGGCTTGGACCACAGGAGTGTATTCTGCCACTGTTCTGAAGCCTGGAAGTCCCAGGTACTGGTGTTTCTCTGGAGACTTCTGTCCTTGTGTGTGGACAGCTGTCTTCTTTCTGTGTCCTCTGTGTGTGGGGGTCCTCACCTCCACTTCTTATAAGGACACCCATCAGATTGGATTAGGGCCCCACCCTAAAGACCCCATCTTATTTTAATTACCCCCTTAAAGGCCCTATCTCCAATATAGTCATATTTGACATCCTTCAACATGTGAATTTCGGGAGACACAATTCAGCCTGTAACACCAGGGAGGTGATTGAAAAATATAAAGAAGATTTACAAGGTAAGGAAATACCATGAATTCCAAAATGCTTTCTACAGCCTGTTCCCCATAGGCAGCAATAGAGAAAATCTCCCAAAATGTTCTTCTGGAGGAAGGGAGGTAGTATGCAGTTCTAATGACCCTCCACCCAGTTATCAGGACCAAGTTTATGTGCTGATAAACATGCACCAACACACAGAGAGGGTCTTTGCCAAGCCCGTACAATTACCCAGGCTCAGGACAAATGTCTAGACATTGCTTTACTTCAAGGAAATGTTGAATGGTTTCTCTAAAGCCATGTGTCAATTCATTCCCTTCTTCTAAGGAGACTCAGGGCCGGGCGCGGTGGCTCATGCCTGTAATCCCAAAACTTGGGGAGGCCAAGGCGGGTGGATCACAAGGTCAGGAGTTTGAGACCATCCTGGCCAACACAGTGAAACCCCATCTCTACTAAAAATACAAAAAATTAGCTGGGTGTGGTGGCGGGCACCTGTAATCCCAGCTACTCGAGAGGCTGAGGCAGGAGAATCGCTTGAACCCGGGAGGCAGAGGATGCAGTGAGCCAAGATCCTGCCATTGCATTCCAGCCTGGGTGACAGTGCGAGACCAAGACTCCATTTCAAAAAAAAAAGGGGACTCAAGAGTTGAAGCGGATGGGTTGACTCTGAGATAGAGTCACTGTCCCACGTCCAACATAACAACCACCAGACTCCACAACTTCACCCTGTCAGTCCCAGGGACCACTCAGCCTCTGGAGATGGCACAGTCTTCTCATTGCATGCTGGGCCCTGGGGTAGGGCTCTGCTCACTGATCATGCAGGTAACTGAGAAAGTGAAAATCCTGCTCACCGCATGCCTCTTTTGCCAGATATTTAAGATTTTCAAGGAGACAAATGTATGAATATGGTAGAATCTGGCTGGTGTTTCTTGCTGAAGGCATGAGTGTTCATGGTGTGAATGCGCCCTGGGGAGGTTCCAGGCAGTGACCTGCAGGCAGGGCGGCTGTGAAAATACCCCAACACGTCCGCACCCACTGGCAAGAGGCTGGTGCTCCACTCCCTGTGTACCAGCTCCCTTGGTCCCTGGCCCCTCACCTGGGTCCTCCCCAGCAGCCCTAGGTGATGGTCAGTCTCTGAGAGAAGGAGGCTTCCAGGACCTGCTTCTGACCTGTTGCCATTCTCAAAGCCCACCCTGAGGGTTGAGGTCAGAGCCCTGCGGGTCAGCTACTTTGAAAATCACTCTTCCCGATAGGCACTTGGCACAGTGAATATTTATTTTCTGATTAAGGAAATGGAAAGAAACTGGCAGAAAAGTATGCATTTAATTCAGCAAGTGATTACACATCACCTACTGGGTGTGCAGTGTGTTACTAGGTTATTTGGGATGCTTTGAAATGAATGAAACCTGGTCTCTGAATTCAAGGAGCTTATCGTCTATATAAACTATGATGGTTAAGGCTGACAGAGCTGAGATTTTCATAAACTGTGTTTACTTTCTTAAATTACCCTGATTATAATCTTCCTACTTCGGCTTCTACTCAGCAGCTTATTTAGGTTTCTGGACTGGCTTTATCTGCTCACTCTCTGCACTAACCTCCCTTTTTCCATCTCCTCCTGTCCCCCAAAAAGGCAGTGAAGAGTAACTGGATCAACGATGGCTTTTTCTAATCTTATCAGAGCACACCCAGAAGGGCACATGGAGTTCCATCGCGCCCACCTTGCCCGGCTTTCAGCAAGCACAACATGCTGTTGTCTAATATTTGGCTTCAGACTATCAACTCCCTGTCAACACTGGAGAGTCAAGGTCTGCGGGAGCTCAGCAAGCTGTATCCATGACAACTGTACCTAGAGCAGGGTACTTAGCATATGGGTAATACGAAACATCACCCCACTCACTCCTGTTTTTCAAGAGATCATATGATGAATAATTGAATATTAAACCAATTGAAACATTTATTTTATGCCAACCAGTACTACTTCCATGCCACATTTGATCTATATCTAACTCATGCTATTATTTAAAACAAGGCAAAACAGAAGGGAGGGAGGGAGGAAAGAGAGGAGGGAGAGAGAGAGGAAGAAGGAAGGAAAGAAGGGAGGGAGGGAACATTTTGCTTGGCTATGATTTTTTAAATCTCTGATGGATTTTCCTGAAAGAAAAATACAGTAAGATGGTGTTGGTAAATTTATAACATCTCTCACCCATAGCAAAATTCAGTAGAAAATGTTAAACATGTTTAATAAATATCAAGTTGTAATATAATAGTTTCATAAAGACACATAATTGAATTGTCTTCATCCATATTCACTAAGGTTTCTTCATATTCCTGCTACATAAGTAAGTATCCTGCTATGGCAAAACACTCTGCACACATATATAAGAAAAAAAGGCAGGAAGGATGAGACAGACAGACAGAAAAGTGACTGAGGGGTGTCAAGCAGCTTGTTTTCAGTACCATATTATGCTAATTAAATTAATCATCTAATTTTGGTGTTACAGAAATGGCTGCATCACATCTTATCATCTCTTTGTGCCTAAAAGGAATAATGAGAACACTCTAGAATGACCCAAACATTTCATCCCGCTTTGATCTAGTCCTCACTCTCTCAAATAAGCCATCTTCATGGAGGTGCTGCCCCAACCTCCTGAGATGACATTGCCCCTTCCTTTAAGGGAAAAGCAGATTTCCCCTGTGTTCTTCTATATCTCCAGCCCTACTCCTGTCAGTTTTGGAAACAAAGTTTACAAAAAATTCAATCACAGTAGAGATTTAAACAGGATTTAATTTACTTTGACAGTAGATCCATTGGGACATTTTCTTTTCTTAGTTGCAGTAACAGACATTTTGTTGTTGCATCTAATTGATGTCCACAATGAAAATTAATCACACAATTGGCAAGTGGTTTTTGCCACCAAAGGAAAACTTTGTGTGCAGTATGTGTTACATGCATCATCTCCTATCATTGAATAACAAATGTGAGGCATGTAGCTAGACATGCAGATACAGCTAGGGACATTAATAAGAAAAACTCATGAGAACGTTTTGTTCCATGAATAAGTACAGTTCAGAATTTTTACATTAGTCTGCAATGTATTCACATATTTATGGTCTTGCCTTATATTTGGAATTCTGTCTCCCTAAAAGAAATATAGTATTATGGTCTGCATTTCTTGCTCATATACAAATATTTTCATAACTCATGTCTTTGCCAAAGACTCCTCATCATTATTCATTAGAGCCAAGATAGAACTATTGAAATATTGTAATTTTTATTTTTCCTCTCAATTTATTAGGGGATTTTATAAAATATAGAAAGATTAAACTTGGCTATATGTTAAAAATAATTAAAAAGACCATTACGGATAACAAAAATGCATGTTTTATACATTTCAGAAGAGTGAAATATCAGAGAAGAGACCCTTCTCATTAATACATGTACTTGTATTGCTTAGGGTTGTGTCAAAGCGATAACATATGAACACCTTAAAAAAATGTTTTCCCTATTTTGGGCTATCTGCTTCATAGCACTGATGTTCTGATTGACCACTTGAGAAATTGTTAAGATAGGTGCAAATAATTATTCTAAAAATCATTTGAACTGGCAACTATGTTTAAACTCAAATGAAATATATTTTCCACTAGTCTAAGCTCATATTTTTTTTCCTAAGACAGAAACTAGAAAAACGGTTTTTAAAACTAGAAAAATTCAAGGCTATGAGCAGGGAAGAATGTTTCTGGCAAATGTGTTTGACATTGATTGACATGTTATGGATAGAGAATGTAGCTTTGGGTCTGAAGACAAGATCGAGACGCTATTATTTTTATAAAGTAGATCATTTTGATGAGAGGTGGGATATAAAGAGAAAAACTGAAGACAATTGATGTGCTAAGGAAGTGAAAAAACCTGGCTAAATAACTACAAGTATATAATGGTATTACTAACTGCACCTTTCTACTCATCTTTCCTGATTTTTTAATTGTATTTGACACTGTTGACTATTCTCTTCTTGAGAAAGAAAAAAGTAATCACCCCTTTCATTTACTTTTCTGGCCATACCTGCCCAACCTCCTGTGTACATATCTCTTCCTCTGCTTTGCCCCTATTTTTGTGTCCCCACCAACTTTTTCCAACACTGCACACATTTATGCTTACTCCACAGGTATACTTGCAATCTCTATACTGACTCCAAACCCTTATTTCTCAACCCAAATTATTCTCATAAGCTTGCACTATCTACGGGATTTTACCATGTGTATGTCCCGCAGATACTCCAATCTCCAACTCAAAAGCTCCTCTTCCTGCTCAACTACCTAGCTTCTATATCTAAGATGATAATACTGTCTCTAAGTCATATGCTCAAGCCAAAACCTTGGACAGTATTCTTCTACCTTATGCCAAATCTTTCACCAAATCTTGCCAGGGTTACCTCCCAAACATTCTGTATTACATCTATTTATTTCTGCCTCCACAAATATTACTCAAGTCCACGCCCTTCTTTCTCTTAACTGTATTACAATAACAATTTCATTTCTTTTTCAAATTATATTCCACATATATCTGGAGACATCTTAATAAATCATGACTATGTCACAGGATTTTCTTCCACAAAACCCTTGTGTCACTTTTCATTGCTTTTAAGATAAGGTCTTACCTCTTTGATGTTCCATTTTAAACACCCTCTCTCGGGTCACATAAAATAGTGACCATCTACAATTGCTCAAGACCCTGTGGTCCCCTCTGCGTCTTTGGTCTTTCAACTTTTGCACTCTACCCTTTATCTGTGCTGAACTCCTTCCTAAAATGACCCACCCTTTCCCTGGTACACATCCTGTGTGCATGCTGGACTTCCTGACTTTCCCTCAGCAGATTAAACTAACATGTGAACACAGTTATTCTTCCTTTTCTAGGAAGTCCACTCTGACCACTCCTCCCTCCGTGGTTGGGTTAAGTTCCCTTTTTAAGTGCTGTCATACACTGTTTACTTTCCTTTTCATATTGTATTCATTGATATATTGGGATTGTGTATTGAATTTAATCATGAGAATGGAGATCCTGTCAGTGCTGTTCACTGCTGCAGTCCTAGCTGTTAGTGCAATAAGTGACTTATGGTAGACCTACAATAAGTGTATATGCTTTTTAAATGAACAAATACATTTTTGATAGTTCCAGCTGTAGGTACTCAAGTTTAAACTGTTCAACAGTAACAAGCACTGGTTCCCTTTAACAAGCTCTAGCTGTGTTTTTTATTCCATTTTAAACAACTTCTCTTGGGTCACATAAAATGAAGATAATTCGTCTTAGACATTTAGGATAAAGTCTTAATTCCTTAACATTGCTTAAGAGACCCTGCTTATCACTCTGTGTCTTTTGTCTTTCAAGCTTTGCGCCTTACCTTTATGCATGTTAAATTCCTTCTTAAAATTGTCAGGGGTTTAAAGCACATTCAATGACATAATAGATGAAAGACCTGATGAGAAGGTGGACTGGATGATGAGACTTTGCCTCTGAGACAGACTCATCTCAGAGCCTGGCATAAGGGTGGACTGATTTGTCATTTAGATACATCCCATGGCTGCCTGATCTGTATTGTCCTATAAAATATTCTTTAAAAGACCAATTAAATAGAAGAATGTAATGAGGTCGAGAATTCCCTTTTACACACTAAGCAAATGACAATGCATATTCTGAGCAAGCTATTCTCAGCAAACTGCCAAAGCAAATTTTCTTGCTTCAAAGGTTGGCATTTATTTAACATCGATTCATTCCTTCTATCTTGCTATGGTGGCATCGTTGGCATTGAATTCCCAAGCTAGACAGCTGAGTAGATAGCTATCACGTGGAGAACAGAGAGGCAGAAAACAGCTAGGAAAGAATCAAGGCTGGGGAAGGAGAGTACCATCAGAAACATTGACCAGGCTAAAAACAGCCATTCAGCCACCACTGAAGTAGGGAGCATCATCTATTAATAGAACATGCATTGACTGTTTTAAGCACGGTGTGTTCAGATTGCTTGCATGTAGTTCTGACTATGTTTAAAAGATGGCAAAGTTCAGTTCTGTTCTGTCTAGTCTGATGGCTGAAATAATAGAATGTTGGAAATTTCCCTTACTAATACTTTATTCTATTGCCTTATACACTGTTTTTCGTATACTAACTCATTGGGGAAAGCGTAATAACCATGCCACAAATCTTGGAGTAAATAATTTAAAACAACTGCAATTTTAATGTTTTTTTCTGTACATTATTTAATGCTAACTTGGAGTGAAATTGCTTAGAAAGTATTGAATTTGTGTATCCGGCAAGCACAAGAATTTCCTTTGATGATGGAAATGCAATAAAAATAAAATCAATGATTATAATGTTATCTTAAATGACTTATGCTGAGCCCTGAAGATATTGCATCTATTTGTCCTTTTGAAGCATGTATTATTCTATTATCTCTATAACCTGTCATGACTAATAAACACGGTCACAGATTGTATTTCCTGAATCTATTAAGTTCTCAAAATTATGCTGCTTCAATTGTTTTGATTTTCAAAAAGACTTCATCTGGAATTTTAAAGATCTTTAAATTAACACAGGTTTTATAGATGTATAAATGATGCTTGCTTATCTGATGAGAATCTTCTTATCTTCTGTGGTCCTTTAGTGTGGAATGGCCTGAGGTCAGATGGCAAAGCTCCCCAACAACCTACTGCTCTGGGGAAGCATCTCAGGTTTCTGAAGTTACTATTCAGCTTTTTCACTTGTCATTTGTCTTGGTACTATCTGTAAAATTTAAGAATTGATTGATTCTCAAAACATTCACCAAGTTTCTGTACATGTAAAGCCTATTTGTGATATTAAGATGGAAAATGTGGCTGGGCGTGGTGGCTCACGCCTGTAATCCCAGCACTTTGGGAGGCCAAGGCAGGCGGATCACGAGGTCATGAGATCGACACCATCCTGGCTAACACGGTGAAACCCCGTCTCTACTAAAAATACAAAAAATTAGCCAGGCGTGGTGCCGGGCACCTGTAGTCTCAGCTACTTGGGAAACTGAGGCAGGAGAATGGCATGAACCCTGGAGGCGGAGCTTGCAGTGAGCCGAGATAGCACCACTGCACTCCAGCCTGGGCAACAGAGCAAGACTCCGTCTCAAAAAAAAAAAAAAAAAAAAGAAAAAAAAGATGGAAAATGTATGGTTGCCCTGCCTTTAAACAATCAATCTGGTGTAATTCCAATACTGTATGACATGCTAAATGCAATGTAGAGTTGTAGACACTAATTTTTACTAGAAAAGAAGCCATTTTATTGGCCTTGGGGAAGGAATCAAAGAAGGCTTCCAGGAAGTGATGATTTTAGAGCTGAGTATGGAGAGGCACGAGTTACCCAGGTTTGAAAAGAAACAAAAAGAAGTTAGAAAGGGGAAAGGTGTTCTTCCATCCTACTTTTTCCCCTTTATTTCTCTTTCTTTTCCAATAAATATTGGTTGAAACTATTTATGTGCCAAGAGTATGACCATATGAACGGGGTAAAGTCCAGGGTGAAAAAAACAATAGAAGCCAAATGACAGAGGCAAGAAACAATGGTGTGTGTAGAAACATAGGAAGCACGAGAGTGAGGGTCAAAAGCTAGCAAGGTTTCAAATTACGTAACATTCTGTATGCTTGGAGATGGAGTTTAAACATTATCTTATCCGTAAAATTATCTTTCACAACTAATTAATAGACATGACCAAAGTTTTAATATACATTAAAACTCGCCATTGTGTTGAGTGGAGAGAAGGGTGCCGGGGCACAGTCAGGCAGCCAGTTCACGCATCCAGGTGAATAATAACCAAGTCTCCAAATAAGAGAATGTCGATGAGGATAGAAAGAAGGAGACAGATTGGAAAACTTATTAGGATATCAATAAAATTTAGAGGCTTAAAGGATAGATATGGGGATTGAGAGAGAGGGAGGGACAAAAGATGGCACACAGTATTTAGACTGGGCGACGTGATGGTGTCGCTGAAGATAAAATCCGGAGGTGGAAGACCAGACATGGGCAGGGCTCCACTGTGAACATGTTGTACTTAAGGTTACTGGTGTGCCCGTGTAGAGGTGTCCATGAGGCAATGAACAACAATGTGAGGCTAAATTGGGTGTAGAGTCTTAATTGCAAATTTTAAATTTTAGAGTTGTCGGCTTTTAGTTGATAGTTGACATAAAAGTACATGAGATTATTAATAAACAGGAATAGAAATAGAAGAGAAAGGCCCTAAAATTGTGATGAAAGAGATTATTTTAGGTAGAGATGAACAACGAGGGAACAATAAGCAGAAATTGATGGGGAAATTTAGGGGTGCCATAAAAACTAAGGGGAGAGGGAGAGTAAAGAACAAGGCTGGCATGTTCTCACTCATATGTTGAAGCTAAAAACTTTGATCTCATAGAAGTTAAAAAAAAGTAAAATAGAAGATACTAGAAGCTGGGAGGGGAGATGGGGGAGATTTGTGAAAGAATACAAAATTATAGATAGATGGGAGGAGTAAATTCTAGTATTCTACAGCACCGTAAGATGGCTATAGCCAACAATAGTATATTATATAGTTTCAAACAGCAAGAAGGAGGATATTGAATTATTCCAACCCAAAGAAATAATAAATGTTTTAGATGGTGGATATGCCAATTATCCTGATGTGATCACCATACATTATATGCATTGCAACCTCATTATGTATCCATGAATATGCACAATTATATGTGAGTTTAAAAATATTTTTAAAATGTTGTTTTAAAAAGAACAAGATTGATTGCACTGAATGGAACACAGAAGGCTGATAACACAGAACCTCAAATCTACATGCTGGCATGGTGGCACATGGGCATTCATTGCTAACCCCAGCAAAAGTGGCATCAGTTGAGTGGGGAGGGCAGAGCTAATGTGGGGTGAGTTGAAAGATGATAAGACATCAAATAGGTGAGACTTGGGTTTACACTGCCGTTGAGAAGTGTGGCTCTGAGACAAGGTGGAGACAGAGCTCAAAAGAAGGATGCGGAGTTGTGGAAATTCTTTTAAAGATGTGAAAGACTGCAGCCCAATAAGAATACCCAGGAGAGGAACCATTAGAAACAGAGTTACCAATCCCGGATCCAGTTCATGCCACTTCCTTGTGATGTTGGGCCCCCATATGGCTAATTTTAGATCAGAAGAAAGAAATGCTGAAGCAAGGTCCTACAGGAGCAGAGGTGGCAGGATTGGAGATGGAGGGTTTGGAGGTGGTGGGATTGGAGATGGAGGGATTGGAGATGGAGAGATTGGAGGTGGCGGGATTGGAGGTGGCGGGATTGAAGGTGGCGGAATTGGAGGTGGAGGGATTGGAGGTGGTGGGATGGGAGGTGGAAGGATGGGAGGTGGCGGGATGGGAGGTGGAGGGGCTTGCCTTTGAACAGGAGAACACCTCTCTGGGAAGCTGGAGACTGGCTGATGAGGATGAATGTGGATGTAGAGAAGTTTGCAACTGGTGGGAAGTTAGAATGAGGCCAGTTGAGGGAATTAACATCTATCTATTTTTTTTTTTTATTTAGTTTATTTGGAATTAGAAGACCTTGTCCTCTGCTAAGATTTGGGTATGGTGAGATGGCAATTAAGTCGGGGATTGCAGAGCACAGTGAGGGTTTTATATAGCTGAGGAGAGAGTGGGGTTGGGGATCTCAACGAGAACAAGAAACAGAGACAGCAGCTCAGGCTAGACACCATGAATTCATTCTCCAGAACACTCTGGCTGTAGCAGTGAGCGAAGGCAGGCAGAAATAATAGGTAAGAACTGGACTTGGCCAGGCACAGTGGCTCACACCTGTAATCCCAGCACTTTGGGAGGCCGAGGTGGGCGGATCACGAGGTCAGGAGATCGAGACCATCCTGGCTAACCTGGTGAAACCCTGTCTCTACTAAAAATACAAAAAATTAGCCGGGCGTGGTGGCGGGCGCCTGTAGTCCCAGCTGCTCAGGAGGCTGAGGCAGGAGAATGGCGTGAACCCGGGAGGCGGAGCTTGCAGTGAGCCGAGATCGCGCCACTGCACTCCAGCCTGGGCCACAGAGCGAGACTCCGTCTCAAAAAAAACAAAACAAAAAAAAAAAAAAAAAAAGAACTAGACTTGTGTGGTGTGGGGCAGGATGCTAGGGATAGCATGGCGTTGAGCGTATTGAGAGTGCTGATGAAGGTGTACGTCAGATAACCAAACATGGAATCTGTGCATCTACTTGCTCATGACCGGCAAGTGCACTGCTGGAACCTGGAGCCTCAGCGTGGGTGAAGTACCTTGTCTCTGGCCATGATGGCAGGAGTCACAAGAAGATCAAATCTCCAGGGCACTAGTGATCATGGAAATAGTAGGATGGCAGATACCATCCTGTGCTGTCATTGTTGAAGAAGTGAAGCAGCTACAATACAAAACTACAATTCATGTGAAGAATATTAAAAGCTTAATGGCTCAACAAACAAGGAGATGATTAACATTATACTTCCCTAGAAAAATACTAAGAACTTTGTGTATATATGCATTATATATGTATACATATATATTTAATGTTTTACTGGTCAATTTTTTTGTGATTTTTTTTCAAAGTACATGATAAAAGTTCCCCTTGCAAATCACCTTTTGAGGGTATCATCTTGGAATGTAATCATACATCCCCTAGAAAATATTTAGCACTGTCATAATTTCTATCCAGATGGGCCTACCTCATCTTGCACTGCAACCAAAGAAAATCCATGTTTAACAGTTTTATTGAGATATAATTTATGTGCCATAAAATTCACTGATTTAAGCTATAAAATTTAATGATTTTACAGAGTTGTACCATCATATTCATGCAGCCATCACTGTAATCTTAACTTTAGAGTATTTTCATCTCCCCGCAGTGAAGCTTCACACCCACTGGCTTTCACTCTCCAAACCCCTCCATATTCCCAGGTGTAGGTAACCATGAATCTACTTTCCATTTGTATAAATTTGCATACCTAGACATTTAATTCATTGTGCTTTAGCACTTTCTCTTTTTTCCCCTTAAATACATAAACTGCATATCTAGCAAAGTCAGTGACTGTCCTCTGGCTTGTGGCTGGCGATTGCCCTCTTGCTTCTCTCTGCATATAGATCTTCCATGAATGACAAAGCCTTTCTCCAGGGACAGGGTGATGGTCTCTTACCCCGCAACCCCGCAGTGTCAGTGGTCAGGCTGTAGTCTTCTGCCTAAATGTGGGGGCAGTGTTGCATGCTCCTTTATGCTTGATTTTTGGCATTGGCCCTGGCTGTGTCCTTCCAGATAATTCCTAGCCTCATTCTCTAGCCCTCCAAATGATTTAACAATAGCTTCCTTTTGTAAGTTTAGCTTTAATTTTGATCACACGTACATATGAACATATTTTAGAATCAAATAGTTCTATAATTCTGCATTTGAGAGCCCACATTCCCATAACCAGTTCACACTCCATCCCCAATTTTTGGATGCCCAGAGACTTTCAATATATTTCTCTTTCATGATGATGATGATATTTATTTTCATAAATCTATATATCATGCTTATAGTATCATTATTTTATTTATTTATTTTGAGGTGGGGTTTCGCTCTTGTTGCCCAGGCGGGAGTGCAGGGACATGACCTTGGCTCATGGTAACCTTCGCCTCCCGGCTTCAAGCGATTCTCCTGCCTCAGCCTCTCGAGAAGCTGGGATTACAGGCATGTGCCACCACGCTGGGCTAATTTTTGTATTTTTTGTAGAAACAGCATTTTGTCATGTTGGTCAGGCTGGTCTCAAACTCCTGTCCTCAGGTAATCTGCCCACCTTGGCCTCCCAAAGTGCTGGGACTACAAGCGTGAGCCACCGTGCCCAGCTCATTTCTTTATTTTTTAAATGAATTACCTATTGACTTATGTCTCTCACTACCTCCTTACACATATGTATACATTTCATTCATCTACATTCCGATATAGTTAAGTAGATCCAAAACATAATCAAATTTTTTGTTAGATCAATGTTAAATATTTTTTAGAACTGAAGCCTGTAGTGTATACTAACCTATACTACATTAATCTTTTTTCCTGAATTTTTAATGTGATAATCATATTTTTGTTATTGTTTGCTTAGCTTTTCATTACCACTAATACATCCTAACCTCTCCCTTCATTGTTTGAATCCTTGAAAACAACATATTCTATCAGTTTCATCTTTTGGGAGGCATCTTTTGCTAAGCCTTCTGAGTTCTCCATCTAGGCTTGTTCTTTCTAAAGAGGCCTGGTCCTCAGCTGTTTTATTGAGTTGCCCCTCACCATCATCCTTGGGATTTTCTGTTCCTTAGATTGCATTGTTATCTCCCTAAATAATTTTTTCGTTTGGGGAAGTCACGTTCTTCAGTAGCTTTCTGAGAGAGGATTCCTGGTAGGTAAATTTTTTGAAAATTTGAATACCTGAAATTGTCGTTTATTTTTATTTGTAACTATACTCTGTTAGGTATAGAGTTGAGTTTGGGATTTGTCCTCCTTCAGAATTTTAAGGGTAGTATACAAGCATTGCTGAGACTGTGGTGTTGATGCTGAGAAGATTGAAGCCTTTTTGTTTATTTTTATTTTTATTTTTTTTAAGATGGAGTTTCACTGTTGTTACCCAGTCTGCAGTGCAATAGCGAGACCTTGGCTCACTGCAACCTCCACCTCCCGGGTTCAAATGATTCTCCTACCTCAGCCTCCCGAGTAGCTGGGATTACAGGCACGTGCCATCACGCCCAGCTAATTTTTGTATTTTTAGTAGAGATGGGGTTTCACCCTGTTGGCCAGGATGTTCTCGATCTCTTGACCTCGTGATCCACCCGCCTCAGCCTACCAAAGTGCTGGGATTACAGCCATGAGCCACTGCGCCCAGCCACCATTTTGATTTTTAATCCTTTGTCTATACCCTGTTTTTGCCTTGTCTTCTTCTAAATTCTTTTAGAATATTCTGTTTATCCCTAGCATTCCTAAATTTCATAAGAATGTGCCTTGATTTGGGTCTATTTTTGTCCCATTTTGCCAAGCACTTATGGGATCTTTCAGTCTGCAAATTTACATTCTTCAATTTCTGGAAGAAGTCTTTAAATATTTCTTAAATGATATAATTTTCTTCACATTTCTTATTTCTATTTTCGGAACCTTTATTATTTGGCTATTAAACTTTCTGAAACTAATCTTTAATATTCTTGTCTTTTCTTTTCCATTAAAAGCCTTTTGAGTCTAATTTCTGGGAGAGTTTCTCAACTTTATCTTTCAATCCGTCCGCTGAGTTTTTAATATTTGCAACACATTTTCAATTTCTAAAAGCATTGTTTTTTCCTCTGAATGTCCATCTCCTCCTTTATGTAGAGCACGGCATCGTTATTTTCTTGTGTGAAGTCTGCTCTTATTCCTCTGAGGGCATGGCCACTCACTCACTTTGGGAATTTCAGTCTCTGCCATGCATAGTCTGTTTTCTCCAGGTTGCTTCTTTCTGTTTGTTTGGATCCCTTTCATGTTAGAGGCTTTCCTCAGATGTATGATAATCCCTGACTGCCATATTTAAGGCTGGGTAACTAAAAGCTGGTTAAAAGTTCTCCACACACAGTGAGAGCTTGTTAACTATAAATTTCACTGAATGATGGTCTGGTTAGGGCACTATATTGGGTAATCCCAACTGCCAGTATCTTTAGGGTTTATTTTATACACTCCTCCACCCTTGACTTTGGGGTTTATTATCTTCCCCAAAGAAGTGCCTTCTAATCTCATCCAAAGCCCAGCTGTAAGGTTTTATATATGCAGAAGGGTAACAGCTCTGGGGGTTTACATAATTCCTCTGTGCTGGCTTATAATTTACATTTCTTAGGTCTTATTAGTCAATTACCACTCGTTCTGCTTTCTGGCTCCCATCATTTTATGGCTGATTTCTTATCTTTTGGTCCTTTGGAATTATGAGTTTATGCCTTTAAAAAGTCTTTACTTATTTTTAGTAGCGTTTCAAGAGGGAATAATATTCTGTGAATAAACCCTTCTCTTTTGTTGCTGAATCAGCCACAGTTAGGTTCTATAGCTTAAATTTATATACCCTAACTTATATGCAGATACATAAATAATTATAATTCAAGTCAATACTTGCTACAAAAGAGGACAGTGCCCAGTGTGTTGAGCACACAGAGAGTAAGTCTGCATTCATTGACAAAAGTTTAGGATGTCTTCACTTTTTAAATTTTTTGACTAGCACTTAAAATACATATTCAAAGTGTTACCTATGGTGGGAAGTGAAAGAGGTCTTAACATTAAGGTTAAATTGGGCAGGTATATCACTGGATTCTTTTATAAGACTTTGTATTTAGGGCATCAAAATAATTGTCTTAATTAGGATTAGTATTTCGTATTACAGATAAGGAAAGTGGTAGCCAGAGAGATTTATTTTTAAAAGAGTAAAGTTATCTAGCAAAAAATGACAGAACTTGAATTGAAATATAAGTTCCTATTTCTCCAAAGCCATGCCTTAGGTGTAGAAATTTACAGAGCAAAATAAGGGTCTTTATCAGAACCAAAAATGGCATTCCTGTTTACTAAGAAACAGACCTCTCTCAGAATTTTTAGAAGTGATTATCCAATTTATGTAATAACTAAGTTCCATTTTCTCCCCTCAGCTCACTGGTAAATATTCCACTTTGATGTTTTTTTTAAACCATTTTCCTACTCTTGCACCTATTACGTGTACAGAATAGAGGAGAAAAAAATCTTTTTTTATTTCCAGGAAAGTATGGAAGGAAGATGAATCAAATCATTTAACTTACATTTATGGATTCAGGGATTCATTTTCCACATGCTTTCTGTCCCACGTTTCTACGGCCTCCAAAATCTGTCTCTTATATGTGTTAGCAGAAGTGGAGGGATCTGCACATACGCAGCCTCCGTGGATGCTCAAATGCCCTCTCTACCTGCTCCACCTCCTGTCTCACCTTCCCCTTCAAGGCTTGGCATCCTTGCTTCTGACCCAGCCACAGTAAGCTCTTCTTAGGTAAATTTCTTTCCTTCAAGGGGGCATTGGTTGGGACTCAAATGACACTAAGAGTACTTTCTGATTTTCTTTAAAATATTGCTGCAATACCTACTGATCAGACTTTATTTTTTCCCTTATTTGTCCTCTTATGAGACACTGATTGAAACCCAACTTTGAGCAGGAAACTAATACTAGAGAAAGAGAAATACCAAGATCTAGAATTTACTGACTGTTTTGTGTTAGATCCATTCTAAATGCTCTACATATATGGTCTCATTTCTCACATTTCAAACCTCTGTGAATTTCTATTTATTATTCTATCATCATTCCATTTTACAGATGAAAAATTTTTTGGTACAGAGAGATTTAAATAACTCTCCCCAAATCCACATTACACAGTACTGAGTGGAGCCAGGATTTGAACAACCAGAGTCTGACCCGTGGGCTTTCAACCGGTCCCCTACACTGCTATGCTCAGATGAGTCTTGCTCTGGAGCAGCTCATTGACACTTCCTGGAAATTTTGGTTAATATTTCAAGCCTGTTTGTGCATCCACAGAAACTTTATGAACATTCAGAGAGTAGAGGCCCTTCAGGCCAGCAGAAGAGCAACGGAGGCACTCAGAATTTATAAACTAGTGGATTGAATTTAGGCCAAAGTGCCCTGAGGATCAGGAAGCTTTCAGTGCACCTCCAGCCACACCAAACCCACAGGCCAGTCCTAACTGGATTTAAAAACAATGAAGTCAGATGTTTTGGCTCCACGTCGTGGAAGAAAGAACAAGGATCTAGACTTGAAAGACTGTTATAATTCTGGTTCTTTCTCTTATGGGACAGAGAAAATCCAAAATCCTAAAACCAATCACTTAATTTTTTTTTTTTTTTTTTTTTTGAGATGGAGTCTCGCTTTGTCACCCAGGCTGCAGTGCAGTGGCGCGATCTTGGCTCACTGCAAGCTCCGCCTCCCGGGTTCACGCCATTCTCCTGCCTCAGCCACCGGAGTAGCTGGGACTACAGGCGCCCGCCACCACGCCCGGCTAATTTTTTGTATTTTCAGTAGAGACGGGGTCTCACCGTGTTAGCCAGGATGGTCTCGATCTCCTGACCTCATGATCTGCCCACCTTGGCCTCCCAAAGTGCTGGGATTACAGGCGTGAGCCACTGCGCCCAGCCACTTAATCTTTCTTCACATTAGGTTTTGCATCTATAAAATGGTAAATCTAATGCCTGACTAACTACCTCATACTGTTTGAGTATAAAATTAGAGAGTATATGTAAGAGCTATGCAAACTTTAAAGCACTGCAAAAAAGCATCATCATTCATGGTGTCAGTGTGAAACAAGCAAGCAGCTGAGATGGAAATTTAATCATACATCGAGTCTTGTTTCCTCTCCACAGGAGAGATACTCACTTGGCTTCCAGGAGATCACACTTGCCTGTCTTACCTCCTACTTCACAGGCTATACCTTTTCAGGCTTTTTTGTTAATTCCTCTTCATCATTCTAACCTTTAAAATTAGCGTGTTCCAGGTCTGAGTCCTGGGTCATCTTCTTTTCTCTGTCTCACTCGACATGATCTCATCCCTGTCCTGGTTTTAAGTGTCATATATATGCTAGTGACTCGAAATCATATCTTCAGCTCTGCTGCCTCTCCTGAGCCCCAGGCCCATTTATCCAGCTGTCTATTTTACATTTCCACCTGGACGTCTAACATCTCAGGTTTGTCAGTTCCAACAATGAACTCCTGATCTCTTCCAGCAAACCTCTCTTAATAAATTTATCTCTCTCTCTTCATCCCTCTTGTTGTTCAGCACACAAACCTTGAAGTCATCCCTGACTCCTCTCCTCTCACACCTTATTTCCAATCCATCAGGAAATCCTACTGGATTAAAAATAACATGCAGGCCAGGCATGGTGACTCATACCTATAATCCCTGCAATTTGGGAGGCTTGAGGAGGAAGGATCGTTTGAGGCCAGGAGTTCAAGACAACATAGTGAGGCCCCATTTCTACAACTGTTTTTAAAAAATTAGCTGGTTGTGGTGGCACACACCTGCAAACCTAGCTACTCAGGAGGCTGAGGTGGGAGAATCACTTGAGTCCAGGGGTTCTATCTAGGTTGCAGTGAACTATGATTGCACCACTGCACTCCAGCCTGGGTGACAAAGCAAGCCCCTATCTCTAAAATAAATAAATAAAATAAAAATATATCCAGAATCCAACCACTTCCTGCCACCCTCATTGCAATGATACTGATGAAAGCTAGCGTCATCTTTCTCCTGGATTGCTGTAATGTCTTCTAACTGGCCTCTCTGCTTATGTCCTCGCCCCTTAACTGTTCTTGCCTCAGGATAGTAGCCAGGTGATGGTTATTAAAAGAAAGTTAGATCATGTGATTGACTCCCTGCTCAAAACCCTCAGTGGCTGTTGGTTCCACTCAGAGTGAAAGCCTGACTCTTCACAGTGGCTGAGGAAGCCCTGCATCACCCGGCCCCTCCGCCCTCCCCAAACCCTTGTGTGTGCTTTTGCCTAGGTCTCTCAGCTCCAGCCACATGCGCTGCCTTGCTGTTCTTTGAGCACACCAGACATGTGGTGCCCTGAGCCTTTGACCATTCTTCCTGCAGCCTGGGCGCCCATCTCTCAGATGTCTGAGTGGCTAAGCCCCTCAACTTTGTCACATCTTTCACCAATGTCCCCTTCCAATGAGGCCCGTCCTGGACCATCCCATATCAAGGACCATCCCATATCAAGTTGCCCCCATCCCCGTGCCAGAGAACCCTGAGCTCATTACTCTGGCATTTTTCCTTAGCTCTGACACCTTCTAATACACCTTGTGATTTGCTTGTTATTATGCTTGCTGCTTGGTATTTGACTTTTTAATGCTAGAATATAAGCTCCACGATGGTAGAAATAGCTTTTGTCTATTTTATTCAGTGATGTCTCTCAAATGCCTAGGACACTGTCTGGCATGGGGTGGACACTCAACATCCACTGAACAAATGAATGAATACCCAGATATATTACAAACAACATTAAAATGTATCAGAAAGCACAGCCTTTAAAAACCGTGGAATAAAAGGAGGTTAGAATTGGATCTGTAAAGCAAGGACTGACATAGACTTGCATGGTTCAAACTCCTGATTCCCAAACTTTTCCACATGTAGTTCCCAGAACTGCACATCGAAGAGCCTATCTTTTGCTCACTTTTTTCAGGGGAAGAGAGGGAGTTTTGGAGAAAGAACTTCAAAAATCAGAATTTTCTCCCTGTCATCTTTTAAGGTTTATTTTTAGTCCTACTTGAGCAAGAAGGCAAAAACTCTCTTGTTTCCCAGGATATTTCTTCTCCTTCTTATAAATACTTGAAACTCTTTTCACCAATGATGACAAAAATCCATCATTCCACAGTGAGAGAGAAAAAGCCCCAAATTCAAATGCTTTTTCAGAACATTTGTGTTTAATCTAATTGAATCTAATCTAAATTCTAATGAAGTAATTAAGCAATAAATATAAACAGCCAATATCAGATGCTTCCCCTTTCTGTAAAAGAACAAGCTTGAGTGACTTAGACGGCGCAAGATACTGAATATTGGGGTCATTCCAATGAAGGGAGCGGGCACAGGATGGGAGGTTGAAAATGACAGTGGCAAATGTTTTAATGTAGACAAAATCACAGCATCATCCCTGTTTACCTTAAGCAGCCGTTTTACAGGCTCTGCTCGTGAGCAGAGCAGAGGGAGCACTGAACTGTTGATCTACCAAGTGTCAGTCCTTAGAGGCTGCTCAAGGCTACAGAGCCCTCCCCAAGGGAGGACCCGGTGCTGGACAACAGCTCAGCAGGGAGACGCTTTCTGGGTCATGCTGCGGAGACCTCTGCTGTTCCTTTTTGCTGTGCCACCTCTGTTTCTCACGGCTATATCCTTAAAAAAAGAGAGGGAGGTGGGGGGCATTTAAAAAAATATTAAGGTACTAGAGAACTAGTTAGCAAAGTATTATTGTTATTAAAATATAAAAAATAGTTAATGTTTTGGTCAAATGATAACGTCTGGTAAAGTCCTTAATGCTCAACCAGACAATGGCAAACACACCCCCCCCCACACACACACACACACACACGCACACACATGCATACACAGTTTGTATGAATGCAGTTATCTTTCTACCAAGTGTAATGAATCTCTTACTTAATTTTCCTCACTTTTTATTGGCTGCTTTTGCAGAAAAAATTTTCATTGTATGCCTATTTTCAAGGCTTGTGATATCTCTCTACGTACAAAAACACTCACCAGTCCTAATTCTCTTAGTCATCTTCAGTGAAGTGACATGGGAGCACACGAAACAGCCTGAATCTAAAGGGCTAAGAAGAAAGCGTGCCTACAGAAAAACTGGTTTCCATAATCTCTTCCTTCGTTCAGAATGTATCTAATTAGGTGCCAATAAAAATAGCAAAAATTATAAAAGATTCTTTTCTTTTTAAAAAAGGCTTTATTGAGGTATATTTGGTATACAGAAAAGACCCCTGGACATATTCAAGGCATACAATTTGCTGAGTTTGGACATATGCATACACCTGTAGTAGTATCATCCCCACAATCAAGAGAATAAACAAACTCATCACCTCCAGAAGTTTCCTTGTATGCCTTTGCTTTGTGTGTGTGGTGGGGTGGGGGTTATGCAAAATGCTTAACATGAGATCTGCCCTCTAAGCAAACGTTTAAATGCACATCATATTGTTACCCATAGACGCTATTTGTACAGCAGATCTTTAGAACTTACTTGTCTTGTATTTTTTTATTGTTCTTTTGATAGGATGACTAACTGTATTAGTCCATTTTCATGGTGCTAATAAAGACATACCTGAGACTGGTTAATTTATTTAAAAAAACAAACAAACAAAAAAAAACAAGGTTTAGTGGACTCACATGGTTCCACATGGCTGGGAAGGCCTCACAATCATCGCAGAAGGCAAAGGAAGAGTAAAGTCACGTCTTACATGGCAGCAGGCAAGAGAGCGTGTGCAGGGGAATTCCCCTTTAAGAAACCATCAGATCTTGTGAGACTTATTCACTATCATGAGAACAGCATGGGAAAGACCTGCCCCCATGATTCATTGACCTCCTACTGGGTCCCTCCCACAGCACATGGAAATTGTGGGAGCTATAATTCAAGATGAGATTTGGGTGAGAACACAGTCAAACCATACGACTAACCCACTGGCCATTTATTTTAAGATTATACCATATAATTATTTTCCCTTCAGCTCAAAAACTAAATTAGGTACCAACTTGAATGGAAAGAGTTACATAGAATAGGGATATCAAGAAATACATAATGTTTTCCCCAAATTTCATAATGATCTTGAATATTTTTCTCATTTAGGCTGCTGGGATTTATATTATCATTCCTGTGTCTTAGAGTAATTTCAAGTACATAAATGACTTTGCTTATTATATCTTAACGTGTTAGAGAATTGTGTACTTTTCTGTGATTGTCAGCTAGCTGGACTATTAATCCATTTTACTTTCTACTTGATGGAGTGGTTGAGAGAAGTTGCAAAATTACCTCATGTTGTTAACAGAAGGGGCAGATTAAATCTATAAACAACTTGTTAGCACAGGTTTTAAACCTTTAAATATTCATTTGGTATGAATCACATTTCAAGGCCTGTTTTCTATATTATTTCTAAATGTACAAAAACAAAGTCAATTGGTTACTGGAGCCAGCTTTATAAACTCAGTCCTCAGTGTTTTCCTCCTTTGGTTTATCAATTTCTTCAGGCTGGATATCAAGTGTATCCTCATACCCTGCTCTTGTCCAAACACAAACGGAGTAGTGCAGATGCCTTCCAGGGTATTTGGAAGCCTCACCCCAACATAAGGACTATTTCTCCTATTGGAGAGAAAACTGTGGAACAACAGATGGTTCAGGAACACACAACTGGGCCAAGTTTTAACATTTTAGTGTTGCCATGTTGGGTTTTGTTTCCCAGTATTCATGCAGCCAACTATCTTGAAACTCTTGCCCTTAGCAGAAGGCTGATTCTCTGTGGTTCTTATGCAGGAGGGCTAGTCTTTTTACCTTCATTAGATGGAGATTAAGTCAACACAACTGCCTACTAATATTTGGCCCAGACATGCGTTACCTCATTTTTAAGTTTAAGCTACCTACAGCTCCCAGGAACATAAATAATTGAAAGGCATTTTATATTTTATCAGCTGCTCATACACCTTTATGAAGTGGGGAAATGTTACCAAGGCCTCATTGCAAATGCAGTGAAGGATGCTGGGTGATGTGATGCTTCCTATTCACACAGTGAGTAGCAAAATGGGGTCATGAATGAGCATCTCTGGGATCCAACAGAACTTGACTTCTAAAACTATCATTATTATCTACCAAGATCCAATAAGTCACCTTAAATTGAATGTGACCTGTGTTTTGTCTGCATAGTGGTTTGAGAGGCTTGGGTACTGGCTAGCCCAGTTGAGGGAGAGGGGGAAGGATGTTAGTGGAAGGTCAAAGCTTCTGCCTATACTCATGTTGTAGGCCTGGAACTCGATCAGGTTCAAGCTCCTACTTTCTCAAGTTATGTGATTTTTTTAAAAAAATCATGAGTTGCAAGGGAAGCTCTGTGGACAGGCTCAGACCATGCTCAGAGGATGAGACACAGCTGCAGGGGCCTGTGGCTCGCTGGCTGATGTGGTATTTATCTGCTTCTTGCTGCACCACATCGCAACACTCCTTTGGAATCTTTTCTTCCAAATTAAAAACAGTCCCTAAAATGAAAAGCTAGGTAGCAGGAAGACTCATATTCTTTAAGGACCATCTTGCCACAGTGGTCTTGGTTTTCTGTCTCTAGCCTGCTCCTCCTGCCCATCCCTGGCCCACTGTCTGTCATCAGGGATGTCACACCGTTGGTTGGAGTGAACATAATGCACCTTCCCTTTTTGTTGTACTTCTCTTGCAGACTCAGCAAAGTTGTGTGCTGAGGCTCGTCCAGCTTAATTCGGCTGATGAATCTCACTCAAAAGATACAGCATGAAGCAGAAGCACTCATTCCAACAAGATTACCTGAGCATGCACTCTGACAGCCCAGCATGGCCAGTCTCCAGGGAAGAGGAGATGCACAATGCTGGCCTGTAACAGGGTCCTGGGGCCAGGACAAGTTATCAGGGCAGGGGATGCTGAAGAAGTCCAAAAGTGTGGCCTGAACTACTTCTGAATCTGTACAAGCATAAATGTCCCTTAAACCAACACCCATGTCCTAGTTATTTAAGTGGTTTAATTCATTACTTCATTCTAGAAGTAGATCTGGGGATTTTCCAAACGTAGAGAAGCAAGGCATTCTGAAAGGTGAGTCATGACTGGTCATGTTGCCAAGTGCCAGGGATTCGGCCTACATCCAGCTGCTCACTGCACAGAAAGCCAATCACCAAGACAACAAGTATTGCCAGGGAAGAAAGACTTTAAAATGAGTGACATCAGCTAGGAGACAGGAGGCCAGTCTCAAATCAGTCTCTCCCTAAAGTTAGGGGTTTATATAAGAGTTGGCCAAGAGGCCAACTCCTATATGGTTGGATGAAGAGTCTATTGCCTGGCTAGATGCAGTGAGTTTCAACTCTAATACTATATGGGAGGCCTGATGGTTGGTTTCCTGAGTAAGAAACTCAAATAAGACAAATGTAAGTTTCTCAAGCTTCAAGAACAGGAGGGTCAATTTCCATGTTTATTCAAGAAAAAAACCCATAGACATCAGTTCTATGAAATATTAGGCTGGTTTCAGTCATGGCAGGTGGCTCTTCAGTCCTGTTCTGTGATGCTCAGGGGTTTGGGTGACAGTGAACTTTGTATTTTTGTTTTTTGTCCTAGCATTTTCCTCAGAAGAGACCAACTCAACTCCTTGGGTTCTATCTTCGTGTTTCAGATAGAAAGACATTAAAATAGCCCAAGATAGGTGACAGACTTTCAGATGATATGCCTTCTATGGTTAACCTAATTCTTGATCACTTCTAGGTTGGAGATTTTCTATACACTTAGAACTAAGCCTCTCTGCTAAATATTAGTCACTACCTCTAGTTCTAACCTTATTTTATTGAGAAAGACCTGGAAAAGTGGGGAATGTGGAGAAGTAATAAGGGAATGGTAAATTCTCAATCTTCTATGAAGGGTGTAACGAATGTGTTACTTTTTGATATGATATTAATGGATTACTCTAACATTTTTTCCAATGAGGTTGGCAATACCTGATTCCTGTTCCAGATCAATAACTTGTAGCTTCCTTGTCTCCAGTGAAGTGAATACAAGGAAATAAATCCAGCAGAGCTGGGCAAGTAACATGTATTCCTAGGTAGGATATTGACCCAATGAAATTTTGGGAGCCAGGCTGGCTCATAAGAACATTTTTGGGCCCTAATATTTGTGGGCTCAAGAAGTCATTGTTGTCCTAGGCTCACACCTGAACCTTCTGATGAGTGTAAAAGTCAGTCCAAAGCCACGAGTAGCTCAGAGCCTGACTGCCAGGTGCACTGTGAAGAATGTTCTCGCCACTGCAGGCGATGAAAGGAAGAACCAAGTGAGGAGGACACCACACTGCATGCAGTGTAGCCTTGATACACATGCACCCTCTTGCCATGGGGCTGTTATTCAGTAAAAGCCTCAACTCTTTGGACTACAAGTAGTCCGTGGACACAATTCAGTCCATGCTGAAAAGAGGATTAATTGACTCATGAATGGGGGAAGAATAGTGTTTTAGCTGGTGGTAATGGGATTGGCTTCTCATCTCCTGAGACTGAAGCATGGCGTTCCACGTCTGGATTCTCACTTCCTCACGCATCACTGCCGAAAAGGAAATAGATGTCTCCTGGCTTCCTCTTAAAAACCCTAGGGGATACTTTTAGTGGAGCTGACTTGAGTCTCTGCACGAATTATTGTGGTGAAGGATGTGAAGGACAGTGATGGCTCAGTGTCTGCTGTCAAAATCAGTGTGAGGTGTGTGCACTTGGGTGGTGGACAGGGGCTACACAGGGAGCAACCCCTGTATGCTAGGCTGGCACGATCACCTCTGTGCACAGTCATTTTCTGGAATACACCGAATCAGATCACCATTCTTTTGCCTTAGGGTGAAGTTAGGGTAGTGGAAGAGGAGGGGAAGACTCAAATCTTAGTGCTTCTAGAGAGGAATATGTAGGGGATTCAAAAATGAGTATTCCTCTTCCTTCCTTCCTTCCTTCCTCCTTCCTTCCTTCGTTTTTCCTTCCCTTCCTTTTTCCTTCATTCCCCTCCTTCCTTCCTTTCTCCCTTCTTTTCCCTTTTCTTCCCTTCCTTTCGTTTCTTCCCTCCTTTCCACCTTCTTTCCTTCTTTCCCTCCTTTCCTTCCCTTTCCTTTCTTCCTTTCTATCCTTCCTTCCTTCCATTCCTTTATTCTTTCCCTTCCCTTTCCTTTTTTTCTTTCTTGTCCTTATTTCCTTCCCTTCCTTCCTTCCCTCCCTCCCTTTCTTCCCTTCCTTCCACTCCTTCCTTCCTTCTTTCCTTCCTTCCTTCCTTCTTCTTCCTTCATTTTCTCCCTTCCTTTCTTTTCTTTCCCTCTTCCATTCTTCCTCTCTCCTTCTTTCCCCTCCTTCCTTCCTTTCTCCCTTCTTTTCCTTTTTTTCTTCCTTTCCATTACTTCCTTCCCTCCTTTCCACCTTCTTTCCTTCTATCTTTCCCTCCTTCCTCTTTCCATGGTTTTACGTAGGAAAAAAATTACATGTTTTAAATTATTTGCCAGAGATTTTGCAAGCACATATGAGAATTGAGGATATCTGAAAACCAGATATCCTCCAACCAGATATCCTCCCTTCTGGGTCTCCTCTGTCATAGATGCTGGTCCGGACATCGCCCCCTCAGTATGAGTGGTCTATTGGTCAGCATACCATCTTGCCCCTTCATTTTCTTTAGTGGTCAAAATTATCATTTAGTGTTTTTTAAGTTGCTACTTGCTTACCTCTTGGTGTGAACCACACATGTCAAAGACCCAGTTTCTTTACTCTTTACTCAGACTTTGATTAAACTTTTATTATATGTGAGAACTGTTAAAGCTCAAAGAGAACTTAGACACCTACAGGTGAAAAAAATAGAGACTCGGGTGATGCTTAACTGACAGAGACTGGACTGGAACTCAAATCTTCTGGCTCTCAATTCACCGTGAGGGACAATGTTGCTGTGTCATGGAGCCTGTGCCTGATCTATGCAAATTTTGGCCTTATAATTTAAAAAGCAAAACTCTCACAAGCTTTATATGCTACATGTTTAATGATGTGTGTAATTATTCCACTGTGTGGCAAATTGGCATAAAGAATAAGCCATTTATATAAGGTGTGGTGATTCCTAATATTCCTATGTAGCCAAATCAAACATTTCTGATCTTGTATTAGTTTCTTCTTTCTGCTGCAACAAATTCCCATAAAATTTTAAAACACCACAAATCTATTATCTTCTGGAGGCCAGAAGACCTAAAATGAAGGTTCTGGCAGGGCTGCATTCCTTTTGGAAGCTCTGGGGAGAAGCCCATCCTTATCTTTTCTAGTTTCTAGAGGCTGCCACGTTCCTGGGCATGTGGCCCCACACTTCTGTCGTGTGATGCCTTCATCACGTCTCCTCTCTGACTCTGACTCTCCTGCCACCCTTTGTAATTTATGAGGACCTCTGGAATTAAGACTGAGCCCACCCAGATAATTCAGGGTTACCTCCTCATCTCAGTATCCTTAACTTGATCACATATGCAAAGTCCCAATTGCCATGTAAGGTAACCTATTCAGGGGTTTTAGGGATTAGGACATGGAAATCTTTGGGGGCTGCTATTCTGCCAAACACAAGTGTCTTCTGGGAATAAACAGAGAGAAATCCAGAAAAGAAGCTGTCCCAATGTCCCTTGGAAGCTCCTGGATTTGCAACCCAGACCTTAGGGGCAGGCCCCATTCAGAAGGCTCAGGTGGTGGGGAAGACTCCCTCTTCCCAGCTCACTTCACATCCAAGCAGACCAGACTGCTGGGTGAGACCTCATGGACGTCTGCCAGAGACACTGGGTTGTGCGAAAAGAGAGCCCCTTTAGCAGAAATATCTGTATGTGACTTAGGAGAAAGTCAAAGACAAGGAATTCCATGTGTACAGGACAAATGACAGAATAAGCCAAAGCCTGCTCACCTGCCCCAGGGGTTTGTGCAAACTGAGGAGAATGAGAACATATTCTTTGTGAAGGTGAGGGGCAGGAGAGCAAGGGGAGATGCTTGTAGGGAGAAGGTGGATTTGCTGTAAGGGCCTTAGCTCAGAAGACAAAGGGAGCACTTGCTACTGCTTTCTCAACAACTTCCTTGCATTGACTGCTCTTTTCTCATTTAGTGCATCTACCTAGTTTCATCCTTTCTCTCTCTCTCTCTCTGTCTTTTTTGCTTGTTCACGTTATTTATTGTAGTAGACTATTTGCTGTCAGATGGCCACAATTAAAATAGGCTGTGTCTTTACATCGTATATGCAAGCAGAAAGGCACACCACCACCACTCGCCACATGACATGCGAAGGCTGCTAAGTGATGCCCAGTGAGGCGGCCACAGGCTGAGTCAGGGGCAGGTGCAGGCAGCCTTCACCTTTCTTATGTTTCCCAGGTCATATGCTATCAAAGCACGATGACAGGAATAAAATTCCACTATTTGGGGAAAATAAGTGTTCTTAATTGTCCTCACATTAAATAGGCATTCTGCTAATTTTAAAGAAGTTTAATTTTTTTTAAATGTCATGTTTGTCCAAAGTGGACATGTTTGTCCATTCCAGGTGCATAGGTTTAAGGCTCCAGTAGGATCAGGAGGCAGGCAGTGATCTGTCCACAGATGGGTGGTAGGCTGGGAAGTTCTCTTCAGACTTACTGACCGGGAGTCTTTCCCATGGCGAAGAGGTCAGGTAAATGAGGTGAAATATGAGTGTGTCCTTCGGGAGACAGAGGGACAGGGTCTGTCTGCATAAGAGGGCATTATTCGAGATGCCTATAAGGCACATCCGTAAGTCATAGAAAAATTCTCCCTATCACAGAAAGAGGCCATCTGTGTTACTAGATCTGGATGCTGTTATACATGTGAGCTCCCTTACACACTTGCCCTGTTCTGAGCACATACTCAGCAGGTAGCCTCCAACTTCACCTCCTCTGGGATTGTGCCTAAGACGGTCCCGACCACAGTGCAGCTATGACTTTACTGCACATCATGAAATGGGCAGTCTTCTGAGCAGGGGTAAGCTCAGGCCACTCAGGACGCTGCCAGGCGTGGGTTGCTGGGTCTGGGGAAATGAGGGTATCTCCTGGTCAGCACCACTGTGAGCACCTATTCAGCAATGCAAATTTATTTCGTTTCTTTATACATTTTTTAAAAAAAGAATGCCTCTGTTGATTTCCACTCCTCCAGAAAGAGTGAGTTGTGGAGCGCAGAGTGAGGGAGGTTCCATGTGGCTGTCCACATACTCCTTATTAACGTGTGGCCTGTCAGGGTCCCAGCAGGACAAGAGCCAAACGGAATGATCTCAGGGTCCTTCAGCAGAGCAAAGGAGCAGCTGGAGAGCTCAGCGCTTCCTGCCTGTCTGAGATGGACCATTATAACCTGATGGTTTTCAGCCTTGTACCAAACATCACCTCCCCCATCCACGCCAGCCTGTTGAGTTACTCCCCATAGAGGAACGCCCAAAGCGGAGGCTTCCCAAGGAGCCCACATCTGCTGCTGCCCTGGCCCTGTAGGAAGTTCGTCTCTGGCCTCAGATGGCCTTTGAGAAACAACGTTGCCATTCCTCCCTCCCCTCCACTGTCTTTTATGCTTATGCCACACTCTGGCAGCTCAAAATCCCCACCTCTTCCAATCCAGGCTTGTCCTCCAATTGCAAAATGTCTGTGCCCCCGTCCAGGCCTGCTTCTTCCACACACCCGCAGCACCTGGGCATCTGATCAGGGTAGCTCACTTCTGAAAATATGCCGAAACTCAGCAAGTTAGTATTCGTAATTTCTTGACAAAGACACTGGCTAACTTGAAGAGGCATCCTGTGTAATTCACAGATTTGGCATTTCAACAATATGGCACAATTTGTCTCTTGTGCCTTTTTAGGAAGAGCTGACCAGGTGTGTGGGGTGGGTGGAGAGGAGAGAGTGCCTGTCTGGGTGAGCAGTGAGCGGACGCTGAGAGCAGTACAGAAGCCCATTTCTGTCCGTTAAGTTATGCTCAGCAAGGGACAGGTGCAAAGATACTTTTGAGTTCCGCTGCGTGGACCTTCCCAGCAGCAGCAGCTGTCCATTGTGGCCAGCTTTCTGCACATTCGGAGCTACTCACGGACCCCACAAGGACACTTTCCAGCTCATCCGACTTTGTCATTTATAAAGATGGGAAGCATTATTGAAAAAAGCTCTAATCACTTCAGAACACCCCTCAAAAGAGCATTAAGATAAAATCAACTGTTCCCTACTGACAACTGGCAAGTGCAACTGACTTCTGCAATAGAACATTCCATGGTGATGAAAACATTCTGCATCTGCTGTGTCCAATACGGCAGCTACTAGCTACATGTGACTACTAAGCGCTTGAAATGTGGCTCGTACAACTGGGGATCTGGATTTTTAATTTAATTTCATTTTAATTGATTTGAATTTAAGCAGCCACATGTGGCTAGTGGCTGTCATATTGTACACATTGTGGCTTGGTTTATGGCAATAAAATCTATGGTAATAGTTGCAAAATTGAATGTAATCATTTAGGAATCACCCTCAGGCCAGGCGTGGTGGCTCATACCTATAATCTCAGCTACTCAGGAGGCTGACGTCAGAGGATCACTTGAGCCTAGGAGGTTGAGGCTGCAGTGAGCCATGATCTCGCCAAGGTTCTGTATATTTGGGATGCTCTGCTATTTCAAATCGAAGAAAGAATGTAATAGGATTTGGTAATTTTTGCCATTTTAATCAAATGCTTTTCACTTTGTGCCTATATTTGAATAAGTAAAGATTATAGCTGTAAGTTTTATTTTAAGCTAGTGTAACTTCTGATGGAGATATAAGGACACTGTCATTTCTATACATGAGGTTAATGAAACACTATTGTGTCATTTACATTTATTTGAGAAGGTTTTGATTGCCAAAATAAAGAAAAGGAAAAACTCTCAGAAAATGTGAATTTTGGAATATTTCAAAAATAGAAGCTGGGGGAAGAGAAAAAAAATTATCCAATCACAATTACTTCTAGCAACATGAAAGTTAAGAATGCAAATCCCCAAATTGCTAAAAATGTTTTATTCAATCAGTCCGTTAGTGAAACTTGTATTTCCCTAGCAAGAAAGCAGCACATATTTTTTCCTTCTGAGGCAATCAGGCACATGCTGAACAAAACCACAATTTACATCATCTGCAAAATGAAATAATACCAACAACAGTGAACATTTATCGATGATTTGCTATGGGTCAGGCACTATTCTTTGCAATTTACCTGTATTAACTCCTTTTATCCTTATAAAAATACCATCATCATGTGGCTCACTATTGTTACCTTTCATAGTTACATAAATTGAAGAGAAGTTGGGTAAATTTCCTAAGGTTATATATAGAGAGCTTGTGAAGAAAGAGATCTCCAATTTAGTAACTTCATTCACAGGTGCTAACATGCATATTTAGCCCCTACTGTCTGACTATGATTGTACTAAGCCAGGAGAATATGAAACTGCAGAAAACATTTTCCTCACACTGCTGTCTGCTCAGAGACAGATAAGCACACCAAAAGATAAAGCATATTGTAATTGAAGTGTTTAGCATGTTCAACTGTTTGCAGTTACTTCTCCTGTTCCCATTCTCATGAGCTTTCCCGTCTTTCCGCAATCTGGTTCATTTCCTTATTGATCTGGCAACCAACACTGTCAACTGATAAGGCCAGGGGTGGATACACACTAGGACATGTGGTCTGCAAGTCAGTGTCATCAGCATCATCTTAGAACTTGTTAAAAATTGTGAACCCCCATGCTCCAACCCAGAGATGCTGATTGAGAATGGGCCATGGTGGGGTACGGGGAGAGAGTTGGAATCTGGCTTCTTTCACTTAGCAAAATGCATGTAAGATTCATCTATGTGCTGGAGCACAACAGTCCACTCTTAGGTAACTGCTGAGTAATATTCCGTTGTATGGATGTGCCAGAGTTTGTTTATCCATTACAGGTTAAAGAGCATCTTGCTTACTTACAGTTTGGGGCTCTTATGAAAAAGCTGCTATAAACATTCATGTACAGGTTTTGTGTGAGTATAGCTTTTCAATTTACTTTGGTGTATACCTAGGAGTAGGATTGCTTGGTTATTATGGTAAGTGTGTGTTTAATTATATAACAAGCTGTTTTTCCAAAGTGGTGGTATAATTTTGCATTTCCACCAGTAATGAATGAGATTTCTGGTGCTCTTCATCATGGCAAAGATTTGGTATTGTCCTTGTTTGTTGGTTTTGCCATCTTAATAGTTGTGTAGTGGTAAGTCACTGTGGTCTTGACCAATATTGCCAATGCCGTCAGACAATCATCTTTCATATGCTTATCTGTGGCCCTTATATTTTATTTGGTGAAGTGTATGGTTGAATATTTTGCCCAATTTTTAAAATTGTATACTCTCTTATTATTGAATGTTAAGAGTTTTTGTGTATTCTAGACACAAGTCCTTTACCACATATGTGACTTTTAAAATATATTCTCTCAGTTTGTCTTTTCATTTTTTTGACAATCTCTTTTTCAGAGGTAAGATTCTAATGTTTTTTGTTTTGTTTCGTTTTGTTTTTTTGAGATGGAGTCTCGCCTTGTCACCCAGGCTGGAGTGCAATGGTGCGATCTCGGCTCACTGCAAGCTCCACCTCCCAGGTTCACACCATTCTCCTGCCTCGGACTCCCAAGTAGCTGGAACTACAGGCACCCGCCACCACACCTGGCTAATTTTTTGTATTTTTAGTAGAGACGGGGTTTCACCATATTAGCCAGGATGGTCTCGATCTCCTGACCTCGTGATCCACCTGCCTTGGCCTCCCAAAGTGCTGGGATTACAGGCATGAGCCACCGCGCCCAGCCAAGATTCTAATCTTGACAAAGGACAACTTTTCAGTTTATTTCTTTTATAAATCACACTTTTGTTATTGTATCTGATTTTCTCCTATGTATTCTTATAGCTGTTTTATAATTTAAAATGGTATCATTTAAAATGTCACATATTATTTTAAATGTGAAATTTAATTTTACATTGAAAGTTATATTTTACATTTATAATTTAAAATTTATATCATATTTATATTTAAAATTTAATAATTTAAAATTTACACTGATAATGTAAAGTGTTTAAGTTGTGAGATAGGTGCTATTTCCCTTTTTTGCATGCAAATCTGCAATTGTTTCAGCACCGTTTATTGATAAGATAGTCCTTTCTCCATAGTATTGCCTTAGCACCTTTGTCAAAAATCAGCAGACTCTATTTGTGTGGTTCTGTTTCTGGACTATGTTCCATTGATCTGTGTTTATCATTCTTCATAAACCCTGTGGGTAATCTGAATCCTCCCACTTTGTTCCTCCTGTTCAGATTTTTTGGGCTATTCTAATTTCTTTGACTTTCCATATACATTTTAACATTCGATTGTCAATATATGAAAAAAGCTTACTGAGATTTTATGACTGTGATGAATCTATAAATCAAGTAGCGAAGAATTAGCATCTTCACAACACTGAGTTTCGTGATTCATAAATATGGTATATCTGTTCATTTAAAACATAAAAAAAAATTTATTTCGACAGTGTTCTGCAGTTTCCAGCCTACAGATCCTGCACAGGTTCTCTTTGGTTCGGTAGTTGTGGTGTGGTTAGAAATGGTTTTGTTTTTATCATTTCAAGTCTCAGTTGTTCACTGCTAAGTAGGAATATAAATGACTTGTACATTCGCCTTCTATCCTGTAAACTTGCTAACTAACTTATTAGTTCTAATAGATTTTGCTTAGATTCTTGTGAATCCTCCACGTACAATCATGCTGCCTGTGAATATGGCTATTTTATTTCTTTTTCTTCCTGCCTTCCTTCCTTTTTCTTTCTTGGCTCGGACTTTCAGGACAACACTGTTCCTGATTCTGAGGAGTGGGGAATGATGTCATGTCTTTTACTATTAAGCATGATGTTAGATGAAGGTATTCTGGTGGATGAGCTTTATTAAGTTAAGTGAGTTTTGTTTAATTTTGTTTGCTCAGAGGTTTCATCATGAATGGATATTGAATTTTTGAATCCTTTTTCTCCATTAATTAAGGATGATCATATGCTTTTTTTCTAATTATTTGGTTAACATAGTGAATTATATTGATTGAATTTAAAATATTGAACCAGCCTTACATTTTGGCATAAGCCCTAATTACTGGTGACATATTATCATTTTTATATATTTCTGTATTTGATTTGCTGCTTTTCTGTTGAAAATTCTTGCATGTATGTTCGTGAGGGATATTGGTCTTTAGTTTTTTCTGCTTGTGACTTTCCCTGTCTGGTCTCAGTATTACTATAAAACTAGCCTTCTAGAACAGGTTGGGAAATGTTTTCTACTTTCTGGGAAAATATTGTGTGGAATTCATGTCATTTCTTTCTGAAAATTTTGGAAGAATTTACTAGCAAAACAATACAAACCTGCAGTTTTCTTTTTCTTTTTATTATGGGGTGGGGGAAGCATTTTTAACTGCAAATTCAATTTTAAGAAACTAAAGATAGCACACTATTCATATAGTCTTTTTTAGTAAATTTTGATAGATTTTTGTCTTTTAAGGAATTAGTCCATTTCAGCTGTTTTCTTGAATTTATGGCCATAGAGTTGTTAGTAATATTACTCATTGTCCCTTAATAATGTCTGTAGGGTCAGTATTGATGCCCCTTTTTATCATTTCTGATATTGGTAGTCTGTGTTTTCTCTTTTTTTCTCTGTCAGTCTATCTAGAGGTTTATCAATATTTAAAAATCTTTTCAAAGAACCAACTTTTCTTTTCATCAGTTTTCTGCATTTTCTGTTTTTTCCATCACTGGTTTCTGTTCTCACATTTATAATTTACTTCCTTCTGTTTGCTTTAGGTTTCATTTGCTTTCTTTTCCTTCTAGTTTCTTAAGATAGATATTTAGATAACTGATTTCAGAACTTTGTTATTTTCTGTTGTATCCACTTAACACTGTAAATTTCCTCCTAAGCAATGCTTTAGGTATCTCCCACAAATGTTGAAATGTTGTCTTTCCATTTCCCTTGACTTCATTCTTTTAAAAAATTTCCCTTGAGACTTCTTCTTTGACCTTTGAGTATTTAGAAGTGTGTTATTTAAGTATTTCAGGAGGAGTTTTCAGATATTCTTCTAGATTGATTTCTTATGGTCTGAGATGTATTTTGTATGATGTCGATTCTTTTTGCTTTCTCGAGGTTTGGTTTTCTGCACTCAGTGTGTGGAGCATCCTACAAATATTAGTTAGGTCCAGTTGGTTGAAAATGTTTGTATAACCGTGAAGAATTGCTGCTCCGCAGGCCCCTAAGGACATTACTCCTGCATCCTATAATTTAGGAGTCGTCCTTCCCAAGCTGGCCAAGGTGGGGTATGCCAGTTTCCAGGTCTCCTGGTGCTCTGTTTAGCTTCTTTCTGATCAGCAAGTTTTCATTTCTTCTGACCCAGCAAGAGAAGTCCAGGGTCTTTCCACAGAAATGGCTGAAGGAGCCAGTATTCTATTACATGCATTAATATGCATTATTTGCTCATTTTAGTTATTTAGTCATTGAAAAAATATGTATTAAGTGCCTCCTGTATAGCAGGCTGAGAAACTGTCATGCACAGAGGAGAACAAGAAGTCCCTGCCGTCCAAGGGCTTATGTTTTATAGTTCTGTCTCATTATCCTAAGCCTATGAGGTCATCAGGTGGAACATCCACAATTAGCCCAACCTCCTGCTCTGTTTTCAGGAACTATGATGCAAATCAATGTACGGCATCTGGTTATGATTTTTAAGAGCACTTTGTTTATTAGGGAGGCACTGCTGTGCAGCTTATGTTTGGTTGCCAATATACTGAGTCTTGGCTTTGGTTGTATCATAGCCAGATTGTTGGTTTGAAGAGACTATTCCTCTCTGTGATTTATATTCTCCCTCAAAAACTGCCCAGATCTTGCAACCTAGTCAGCTGTGCTACTGTGCATCCTCTTGGCCCCTCTGCCTCCAGCTCTCCTCCCCACTGCTCTAGCCCACTTGTCTCAGGGGTGATCAACTTCATGTGCATGTAACCCAATGGCACCCTGCCCTGTGCCCACACTAGTCTCTTTATATCCCCTGTTGTGGGTTTTCCAGTCAACACTGAAGCATAAGCTGCCACAGGACATGCTCTATGCCCATTTCTGTGCAACCTGGCAAGGCAGCAGCAAAAAAGTGTCACTGGAAGATCCTGTGACCGATGGGAGATGGGGGTCAGTGGGCACATTCTTCTTCCTTCCTTCCACTGTTTGGGCCATCCTGAGACATGGACGTTCATACAGTCTCTCAGGAGATGGGCACACGAGGTGGAGGGGTCGAGTACTGATCACACCAGGTGGCTGGTTGGATCAAGCTCCCTCCTCACCTGTGTTGCTTCGTTTGACCTCACACTGTCTTGGGATGGCCCATTCTATATAGTAATCCATAGCTTTTGCCGCCATCTTTGCATTTTAGGGAACACAAATTCACACATCACTCTTTCCTGTTTACTCGTCAACAGGAGATAACATCAAAAGAAAAGCTGGTAAAGAAAGATTAACCAAAACATCTTGATATTAGGCCCAGCATGTAAGGTGTCTGCCCGTCCTCCTCTCCTTTCCATCTCTAAGCCACCTTGTTCTTAAGTAGACCCCACAGGAAGCATCTCACAGGAGCCAAGATGTGAGACCCTCACCCTAACTCTCACTCTAACCTTAGGGGAATACAGCCCAAGCATTTGGCTTTTCTCATCCACAGAAGAGAAGTAGAAAACAGCATTTCAAAATGAAATGTATTCAATTAAAGAGAGCCAGCTATTTTCATTGAAATGTATTCAATTAAAGAGTCAAGTAGATGCAGATGAAAAGTTAAGTCTGAAGCAGACAGCCAAAGGTGAAAAAGCAGAGCCTGGGTTGAAAAGCAGCTGTGAGAATCAGAGCCTCCTGAGGACGCGTTCCAAATGCAGAAGTGAAATGATATGCAGCCCAAAAAGCGTGAAGAAAACGGGGGAAGAGACGGCAGGACTGAGTACTAGAAAAATAGGGTAAAAATAGCACTCAACATGGAAAGAAAAGCCGCTTAGAAGCTGCCTGCCTTTTACTCTCAGAGGAAAAACTCATAGAAATATGAAAAAAAAATCCCACCTGTTCTTTAAAGAGTCCTTCCATCTCAAAATCGACTTTGAAATGCAACTTTCTATTTAGATTTCATTGTGTCATACACCTTGCTTTTCATTGTTCTCTCTGAAACCTGGCCCCGTGTGTGGCAAATGAGACCTACTGCACACTGCCTAGTAGAATTAGCAGCAAATCTAAGTTTGCTGTTTTTCAGCCTAGAAAAACATGTGCAGTATTTTTCCTACTGAGCAAGAAATGTCAGCAGAGTAGGAGAGGGCATTTGTAACTCCTAGCACCACCTCAGAAAATCACAGAATGTCTTCCAGCTTTTGGTCCATTTCAAAAACTGAATTGAACAAAAATTATCTGGAGAGTATGAGTTAGCTGACATAGATCCCACTGATGTAACACTGTCACACTTGATAGAATGTGTAGGGGAGACGTGAATGCGTAACACCGAGGAGCACGCTTTGCCAGGACTCTGCCAAGAGCACTTCACATCAGCCCTGAGACGTATATGCTGCTGATAATTTTTTCAAACATGAGGAATGGACTTTGAGAGATTAAGCCTCTTGCTGAATATCACATGAGGAGTGGAGTGCAGGGATGTGAAGATACGGCATCCTGTGTGTTCTGTGTCGCATTCAGTCGTGTGCTGTAAAAATGTAAATAAGTTTTACCTTATTTACAGATAGTTCTGATCCACACAAACCTTTGTCAGGCAGGTAGAGTTATTCTTCCTTTCCTGATGAGAAACTGGAGTCCCAGGAAAATGAATAGCTTATCCAAACTGACAGTTAATAACCTTGGACGTAAGTCTACTGACTTCAAAATATATGAGACCCCTGTTCGTTTGGTTTTATTTATTTATTTTTAACTACACTGACATCAACATGATTATGAAGCTTCCAATATGGCACATGGTTCATTGTGGATGCTTAAATATCGGTGCTCTTTTCTGTTTGATCTTAGACAAGTAGGTCATATAATACCACTGCTCTGTCTAGAGTTAGCCAAGCATGTAGGTCATTCAACTGTGAAGCACAGTGGATCTGCCATTCCTTGCAGGTTCATCTCATAGGGTATTCCTAACAGGGTAGACCTCATGCATGGGGTAACTCATCACATTTTTTTTAATGCAGTAAAGAAGTGTCTGTTGATGGTGCGTGGGGATCAGTAAAGCAGCTATGACTTCCTGAGAGTGAGATCTCAGAAAAGAACAGCCTCAGGAAGTGTGAGAGTCCACTGTGGGCAAGCGGCTGTCCAGGTCCACTGTACCTGCCAGCTAGCTGTGTTATTTCTATCATCACCAGATTAGAACTTCAGAGTCAGGATTTGTCTGTGTGTGTCCTGGAGGGAATCCCAGGGATGATCTAATTTACTCCCATAATTTTTCAGATGAGAAAATTGAGACCCCAAAAGGTAAAATGGATAGCTAAGTTCACGTGATGTTAAGTGTAAAACAGGAAATAGAATTCCCCTTGTTGAGGGTGGAAGTATGTCCAATATTCCTTCCCAACCGCAGCCAGCAGTCCAGGGCCTGGGCAACACTCACAGCTCAGTAGCAGGGGTGAGTGCCTGCTCTGAGGTCCACGGTGGCCAAAGTGAGGCCATCAGTGTGTAGAATAGTGTGGGGCTGACCCCTCCCACATAGAGCACTATTACTGTACTCACTCTTGGAGGTGTGCTCCTGCATCCACTCTGAGGCATCTCAGAAAGAGTAGTTTCACCCACGGCAATTCAATCTATGACAGCAGGTCATTTCTCATCTTCCCATAAACAATCGGAATCAGAATTTGAGAAACAAACATTCATACAACATGCCTTATATTCCAGATAGCAGCTCTAGTACTTTTCACACATCCAGTATCTTATTTAATCCTCTACCTTATTTAGTTATTTAATCAGACTACCCTGTCTGGGTCATTGCCTCCACTCCACAGGGGGAGAAATGTAGGCTCCCAAAAGTCAAGTGATTTTTTGCCCTGCTAGGAAGTGGATGAACAACCAACGGAGACTGGGGTCTGTGTGATTCCAAAGCCCAGACATCTTGAGGCGTTTCTAGATAGAGCAATGTGCTGGTGTTGATGCAATCCAAAGAACAAGTGAAATTCCTTTTTTCCAGTTTGTGATTTAGAGCAAAGGCAGTTGAAGGTTTTGTTGTTGTTGTTTAATTAGGGACTAATATTAGAGTAAAACTGCAAAATGAAAACCCAAGCTGATAAGTCCGTGGAAAAATGGATACTTAGGCCATATTTATATATCTACAGTCAACATTTAGAGAGCCTAGATTAATAGAGCAAACAGAGTAATGGTGATTACCCTGGTAACAAAATCTCCATTAAGCCTTGCTTGAGGAGAAAATGAAAAGCTTGAACATCTGTCAGGTTCAGCAAGAGTTCACTTAGGATCAAAAGAGTTATGTGCTCTTTTTTCCTTATAATCAAAATTACCAGAATGAGAACAGATCATTGTCTGGGAGCTCCGTGGTTGAGAAACCCCACTAGGGTCCACGAAACAACATGGAGTGACTTATGTCATCCGCACAACCTCTCAGGGTCAAATCAAGGCCTGGCTCCCTGGAGTTTCTTCCCACACAGAACAAACCATTGCCAGAAATCTTAATGTGTCATTAAACCAAATTTAGCCCGTGGTTTCAGGTTCACTTTTAAAAGGAACTTGTTAGCACATGAGTTGCATTTGATAAGCAAAGCCATCTGGCATTTTAAAAATTGCCCTTTTTGCCTTACCAGATGAAGAAAGAGTGTCCAAGAAGTTGGAGCTATGTCAGATTTTCATTTTCCTTCTCTTCTTGGGCAGAACAGTTTAAGCCAACCATCTCACATTGGAAGAATAGCAGCTCCAGCCCAGCATTTATTGGAGCTTTCCTCTTCCTGGCTAGTACCTGCCATCAGGTTGGTAATATTTTGCCATCCTTCATAGGGGCATGGATAGACATACATGCACCTGCTAAAGGCAGTGCTGTGTACTTTTTCTTTTTCAAAACATATTATTTGGCAATGTGTTTTTTCATCCAATAGGATATTTGGGGGGGATTTGTTCATTCCACAAAAATCTACCTTATCATATCTATCTCATATCTGAGATTAGAGCTGCTTCCTCCAGCTTGGGTCTCAGAGCAAGAACACACCCAAGGCTGACCAGAGCCGACCTGCAGCCCCCGCACGGAATGGCTGAGAAAGAGGCAGTTACTGCCGTAACACACTGGAATCGTGGGGTCCCTCAATACCATAGCAAAGGCGGAAAATGGCAACCAAATCCTGAGAAGTAGAATTGCTGAGTCTTAAGTCCATTCCACAAACACTTTGAAGAGAGATGTTTTGAATATACTGTTCTGGATTCTGGAGATCATAGTCGTAAACAACAGTGAAGGAAACCAAGTTCCCCAAGTTAGGGTGCTTACATCTTGTGAATATTATCCTTTTTAAAGTTTTAATAGGTGCTTAAAAAATTGCCCTTCTCTCTACTATTTGTTGATAAAGATAGAAAGAGGGAATTCATGGTGCTTTCTCTTTCCAGATTTTCTCTTCTATTTTCCAATCTTTTAAAAAAAATTCTCACTCTAAGCATGGGCTCAGCAAATCTGGATGTCAATCAACCAGCTCTTTCCCTAGGAGCCCCTGGCAGCCAAAGTGGATGCCTGTGGAGTATCCCCTTGGCAGCCCTACCCTTCAGCTTCCCTTTGACTTCCCTCCTCTGTATAAAGGGCAGACTTGGCTTTACTACACCAAAGTGTCACACACATGAGATTACGGAAGGTCATTGTTTACATGGCATGAATCCTAGGTGGGAGCGGGTCCTTCTGTGGTGGCATGGCCATGCTAGGCTGTGAGCCCATGGCTATCTGTGGAGTGGGACAAGTGGAATGGCCAGCCTGAGAGCCACTGGTGGGGTGGGAGTGTGGAGAGGGGAAGACCCCGACTCCAGAGCTCATCCTGGCGAGGTCAAGATGCATCATGGAGGTGGGCATAATGATCCCAGCCCCTGCTTGCCTTCCAAGTGACACACTTTTCCCTAGCCCCTTCCTGTCTGTTCTGTTCTTCAACATTGGTGTCTTGCTGAGTCAGGGCCCCATGTGGAAGTACTTGCCCGGGCTCCTGATACCTTAGTTGGGGCCAGCTACCCGTCTCAAAAAAGACAACCAGTCTTCAGAACATGGAGCTGATGTCCCTTTAGAAACTCGCTGCTGCTTCTTAGGGGCACTGCAGGGAGGAGGGAATGTGCCCGGCTTACTCTGGAGCCTAGAAGGTAGCACTTATTTTGAGAGTTAAAGGAACTTTCCCATTGTTCATTGGAAAAGCTGAAGCATATAATGGCTGGTGAGCACTCCTGGCTAGGGGCCTCTGAGTTGAATCCATCTTCTCTTCTAGGGCTACATGTATCTGCTGGGCTGGGTCTTCCTCTGGCTCCAGCCTTTATTTCCAGGCAATTACCTCCAGCTCTTGTACTTCCCTGGTCTGCTTTTCCCACTTGGTCTATGTCTATGCGGCCTCCTGCTGCCATATCCACGAGGGTTATGACCAACATGTCCCCATGTTCTTGAACCGCCTGCCTATAAGCATCTTTGGAAATGTGGCACCCTCATTTAACAAAGTACACCCTCCAAAAGTCAGGCACCACCATGCAGTAAACAGCAGCAAACATAAGCACTCACTTTTTGCATGTACTCTTCAAAAAAATGTGCATGTATTGGCTGGCCTCGGTGGCTCACGCCTGTAATCCCAACACTTTGGGAGGCTGAGATGGGCAGAGATCAAGACCATCCTGGCCAACATGGTGAAACCCCATCTTTACTAAAAAATACAAAAATTAGCTGGGTGTGGTGGCACGTGCCTGTAGTCTCAGCTATTTGGGAGGCTGAGGAAGGAGAATCGCTTGAACCTGGGAGGTGGAGGTTGCCGTGAGCTGAGATAGCACCACTGCACTCCAGCCTGGTGACAGAGCGAGACTCCATCTCAAAACATGTCCATGAATTAATCTTCACACAATCTTATACAGTTAGCTGGTATTATTACTCCATTTTAAAGGTGAGGAAATTGAAACACAGAGCAGTTAAGTACCTAGCCCAAGGTCACACAGCTATTCAGAAGCTTATCTAGGAATCAAACCTAGATGTGCTTAATCCAGAATCTGTGATCAACACTATTTAAACGCAACCTGAAGAAGGCAACTAGTGTAGGGGTTAGTATTAAGGAAGTAAACTCAGCAGAACTGGCTCATTCCTAGATTGGAAAAGAGTGAGGGTGAGGAGGCAATGAAGAATGATCCTGAGTGCCTGGTTTAGGTGGAACCATCTGGCACTTGTCAGAGAAGAAAAGAATCAAAAGGCAGAGTCACAGGTGTGGGAGATAACAGGCTGAGCATTGAGTTCTGGGGCCCGTGGGACTGCACGTGGATGGCTTGCAGGCTCAGCTTTGGCCTAGGGAGTCAGACCCTGCCTGCTTCTGGGCCCCAGAGCCACCCCCATCCACTTGTGATCTGGGAAAGTCATTTAACACCAGGACCCTTGTTTTCTTATCTGTAACATGGAGATGCTGGTAACTCGTGCCTCATAAAATCACTTGATGTGGGTGAGAGAGAAAGCTAAGTGTTGATGACAGTGTGGGCCTGACCGTGCCTGAGTAAGCCCCATGGGAACACAGCCGTGGTGGGAAGCAGCTTCCCAGCAGCCCTCCCCGCCATCGGGAGAATCCCCTGAGGCCATGAGAGGGTCTCAGGGAGGTGGACGGCCCATCAAGTGAGAACCGAGGGCACTGTGCACTCCTGAATCCTAGGACTCCTCTTAGGTAAGCCTTTGAGATTTTACTTTGTTTTGGATAAACTGATTCTTCCAATATATATATATATATATATATATATATATATATGTATATCAAAATCTCACTAACTTAGCAAAATTATAGTTAGATAGTAAAAATAGGTTCTAATTCTCTATAGCACTGAGGGTGAATATAGTTAAGAATACTTTATGTTTTCTAAAAGCTAGAAGATTTTGAATGTTCCTAACACAAAGAAATAATAAATATTTGATGTAATAGATATGCTAATTACCCCAATTTGATCTATTTTATATACATATAGAAATGTCACTCCATATCCCATAAATATGTGCAATTATTATGTGTCAACTGAAAATAAAAGAAAAAATACCAATAAAATATGAAACTTGATTTTAAAAAAATCTTACACACTTAGTAACAGCAAAATAACTGAGTGGTAAACATCATCTTATGTCTGCCCTAGAACGTCAGGAAATAAATTCTGAAGCTAGAAAAGGGATTCCTGCATTTCTAAGAGTGTTGACGTTACTATCTGGACCAGCCAGCTGCACTGAGAGGTGGTCCTACTGACTCAGCACGTGCTTGAATCACAGGGTTCAGGTGGTAGATGGGTGAGCGGCACTGATTTCAGATTAAAACAGCAACTCTCTAGAGACCTTATTTCTATTAATATGTTCTACTGCTGGGACTGACTACAGCATCTAACAGGCCACTTCACTGTTTTGTTTTAAAGATTTAAAACAGATCAGAGTCAAAGCTTGCATTCTTTGACCCTCTATCTGGTTGATGATTCTGAGTAAAAGGAGAATGGGTGTGACTGACTCAGCTCCATGGGACATAAAGCAAGATAAAAATGAGGGCACAATGGAAAACAAGTGACAGCAGTGAGAAGCAGAGCATCCTCTCTGCTGCGAAGCATGTTGTCTGTGTCGTTGGCAATGCTGGAGAAGCTATTGGACAGAAAGGGGAACTAAAAAAGTGTGGCTCCCACAGTACATCCAACTGGGCTTGTTTAAGACACACACATAAAGTGCTGGACTGGAGGGAAATTGGAGACTATGTGGCCACACACTTGCACCAACAGCCAGAATGGGGAAGTGGCCTAGTGAAGCTTAGCTGTGCAGAACCGGGTTCCCAGCTCCTGATTCCTGATGCCAATTAATTCCTAGTAACCAGGTTTTATTTGTATTTTGTTCAAAGCCCTCCTTCTCTGTGCAGCATCCCTAGGCCCTCTGTCCTGGAGGGGTGCCTTCCCCTCTGACATGGCACTACCACCTGTCATCTCTGCCCAGCCCGGGCTGGGCACTTTCTTCAACCTTTTGTTGCGGCCACTTTCCTTGACTTTCATCTTCTAGAGTGGGAGATTGAAGGGATGAGAAAATTGCAGTTCAGAGATGTTAAGGAGCATATCCAAGGTCAAAGCCCACTTGAAAGAGAATTTGTTGAGGTCCCCAGAAAGTTAGCCACTACTTGCTTTTGACTCCCCTGCCTACCTGACCACCTCTTCTCTGAGTACACAGAGTGGCTCTGAGGAAACTGCAGGTGAACCCCACCTGTGCCAGCCCCTGGAAGCCACCAGTCTGTTTTCTGATATAATGATTTCGCTTTTTCCTTTTTGGTAAGGTTATATACATGTATTTATATAGCCATTTGGTCTTGCTTCTTTTACTGAGCAAAATTTATTTAGAATTTTCTTCATTGAAAAGTTTTTACCTGCAAATTTAATGCCTTTAATAGATATAGGACTACTGGTTATCTATTTCTTTTTTTAATGAGTTTTGATAATTTTAATCTTCCACGGAATTGGTCTATATCACATAAGTTTCCAAAATTATGGGCATAATGATGCTTTGTGGATTCTGTTATTATTTTGTAATGTCTGTGGGATCAGCAATGATGCTTCCTGTTTGAGTCATAATATTAATAATCTAGGTTTTCTTGTTTTCTTTATGATCCTCACTACAGCTATGGCAATTGTATTGATCCTGTTTTAAGAACAAGATTTGTTTCCTCTGTTGTTTTTCTGTTTTCTGTTATTAATTATATCAACCTGCTCTAATTTATTCTATTTTATTCTTTCTGCTTGTTTTAGTTTTAATTTTATTCTTTTCTCTAGTTTCTAGTTTTCCTAAGTAGAATATTAGGTTAATAAATTTAAATCTTTCTTTCTAATATAAGGCTTTAATGTTATAAATTTCCCTCTAAGCACGCATTTAGTTGTATTCCCCCAAATTTTGATATGTTTTATTTTCATTCTCTTTTCATTTTTTAAATTAATACACTTTTTAAGAGCAGCTTTGGGCTTACAGAAAAATTAAGCATATAGCACAGAGAGTTCTATCTATACCTATTATTCACCCAAACACACGCACACACGGTTTACCCTAGCTTTTTTGTTTGTTTGTTTGTTTGTTTGTTTGACATGGAGTTTCGCTCTTTTGCCCAGGCAGCAGTGCAATGGCGTGATCTCGGCTCGCTGCAACCTCTGCCTCCCGGGTTCAAGCAATTCTCCTGCCTCAGCCTCCCAAGTAGCTGAGATTACAGGCATCTGCTACCATGCTTGGCTAATTTTATATTTTTAGTAGAGACAGGATTTCTTCATGTTGGTCAGGCTGCTCTCGAACTCCCGACCTCAGGTAATCCGCCCACCTCGGCCTCCCAAAGTGCTGGGATTACAGGCGTGAGCCAGCACGCCCGGCCAGTTTACCCTAGTATTAACATCTTGGATTAGGGTGGTACTTTTGTTACAGTTGATAAGCCAATATATACATTATTTTAACTAAAGTTCATAATTTACATTAGGATTTATTCTTTTTATTGTATATTCTACGGGTTTTGACAAACTTATCATGATTTGTATTCACCATTACTGTATCCTATAAAAGAATTTTACTGCCCTAAAAATTTCTGTGCTGTAACTGTTTATCTGTCCTTTCCTTCTCCCAAATCCCTGGCAATGACTGAACTATTCACGGTGTCTGTAGTTTTGCCTTTTCCAGAATATCAGGTAGTTGGAATCATGTAGTATGAAGTCTTTTCCAATTGGCTTCTTTTACTTAGCAATATGCATTTAAGTTTCCTTTATGTATTTTTACAGCTTGATGGCTCAAACTTTTTATCACTGAATAATACTTTTTTACTTTTTTCACTGAATAATAATTCAGTATATGGATGCACCACAGTTTATCCTTTATCCATTCACCTATTGAAGGACATCTTGGTTGCTTTCAACTTTCGGTAATTATGAATAAAACTGCTAAAATATTTGTGTGCAGGTTTTTGTATGGACAGAAGTTTTCAACTCATTTTGGTAAATACCAAGGGCTATAATAGCTGGATCATATGGTAAGCATATGTTTAATTTTGTAAGAAACTGCCAAACTCTCTTCCCAACTGGCTGTGTGGGAAGTGACCGTTTGTATTACCAACAATGAATGAGAATGCCTGCTGCCCCTTATCCTTGCCAGCATTTGATGTTGTCAGTGTTTTGGATTTTAACCATTTTAATAGATGTATAGGAATAGCTTACTGTTGCTTTAATTTACAATTTTCGAATGACATATGATGTTAAGAATCTTTTCATATGCTTATTTGGTGAGCTGTTCATATCTTTTGCCTGTTTTTTCAAATTGCTTTGTTTTCTTATTGTTGAGTTTTAACAGTTCTTTGTGTATTCTGGATGCAAGTCCTTTATCAGATCTGCAAATATTTTCTCCAAGTCTGTGGCTTCTCATTTTATTTTCTTGACAGTGTCTTTTACTGAGCAACAGTTTTTAATTCTAATAAAGTCCAACTCTTTTTTAATTTTAATAAAATCCATAAAATTTTGCTTTCATAGATTGCCCTCTTGGCAATGTATCTAAAAAGTCATCACCAAATTTAAGGTCACCTAGATTTTCTCTTATTCTGTCTTCTACAGGTTGCATTGTTCTGTTTTTTACATTTAGATCCCTGATCTAAGTTACTTTTAGAGAAAAGTGTGAGGTCTGTGTGTAGATTATGTTGTTGTTGCTGTTGTTTGTGGATGTCTATTTCTTCCAGCACCATTTGTTGAGAAGACTATGCTTTCTCTATTGAAATGCTTTTTTGCTCCTTTGTCAAAAAAATCAGTTGTCTATATTTATGTGAGCCTTTTCTGGGCTCTCTGTTATGTTTCATAATCTAGCCATTCTTTCCTTGTCTTGATTACTGTGGCTTTATAGTTACTCTTTAAATCAGGTAGTGTCAGTCTGCTGACTGTTTTTCTCTTTCAATATTGTGTTGGCTATTCCGGTTTTTTGCTTTTATACAAAACTTTAGAATTAGTATGTTGATATCTACAAAATAACTTGCTGGAAATATTACTGGGATTGCATTGAATCTCTATATTTAGTTGGGAGAAACTGACATCTTGATAATATTCCGTATACATGGAATATCATTCTGTATATTTAAATCTTCTTTGATTTGTTTCATCACAGTTTTATAGTTTTCCTTATATAGATTTTGCACATATTTTGATAAATCTGGTACTTTTTTGTTAGATTTATACTTACATCTTAATGTCAATGTAAGTGATAATGTATTTTTAATTTCAAATTTCAATTGTTCATTGCTGGTATATAAGAAAGCAATTGACTTCGCATATTAACCTTATAACTTGCAATCTTGCTTTAATCACTTAGTTTCAGGGGTTCTGTTATTGTTGATTTTGTGAGATTTTTCTATGTAGACAATCATGTTATCTGTGAACAAAGTTTTATTTCTTCCTTTACATATACCTACCTTCCATTTCCTTTTCTTGTCTTAATGCATTAGCTAGGACTTGCAGTACTATGTTGAATAGGAGTGATTAGAGGAGACATTCTTTCTTTTTTTCTGGTCTTAATAGTAAAGCATCTATATATTCTTACCATTAAGAGTGATGTTAACTGTAGAATTTTTTAGATGTATTTTATCAATTTGAGAAATTTCCTCAATATTTCTACTTTGTTGTTCTTGTCATGAATGGGTATTGGATTTCCCTAAATGCATTTTCTGCATCTCTTGATACAATCATATGATATTTTGGATTGCATACCTGGAATAAATACCACTTGGTCATGACATATAATTTGTTTTACACGTTGTTAAGTCCAACTTACTAATATTTTGTTGAAGGTTTTTCTGTTCATTCTCTTCTAGTTCAAAATATTTTAAAATTTCTCCTGAGATTTCCTTTTGAGCAATGAGTTATTGATAAGAGTTTTTACGTTTCCAAATATTTGAGAATTTTTCAGATATCTTCTGTTATTGCTTTTTATTTTATTTTATATGGTACACAGACTTTTTATGATTTTTATTCTTTCAGATTTATTTTTAATTTTTAAAAATATGCTTTTAATTGTTTTTGTACTGATCTGGAACATGGTGTATCTTAGTGAACGTTTCATGTTTTTCCTGCTGTTATTGGGGTTGCTTTACACATCAGTTCGGTTAGGTGGGTTATGAATGTTTTTGGTCATCTAACATTACTATTTTTTGCCTGCTTGTACTGTAATAGCAATTACTGAAAAAGAAGTATTGAAGTCTCTAACTATAATTATAGATTTGTCTATTCCTGCTTTCAAATCTACCAGTTTTTAGCCTTATGTAACTTAAATTCTATTGTTAAGTCATTTCATAGTTTTTCATTCTTAAAGGATAATACCAGAATATACTTATATTTCTGAGTTGGCAGGTTTTTTAAAATCTTTCAGCATTTTACCTGTGTTACTCCATTCTTTCTGGTTTGCATGATTTTGGAAAATTTTCAACCATTATTACTTCAATTATTTCTTCTCTAATGTCTTTTATTTCTTTCTGGATTTTCTGATTACTTATATATTAATAAATACACAGCTCTTTTGCTTTGTGGAGGTTTTTTTTTTCTTCTTCTTTTTTTTCTTCTTGCCTTTTAGTTTAGGCCATTTTTATTGTACTTTGTACCTTTCTAAGCGCCCCAATTCTTTGTTCAGCTGTGTGGAGTGTAATGAAGAACCTATGGATGGCATTCTTCACATCCTTAGGTGTGTTTGGTTATTTTAACTTCCCTGTATGATAGTGCCTACATTTGTGTCATACCTGGGTTTGGTTCTGATTGCTTTGCTTCTTCAAACTATGCTTTTTCTTGCCTTTTTGTTTGTTCTACAATTTTTCTTTTGAAAGTCAGATATATTTGTAAGAAATTAGATATTAGGCTGAGGCAGGAGAATGGCATGAACCCGGGAGGCGGAGCTTGCAGTGAGCCGAGATCGCGCCACTGCACTCCAGCCTGGGCGACAGAGCGAGACTCCGTCTCAAAAAAAAAGAAATTAGATATTGAGTAAATAGTTTTCATGCTTTGAGACAAGCATGAATGGGTGTTGGATTTCCCTAAATGCATTTTCTGCATCTTCTTCTCCTAGGCCCATGTATACAATGGGTTTTGCATTAGTGACCTTATAGATTGGGCTGGGTTTGGAGTTTGTTGTTGCCGGGGTTACCCACAGTGCATGCGAAAGCTCAGATTCAGCTTATTCAAAAGATGCCTGGCTTGTCTCACCACTGCACTGGGGTCTTCCCTTTGTGCTGCTTCCCAAAGAGTCTGCCTCTTGCTGCTCTCTGAGTTATACCCCACTGTGGTTCTTATTCTACACTTGTTATGGTGGGTGGGGGTTGTAGGACATATGTGTTCTCTCAACAATTACTATTTTGACCTACATACCTGTGGTGTGGTTAGTTGATCATAAATTCCTTAAGAATTAAAGCATCTTTGATTAGAGTCTTTCTAAGTAGAAATACTCTAAGTCTACTAGGCAGAAACGTGACATGAGTTGCTCTATAGGGATTTTTAGATTTTTTTTGCCCAGTTCCTAAACCTAAGGACAGTTCACATAACTGAAGTTCTATGATTGACGGAGAAGCTCGTTTGTTTTGAAGGACGACCCTGACTGACAGCTGTACATACACACTGCAACTCTATACCTTCCCCAGAAGGGCTTGTTGCTATCTGCCAGAGTTACTGTGCACTGGAAAGGAAAATATTCACATGCTAATTTCTAGGTCCCCAGAAAGTCAGTGTGGCCTATCATTGAGAGTGTGTGCCATAGTTCATAGAAGTGAAATACAGTCTTAACTTGAATTCAACTCATACTGGCTCCTATGGTTTGTACACACACCTTGAGGTAAGTTTCTGATCCTAGAATGTAATTGGGACTAGTTATGCTTAGTAACATGCAGAGTTCTCACATTAGCTTCCTGGTGTGTAATGAATGTGATTTTAGTAGGAAAGACTTTGGAATGCCCACTCTCCAAGTTATTAACAAAGCAATACCACATTCCAGGGGAAATTTCAGAGATTAATGCCACCATAAAGCTCTTGAAAAATAAAGGTATTGTGATTCCCAGTATAGTCTATGTAACTCTCCTTTATGACTACTGCAATAAATTATAAAGATCTTGGAGGGTGATCAGGGACTGCTGAACAATTAATCAGATAGAGACATTGCTCAGAATATAGTATTTTAACTGGAGTAAATCAGTGAAGTCCCTGGCACCTGCTATTTAGCTATTGCCCTAGCATTTCCCCACCTAAATCTTATCAGCAAAGATAATGGTTTTATGCAGTTTGCCTGTGACAAGAGCAGCAATATACCTTTGGTGTCTTAACTCCAGGCTAGGTTTGCTCTCCTATTCTCTTTTGGTATATTGTTTTGAGAGACTCTGATTTTGCTAATTATCCATAAAACCTCACACTGATCCATTATAATAATGTCATCATACTAACTGGATCTTCAAAGTAGGAGGTAGCAAACAGACTTGGTTAGACCCATGCATATCCCAGGCTGAGAAATAAGTCCTACAAATGTTTAGGGATATGACATATTAGTGAGATATCCAGGGACATATGAAAAGAAGAATTAAATACAAAAGTATTTTTTTAAAATTTTTTTTTACTTCTTTAAAAAAAAAAGAAATGCAAAAGAGTGAGGCTTCAGAAGACTCAGCAAGTCAAAACACAACAGGCATTTAAATGGGAAAAACTCCTCAAAACCTGTCGAGGTTAATGAGTTTTCACGTAACCTGTTTATCATGGAGAAAGTAATTTTCTCACATATTATCATATCCACAAAGACATGACTTATCTTCAAATATCTTCAGTTATATTAGGGGCCAAGGTTGGATTTATTTTTGTTAGAGAATCAGCAACTGACAGGGAATTCTGATGGTTTTATTATTTCTGGTGTACATCAGTATACAACATAATGTTTTGAAACTGTCTGTGGAATGCTTACTCACGGGGGACATAAGGGGAGATACCAGTTTTGCCCCAAATAGCCCACATCAGGAATTGCTTCCATCTCTGCTTTCTTGGCTTTTCTAGGTTTGGAGGCTCTGGTGATAAGGGGAACTGCTTCCAGCAGAAAACAAAGTCATAGCGGTGTGAAACTGAGACCACCCAGTTAGGGCTTTACGTGCCACGAGAACCACATGCAGATGAGGTGGTTGGGTGAACCGTTCAAGGTGCTGTAGCTTTCAGGCGAGTATGACTGAATTGACATCTCCTTGTTATGATCCTGTAGCTGATGGGACTCCGTCATTTCCCTGGGACAGAACCTTGGTTTTTCGTACAGACACAGAAATACTTGATGTTGACAAAGAAAAGTGGTGGGCTATGCTGGGCCATCTGCTTTTGCCCTTCCAGACCCGACCTCCACTTTCAGCATGCGTCTGTCCCCAGGATGGGCTGGGCTTGTGGGTGGTGCAAGGAGAGAGTGGTATTACACCACTGCATCCCTCCATGCCAGGTTCCTGGGGTGGCAGTGACTACTTTTCTCTTCTGGAAGCACAGCTTCTTGTGTCTTTCTTTTAGAACAGCAGTTTCCTTGCTGATGTTTTGTGGCCCCTCTTTCCAGCTGCTGGCCCTGGAAAAAGTGCCAGCAAAGTTCCTCACAGTTCTTTGCTGTTTTCCATTACTGTGCCCATGTTATTGTAAATTATTGTTGCATTGAAGCTTTCTTCAATGTGCCACCTATGTCCTGTAAGGAGACTGAAACAATATCAGAATATCAGAAAATACCAGAATATGAAAGTGACCGTTAACAACAACAACAATGACAAAACCACTTTCTGACAGCCTGGAGTTTTCTGAACTCTCCTTCACTGGAGGTTTTCATTAAGGTTGGTTTACATGACCTCAAATCATAGACAGACTACAGAACTAAATAAATCAGTTAAGTTGGGTGGTCACCCCTAAGAGCTGTGCAGAGAAACTCAGATAGCTGATGGTCAATGGACTAAATGAGCTTCACTGTTTTTCTAATGCCAGCACAGACTCTTATGGGTTCCCATCTGGCTTGCAGACTCAATTTTATGAGTTTTCTCTTAACCAAATGTGTGTGCTGTAGTCACTTTTGAGACTCTGGTTTTGGTAGTAAAGGGCTCTAGTATTTTTTGTAAGGCAAGTAAGACAATGCCATGTTCGCACTGTGTTCCCAAGTCTGAATGAAGAGAATACAGATCCGGAAACAGACATAGCTGATCTATTCTATCTCCATTGTAAAATACAGCAGAGATTTCTGGTTAAGCATGAATAATAAGGCTGGGCACAGTGGCTCATGCCTATAATCCCTGCACTTTGGGAGGCCAAGGGAAGAGGATTGTTTGAGCCCAGGAGTTCAAGAGCAGCCTGGATGGCCTACAGAGGCCTCATCTCTACCAAAAAAAGTATAATAATTAGCCAGGTGCAGTGGCATACACCTGTAGTTCCAGCTACTAGGGAGGCTGAGGACCCAGGAGTTAGACATTTCCGTGAGCTATGATCATGCCACTCCACTCCAGCCTGGGCAACAGAGTGAGACCCTGTCAACAACAACAAGAAGAATGAATAATAACAGAAATTTAGAAATAAATTTAGTAGAGTAGAGACACAATAGCAGTGCGGAAGATGCAGGATGGATTAGACTGTTTGATATGTAATACTTCTATCCTTTCTCCTTAACGGCTTAGGATAAGATGGGGTGGAAGGGGCTAGAAGTGTATTGAAAAGAAAGATTAAGCAAAGCCAGGGTTAGAACCTGTAATACTATACTTTGTTAAATCAGGAAGTGAATCTCATGTAATCATATAAGATTTTGTTGTCTGACCTTTAGTTTTCTATGTCACAAAATATTTTTGGTATTTAGAGCAGTGTCTAATATATAGTAATTCTGAATAGCTATTTGTCATGTGGAAGAATGATACTTCCACTTGAAATTACAGAAATGAGCTTAGCAATTCCTGTTGTGATCAGCATAGCTATGTCACATTATAGAAAATATTGGCCGGGCACGGTGGCTCACGCCTGTAATCCCAGCACTTTGGGAGGCCGAGGCGGGTAGATCACGAGGTCAGGAGTTTGAGACCAGCTTGGCCAACATAGTGAAACCCCGTCTCTACTAAAAATACAAAAAATTAGCTGGGTGTGGTGGTGGGTGCCTGTAATCCCAGCTACTTGGGAGGCTGAGGCAGGAGAATTGCTTGAACCTGGGAGGCAGAGGTTGCAGTGAGCCAAGATAGTGCCATTGCACTCCAGTCCGGGCGACAGTGTGAGACTCATCTAAGAAAGAGAGAAAGAAAGAGAGAAAGAGAGAAAGAGGGGAAGGAAGGAAGGAAGGAACAAACGAACGAACGAGGGAAGGAAGGAGGAAGGAAAATATTAATGGATATGTAAAGCAGTTGACTTCTGTTTATTATGGCAGAAAGGGTATCAGAAAGAACTAAACCCTCTCCCATGTGTAACCAAAACTCTGGCCCAGACAAATGAGAGGCTACTCATGTATGCCAGGCACATGGGGGAAGGGAGGCAGGCAGACAAGGAAAGGCTTCCTCCTGGCTACTCAAAGCTGGATGACCAAGGGATGCTTGAATTTTCTCCAACTCTTTGAAAGACTATACTCGATTCCATTTCTTATTTCATTATACTTTTTCATGCATTAGCCTCATCACCCTGGACAGCACAGTCGTTAAGCACTTGTTCAACCAGAGAGCCAAGCAAAGGTTCCTGCATTGTACAAAGCCATTGTCTTTGGCCCCAGTGATTCTACAAGGTGGTGGAAATTCCCTATTTTTACATTCCATTTGTGTATGGTTTATTTCCCTCATCGTGATTGTACACATGTGATTTCACTGGAGCCTCAGAAGCCTCTTGTAGATGAGAAATGTAGCCCTGCAGCGGCTCTCCTCTTTCTCCAGGGAGAGTCGGGTGGCCCACGTTGCTCGTCCTGAGATTCTGAGCAGAGCTCACCTCCTGCCATGTGGTCACTGAGTAGCCTGCCAGGCTCTGCTGCCTTCTCAGTGGTCACACTTATATAAAGACATTTGAGAACAGAAGTGACAGTGTTAATCTAAACACATTATTTGCCTGCATAAAATTTATTTTGCAATGGGATTGGCAAAAATGTATCTAACTTGCCAAATTTTCTGAAATGGATCCCTGAATTTGAGATGTTTCTTAGTAGCCTGGGAGGTGCAGTTGTACCTGAATGTCAGAAGATTGCATGCTTACATCTGTTTTCAGATAAGTAGTAAAAATGCCAGGCATTTTAATGGAAAGTCACTTGTCACTAATGAAACAGATGATTTACTCTTTTGTCTTTCACACTGGTAACCATGGCAGTACATCTCAATTCTTGTAGAACATTATTTCTAAGATAATTCCTCAAGGCTATTTAGACTTAGCACATCTTACAGGCTACAATTTTGTACCATAGTCTTTTAGAGGAATCCATCATTTTAAAATCCTCAGATTCAGGAGGTATATAGGACCAAGCTATAGGAATTAGGAGAGTGTCAATAAAAACTGTTGTGCATATCTTTTCACAGTTAGCAAAATTCTCAACCATGACTCTGCAACAGAATCCCCTGGGAACTCTAAAAATGCTTATGCCCGGGCCCTCACTGTATCAGAATGTCCGAGGTAGGGAGAAGTCTGCATATTTTCTCAAAGATCCCCTAGTGATTCTAATGTGCACCCAGGAATAGTACATTTAGCTTTTCTGCAACTAAATGGATCAAGAGATTAAATTGCAACACCCAAAAACCCTTGGCAATTTTTCATTAGCATACCACAGTCATAATCTCTTCCATTAGTATATGTACAGAGACCAGGAACTAGGTATTGTCTCCATGGAATTACCTTCCATGGAGAAGATAAGGGTGTCAATAGCAAGAAGGTGATGAAGTGAAGGCAAGGGTATCATGCACACCGTATCTTAGTTCATCTGAGTTCCTCGGCTGTAAGCAGAATGTCGTTCTGAAAATAGCACAATCAAGTGAGATACCTTGAGCAAAAAAAAAAAAAAAAAAAAAAGGAGATGGAACTGCCTTCTCAGCACATCTCCTTTCCTAGTACATGATTGGTTTCTATTATCAACTATAAATCAAGTTTGATTTAGAGCTATGTTCTGCTTATATCAGGACTTTTCAGTTACTCTATCAGAATTCCTTAATATGATTTTATTTTTAAAAGTTAATTCAAAAAGTGTATTTCTGGGAACCTATAGCAATCAGTCTTGCTTTTATTGCAAATATGTTTATGTGTATATATATAATTTTTTTCAATTCAAAAACCGATGGAACTTCCTTTAACCGTAACCACTAAAATGTCAGTAAATGCAGTAACTATCTGACTTGATGAGACTCTCAACCAAAACCCAGTCTTTCCAACATATAAGCTGTCCAATAACAGGATTGATTGACAGCTTTCATAAGAGGAGTTTCCACAACAGGAGCTTCCACATACATTACCAGGCTTGCGCACTTTGAATTGCAGCCTTGTCACAAGACACTCTAAAAAGACTGATTGGTTCTGATGTACCTAAAAAAGGAGACTTGCCAGCATGTATCAAAATACAGAGAAAAGTGGAGTATCCTCATGCAGCACCCTCTATGCTCTATTCTGTAATATTAATACCAAGGAGAGTTTACCCGGAAACTGTCAGATTTCTTTCTTTCTTTTTCTTTTTTCTTTTTTCTTTTTTTTTTTTAGACGGAGTCTGACTTTGTCACCCAGGCTGGAGTGCAGTGGTGCGATCTCGGATCACTGCAGCCTTCGCCTCCCTGGTTCAAGCAATTCTCCTGCCTCAGCCTCCCAAGTAGCTGGGATTACAGGCATGCGCCACCATGCTTGGCTAATTATTTTGCATATTTAGTAGAGACAGGTTTTCACCATATTGGCCAGGCTGGTCTTGAACTCCTGACCTTGTGATCCACCCGCCTCGGCCTCCCAAAGTGTTGGGATTACAGGCGTGAGCCACCATGCTGGCCCTAGATTTCTTAAGACAGACAAGAGTCAGCCTCAGGAGAAAGATTAGCCTTTTGAGAAGAACTGCTTGGACTTAACTTAAGGGACTATGGTTACATCCAAACCCCACTAGAAATATTCTCACTAGATTTTAAAACAGGACTTATTTTGTTTCTTAATTAATCAATATATTCAAAAGAGAACAGGGTTATCCTTCACAAAGAATGAAACAGTGATGCCTCCTGCCTGACGTTTTCCTCTGGCCTTAGACCATGCTATGCAGCAGAGGCTTAAAAGTGGTTGGGGCAACTCCTGCTTCAGTGAGAATGTCTAAAATTCATGTCCACAGAAAGGTATACAGACCAAGCATGTACTCTTCACAGAGAGTATGGTATCAAAAATTGGAGTGCCAGGTTTTTCTAAATGTTAATCCCATAAGAAATAAAAGATTTGGCAGCACCATGGGTAATATGAAATGAGTGGTGACAGGTGACCCTAGAATAAATGAAAGAAGCAACATTTTTTCCTTGGGTTGGGATGCATTCATGGAGAGTATGTAACTTAGTAATGACAGCAGGGTACCAAAGCGAAACTCCAAGACTGCAGGTAAAGATCGGCCATATTATGCTTAACAGTATTCAGCTCACAGTGCAGACCTATGTAGAGGAGCCAAACCGGGATTGTTTTATGTTCCCAAATTGCCAGGACTCTTTGTGTTGTAAAAATAACAAAGATGATGATGATGATGATAGTTAACATGTATTGGATGCATAATATGTATAGGCTCTGTTCTAAGAACTTCACTGGTGATATCCCTATTTAATCCCATAACAACTGTAGAAGGCAGGTATTATTATCTCCCCATTTTACAGATAACTGAGTCGCAGGGACATTAACTTTTTTTCTTTCTTTTTTTTTTTTTTCTATAAGAATGTTTTAGCCAGGCACCGTGACTCACTCCTATAATCCCAGCACTTTGGGAGGCCAAGAGGGGGCGGATCACCTGAGGTCAGGAGTTCGAGACCAGCCTGGCCAACATGGTGAAACCCCATCCCTACTAAAATTACAAAAATCAGCTGGGTGTGGTGGCGCATGCCTGTAGTCCCAACTGCTGGGGAGGCTGAGGCAGAAGAATCACTTGAACCCGGGAGGTGGAGGTTGCAGTGAGCCTAGATGGCGGCGCCACTGCACTCCAGCCTGAGTGACAGAGCCAGACTTCATCTCAAAAAAAAAAAAAGGAATGCTTTATTAGCCAAAACCGCATACTATGAAAATGCTTTAAAATGCGACAGGATGTGATGTGAAGACATAAAGGATGTGATGTGAAGCACAGTGACACATGGCTATCAGAACACAGAACACATGGCTATCAGAACACATAAGTAAAGAATCCACACTGCCTCCACTCTTTACCTGGTAAAGGAAGGACCTAGGCCACCTCCTCCTCGGCACACTCCTCCTCAAACTCTCCCTCCTCCTCAGCTGTGGCATCCTGGAACTGTTAGTACTCAGACACCAGCTCGAACACATTAATGTCCCTCAATCTCAGTTACCTGTAAAATACCTACCTGTCCTATCATATAACTAGTAATGATAGGAATAGGAATAAAACCCAAATAGAAATCCTGCATCTATGCTACCCTAAATAGCAACTGTGCTGTAAAATACTTGCAGTCTACCCTGCTTTCAAGAAATAGAGCAGGCTGGGAATCATGGCTCATGCCTGTAATCCCAGCACTTTGGGAGGCCGAGACGGGCAGATCATGAGGTCAGGAGATCGAGACTATCCTGGCTAACACAGTGAAACCCCGTCTCTACTAAAAATACAAAAAAAAAATGTTAGCTGGGTGTGGTGGCCGGCGCCTGTAGTCCCAGCTACTCAGGAGGCTGAGGCAGAAGAATGGCGTGAACCCGGGAGGCGGAGCTTGCAGTGAGCTGAGATTGCGCCACTGCACTCCAGCCTGGATGACAGAGTGAGACTCCATCTCAAAAAAAAAAAAAAAAAAGAAATAGAGCAAAATTGTGCACACAAACGAATGGCACTTTCCTGTATGTGCAGCTGGCATAGCACCTGGCTACGCTCCTCACAAGGCCTGCCTTGGCCACTTCTCCCTCCGCGTGCCCTCGGATCACACAACCTTCCACATAATCATTGTTATGTAAAGATAATCAGTTCCTGGAGCTCAAGTATTTTTCCTGACAAATGTCTCTCTTGTGGTATTTAGACAATAGTTATTATTTGTAATAGAATCTGGCATTCTGGTAAAAGTTAATTGACATGGCCCGAAGAAGTAATAAGCATATGCAGATTAAAGTATTTCTTCTTTGTCCACATTTCAGGTGACATTTTTCAGATGCCACACTTAAAGGGATAGGATTAATGCTCTGTGGATGTATCCTCTTCCTTTCCACATCAAAAGAAAGGCTGTGCAATCTGCTACCACCATCATTCTGGGGTCACAGATGATGATGACACAGAGCAATGAACTAGATGATCACAGTCACAGAGTGAGGGAAAGAGACTAATCTGCATGGTCTTCGTCCGTGCACCACAGGCTGTGCAGGAAGCTGGAGGGTTGTGACCACCTCCAATGCATCAGGCCACATGCCCAACAGAGCAAGTGGCAGGCCCCAAGCACGTTGTCGTTACAGCCTCACTCCAGAGCTGCTTCCTGGGGATTTAAGGTAGGAAAAAAAAGCAAGCAAAATGTTAATCCTATAAGAATAAAAGATTTGGCAGCACCATGGGTAATATAAAATGAGTGGCGGTAGGTGACCCTCGAATAAATGAAAGTGCCGTTTTCCCATTTATCCATCCATTCATTCTACAAATATTTACTGAGCATGTACCATGAGCCCAGCAGACATAGCCCCTGTCCGCAATATGCTCAAAGATTACTGAGGGCATAAATAAGAAAATCACCAGGCCAGGCACGGTGGCTCACGCCTGTAATCCCAGCACTTTGGGAGGCTGAGACAGGCGGATCACAAGGTCAAGAGATGGAGACCATCCTGGCTAAGATGGTGAAACCCTGTCTCTACTAAAAATACAAAAAATTAGCCAGGTGTGGTGGCGGGCACCTGTAGTCCCAGCTACTTGGGAGGCTGAGGCAAGGAGAATGGCGTGAACTAGGGAGGCAGAGCTTGCAGTGAGCCGAGATCACACCACTGCACTCCAGCGTGGGGGACAGAGCGAGACTCCGTCTCAAAAAAAAAAAAAAAAAGAAAAGAAAATCACCCATGTGATTTATGGGCACAGAAGGGGCACTCCTAACCCAAAACCAATGAAGCCATTCTTAAAGAGGCCACCTGAGAGCTGAATCTTGAGGGACTGGTAGTGGTAGCCAGGACCCCAGGCAGAGGTGCTGTCCAGATGAGGATGGAGCAGGTGAAATGCTTGAACAAACACGACCTGCTAAAGAAGCTTGATGAGACTGAGGCTGAAGAGTCATGTGAGGCTGTGTCTGGGGGAGAAGAGAACAGTGGGACCAGATAATGAAGAGCCTTGTGAAAGAAGTTATCTTAAAAGCAACCAGGTTGCAGTGAGCCGAGATCACGCCACTGCACTCCAGCCTAGGTGGCAGAGCAAGACTCTGTCTCAAAAAAAGTCCTGAAGAATATTACAAAGGAGAAGAGCACTATCTAATTTGTACAATTCTGAAATAACTGCAGAGCCTATGCAGAAGTGATTGACAAGTAAGAAAAGCATTTTAGAGGATTATTACTTTGGCACAGGGAAAAATCCTATTGAGGTTTGAAACTGGAGAAAGTAGTAGTGGTGACGGATTGAAACATGGCAACTGACATGATATGTGGGATCAAAGAGGAAGGCTGACTCACAGGTAGGGTTGGTACCTGAATGGGAGATGGCAGTGCTAAGGGAAGAAGTATGTGGGGACTTTAACCGTGGGCCAGTGGCGCAATGGATAACGCGTCTGACTACGGATCAGAAGTATGTGGGGACTGAGGATAGGGAGGATAACATTACAACCTCAGTTTAGGGTAGGATGCTCAAACAGTTTGTAAGAGGTTGAGACGACTCTAAAACACTGTGTCTAAAATTAAAGGAGGAGGACAGAGTTAGAGAAATCTGCAATTTTTTTCTTTGCAATAAATCATGGATTAAGTCATGGGGGTGCATATGTTGGACAAAGTAAATGTTTTCTCATACTGACGAGATCCAAAGGCAGAACCCTGAGGAACACCAGCCTTTACATGGCACCAAGAAAGATAAGGCAAAAGAAAGATTGGTTGAAAAATAATGGCGTAAGTGGTTGGAAGAAAGCCAGCAGAGTGTCACAAAAAGCAGTGGAGGCCTTCCAACTTTTGTTCAACCACGTAAAGCACTGAGGTCACAAGAAAAATCACCACTACAAAATCAGGAGAATCTGGCATATCCCAAGAGATACAGGACTCAAGAGTTGCTTACCTGGAGCAGAAGGCATCAGATGCCAGATGTGAGCAGGAACACTTAATAACAATTCAGATGATTTCCCAGAAGCTGAGGAGCTCCCTCAGTCTGAGGGGAACTCCTGCATTTTCCCAGGCTTTTCCTCTAGGATCTCTACCAAGTTTTCACAGGAGGATCTGGGAGAGCTCTCAGCATGACCTGGCAGGGGGTGGGAGGACTAGCCATCCTGAACCCTCCCAAATCCTTCCACAAACAAATGGCAATTCTGAAACCTTGTTTTTGTTGGGGGAAGAAACCTCTGCCCCATCTAGGCTGCTCCAGCCTTCCTGTCACACCAAAAGGAAAAAAAAGCCACAGTCAATAGAGGAGAGGGCATAAAGAAAATAGCCTGGGAATGCTCAGCACCTTGGGGGCCACTCCTAAGACATTTCTGAGGGACACATCCCTGAGTCACAGACCCACTAAAAGACTGACGTGTAATCAGAAGATCAGAGAATACCTTTCTCCCTCACATAATACCGTCAAACCAACAATCCTCCATTAATAACAGTGGATTGCAGTTTAAATTGCTGCAAGACACAGAGTCTCTAAGGAGCAGTACAAAGAGAAACCCCAAAGCCAAAAGGAGAGAAAAAGCAAGCCCAGTAGAATCATTTGAAGGCTCTGCTACTATACCTACATCAAACATGAAACACAGCCCAGCAGATATTCAAATTACACACTAAAGGCATTCATCTCAGTAATTGTTACTCTATAAAACATGGGCCAATTTCTGGGCCAGGTGCAGTGGCTCATGCCTGTAATCCCAGCACTTTGGGAGGCTGAGGCAGGCAAATCACAAGGTCAGAGATCGAGACCATGGTGAAACATGGTGAAACCCCATCTCTACTAAAAATACAAAAAAATTAGCTGGGCATGGTGGGATGTGCCTGTAGTCCAGCTATTTGGGAAGCTGAAGCAGGAGAATCGCTTGTACCCCGGGAGGTGGAGGTTGCAGCGAGCCGAGATTGCGCCACTGCACTCCAGCTTGGCAAAAGAGTGAGACTCCATCTCAAAAAAAAATAATAATAAAAAATAAATGGGCCAATTTCTATAAATATTAAAAGCCATGCCAATAGGCAAGAATAAACACAGTCTGATGGCACAAAGTAATTATCAGAACAAGGCTCAGATATGACACAGATGTCAGAATTATCAGACAAGGAATTTAAAATTACTATGACTGCTATAGTTGGGATATGGTTTGTGCCCACCAAATCTCTTGTTGAAACTTGATCCCAGACATTGGAGGTGTGGCCAGGTGGGAGGTGTTTGGGCCTCAGAAGTGGATCCCTCATGAATAGATTAGTGCTTTCTTTGATGATGGGTGGGTTGAGTGAGTTCTTTATTAGTTCTCTCAAGAATTGGTTGTTAAATATACTCTGGCCCTCAAAAAAACAAAAATAGAGCTACCATATGATCCAGCCATCTCATTGCTAGATATGTAGGCTGAAGAGGAGAAATCAATACATCAAAGAGATATCTGTACTCCAGTGTTCATTGCAGCACTATATAGTATAGCCAAGATTTAAAGCAACCTGGCCAGGCGCAATGGCTCACGCCTGTAATCCCAGCACTTTGGGAGGCCAAGGCGGGTGGATCACCTGAGGTCAGGAGTTCGAGACCAGCCTGCCCAATATGGGGAAACCCCATCTCTACTAAAGATACAAAAAATTAGCCAGGTGTGGTGGCATGTGCCTGTAATCCCAGCTACTTGGGGGGCTGAGGCAGGAGAATCACTTGAACCCAGGAGGTGGAGGTTGCAGTGAGCCAAGATCATGCCATTGCACTCCAGCCCAGGTGACAGGGCGAGACTCCATCTCAAAAAAAAAAAAAAAAGAAGATTTAAAGCAACCTAAGTGTCCATCAACAGATGAATGGATAAAGAAAATGTGGTATATATACATAATGGAGTGCTATTCAGTCATAAAAAGATAAAAAGGAATGAGATTCTGTCATTTGCAACAACGTGGAGGAAACTGGAGGTCATCATGTTAAGTGAAATAAGCCATTCACAGAAAGACAAACTTCACATGTTCTCACTTATTTGTGGGAGCTAAAAATTCAAACGATTGAATTCATGGGGATAGAGTGTAGAAGGATGGTTACCAGAGGCTGGAAAGGATAGTGAAGTTGGGGGAAGTGGTCGTGGAGGAAGTGGGGATAGTTAATGGGTATAAAAATACAGTGGCCGGGCGCAGTGGCTCACACCTGTATTCCCAGCACTTTGGGAGGCCAAGGCAGGCAGATCACGAGGTCAGGAGTTCGAGACCATCCTGGCTAACACGGTGAAAACCTGTCTCTACTAAAAAATTAGCCGGGCATGGTGGCACATGCCTGTAGTCCCAGCTACTTGGGAGGCTGAGGCAGGAGAATGGCTTGAACTTGGGAGGCAGAGGTTGCAGTGAGCTGAGATTGTGCCACTGCACACCAGCCCTGGTGACAGTGAGAAACTCTGTCTCAAAAAAAAAAAAAAAATATATATATATATAGTTAGAAAGAATAAGATCTAGTATTTAGTAGCACAATGGGATGACTATAGTCAATAATAATAATTGTATATTTTTAAATAACTAAAAAAGTATAATTCAATTGTTTGTAACACAAAGGATAAATGCTTCAGGTGGCAGATAGCCCATTTACCCTGATGTGATTATTACACATTGTATGCCTATATCAAAGTATCTCAGGTATCCCATAAGTTATGTACCTGCAAAAAATTAAAAATTAAAAAAATAGCCTGGCACCTCTCCCCCCCACACCAGGTGATCTCCAGATAGACCAGTTTCTGTTTGCCTTCCACCATGAGTGGAAGCAGCCTGAGGCCTCACCAGAAGCAGATGCTGGTGTCATGCTTCTTGTTCAGCCTACAGAACCGTGGGCCAAATAAGCCTCTTTATAAATTACCCAGCCTCAGCTATTTCTTTATAGCAACACTAAATGAACTAAGGCAAAGACTAATATGGTAAAGGTACTAATGGAAAAAGTAAATAACATAAAAGACCAGATAGGAATGGTAGCAGAGAGATGGAAGCTATAGAAATCAAAAAGAAATGCTAGGAATCAAAAGTAATAGAAATGAAGAATAACTTTGACAGGCTCATCTGTGGACTCAACACAGCTGAAGAAAAAAATCAGTGAACTTTAAGATAGGTCAATAGTTCACAAATGGAAACACACACACACACACAAATACAAATAACAGAAGAAAAGTTCCCAGCACTGTGGCACAATATGAAAAGGTGTGACATGCACATTTTTGGAGCACCAGAAGGAGCAGAAAGAGAATGGGGCAGAAGAAATCTTTGAAGAAATTATGACGAAGGAGTTTCAAAATCAATGACAGATACCACATCACAGATTCAGGAAGCTCACAGAATAACAAGCAGAGTATAAAATTAAAAAAAAAAACTAGAAAACACATATTCAAGCCATAAAGAAATAGACAAAATTTTGAAAGAAGACAAAGGGACAAAACAACCTATCTACAGAGGAATAAGAATACAAATAACAGCAGACACCATCCAAGAAAGAAAAGATTGGAGTAAAATATTTAAGAAAATAAAAACCCTGCCAATATAGGATTTGATATCCAATAAATTTTTTATCTTATTTTTATTAAAAGTGAAGGAAAAATATTTCTCAGCAAAGAAAATCTGATCCGGTTCATTGACAAGTAGACCTACCATACAACAGATGTTAAAATGTCTTCAGGCAGAAGGAAAATGACATAGGTCAGAAACTTGTTCTCACAAAAGAGAGAAAGTATCAAAAGAAATAAATGAAAGTAAAATAAATATTTTATTTTTCTATTCTTAATTGAGCTAGAAGAGAACTGTCTGAGGCAATAATACTAACATATTGAAGTTGACAGCATATAGAATAATGAAATGAATAACTTCGTAAGGGATAGAAGGGAAATTGGGAATGCTCTGTTATAAGGTACTAGCACTACACATGAAATAATGCTATTTGAAGGTGGACTTAGATTGTTTTAAAATGTATGCTATAAACCCTAGAACAATCACTGCAAAAAACTTATAAAGTATAATTGATATATAAAGAAAGGAGGCAATAGAAACTATATTTTATATAGTTTCTATATATAGTTTCTATATATAGTTTCTATATATAGTTTCTATATATAGTTTCTATATATAGTTTCTATATATAGTTTCTATATATAGTTTCTATATATAGTTTCTATATATAGTTTCTATATATAGTTTCTATATATAGTTTCTATATATAGTTTCTATATATAGTTTCTATATATAGTTTCTATATATAGTTTCTATATATAGTTTCTATATATAGTTTCTATATATAGTTTCTATATATAGTTTCTATATATAGTTTCTATATATAGTTTCTATATATAGTTTCTATATATAGTTTCTATATATAGTTTCTATATATAGTTTCTATATATAGTTTCTATATATAGGGTCTATATATATAGTTTCTATATATAGTTTCTAGAAACTATATATAGAAACTATATAAAATATGCAATTTAAAACCCTAAAGGCAGAAAAATGGGGAGAAGAAAAAAGAACAATGCGATAGAAAACAATTACTAAGATATCAGGTTTTAATCCAACTATATTCATTACCACTTTAAACGTTAATGGTCAAAATATACCAGATAAAGGACAGAAATTGTCAGATTGGATATATAAAAAAGACCCAACCATATACTGCTTAAGAAAACTCACATTAAATGTAAAACTCAAACGAGTTACAAGTAAGTGAATTGAGGAACATATACTATGCCAACACTAATAAAAGAAAGCCAGAATAGTTACATTGCTTTAAGACACAGCTGAGAACAATGAAGATTACCAGGCATGAAGAGTGATGTTACATAATCATAAATGAGATCAATTCTCCAAGAAGACATAAAAATCCTAAAGTGTATGCACCTAAAAACAAGCACCAAAATATATGAGGCAAAAACTTGTACAACTAAAAAGAAAAACAGACAATTTCACAATTATATTTGGAGACTTCAGTCACTGATAAATCAAGAAAGCAGAAAATTAGTAAGGATGTAGATGATCTGAACAGTACTATCAATCAACTTGATCTAACTGATATTTATAGAAACTTCTTTCAACATCAGCAGCATACATATTCTTTACAAGTGCACATAGGACATTCAACAAGATGGACCATACTCTGAGTTTAAAACACACCTTAATACATTAAAAACAACAGAAATCATACAAAATACAATCTAATAGCTCAATAGAATTAAACTAGAAATCCACACCAGAAAGATATCTGGAAAATTCCCAAATTTTAGGAAGTTAAACAATCTATGAGTCAAAGGGGTATGAAGAGAAATTTAAAAAAATATTTTAAACTAAATGAAAATGAAAATGTGGCTTATCAAAATTGATAAAATGCAGCTTAGACCATGATTAGAAGGGACTTGTAGCATTAAGTGCATATATTAGAAAATAAGAGAGATCTAAAATAAATAATCCAAGCTTCTACCTTAGTAATAAGAGACAAAAAAGATCAAATTAAACCTAAAACAAGCAGAAGGAACTAAATAATAAATATTAGAGTTAAAAATCAATAAACTTGAAAACAAAAGGAATCAAGAAATTCCATGAAACCAAAAGATGGTTGTTTGAAAAGATCAATAAAATTGACAGTTCTTTACCCAGACTAATCAAGAAGTAAAATACAGAAGGCATGAATTACCAATTACTACTGATTCCAATTATTAAAAGAATAATAATTAAAATAATAATAAAAGCTATTAACAACTCTCATCCCATAATGACAATTTAGATAAAAGGACCACTTCCCTAAAGATGCAAACTACCAGACTCACATGGAAATAGATAACCTGAGTAGCCCACATCTCTTGATGAATTGAATAACCAACACAATGTTTAAAGAAAGGAAGAAAGTTGGAGGATTCACATTACTCGATTTCAATACTTACTGTAAAGCCACAGTACTAAAGACAGCAGGGTATTGGTTATAAAAATAGACACAATTATCAATGGAACATAACAGGGACCCTGTGCAAACAGACCCACATAAATACAGTTGGCTGATTTTTTTAGAAAGGTGCTAGAGCACTTCAATGGAAAGGACAGCGTTTTCAACAAATGGTGTTGGGGCAATCGAATATCCATACACAAAAATATGAGCCCTGACATAGACCCTATACCTTACAGAAAAATCACCCAAAATGGATTATAGACCTAAATTAAAATGCAAAGCTGTGAAATTTATAGAAGAAAATGCAGGAGAAAATCAGTATGACCTTGTGTTTGGTGACAAGTTTTTAGATAAGACAACAAATGCATAACCCATGAAAGAAAAAATTGATCAATTAGACTTTACTAAAATTAAAAACTTTTCCAGGTTGTGGAGAAAAGGGAAGGCTTATACACTGTTTATGGGAGTGTAAATTAGTTCAGCCATTGTGGAAAGCAGTAGGGTGATTCCTCAAAGAGCTAAAAACAGGACTACCATTCAACCCAGCCTTCCCGTTACTAGATACATACCCAAAGAGATATAAATCCTTCTGTCATAAAGACACATGCACACAAATGTTCATTGCAGCGCTATTCACAATAGCAAAAACATGGAATCAGCCTAAATGCCCATCAATGATAGATTGGATAAAGAAAATTTGGTACATATACACCATATAATACTATGCCGTCATAAAAAAGAACAAGATCATATATTTTGCAGGAACATGGATGGAGCTGGAGGTCATTATTCTCAGCAAACTAAGGCAGGAACAGAAAAGCAAATACCACATGTTCTCACTTATAAGTGGGAGCTAAATGATGAGAACACATGGACACAAGAGAACACAGACACTGGGGTCTAGTGGTGAGGGTGGAGGATGGGAAGAGGGAAAGGAGCGGAAAAAAATAACTAATGAGTACTAGGCTTAGTACCTGGGTGACGAAATAATCTGTATAACAAACCCCCATGACACAAATTTACCTATATAACAAACCTGCACATGTACCCCGAACCTAAAAGTTAAAAAAAAAAGAAAAAAGTTTCCACTGCCAAAGATACTGTTAAGAGAATAAGAAGACAAGGCACACACTAGGAGAATGTGTTTGCTAATCACATATCTGACAAAGGTCTTGTATCCAGAATAAACAAAATATCCTCAAAATTCAACAATAAGAAAACAATTGAATTAAAAATGAGCCAAAGTCTAAATTATGATGTGTTTTTATGTTGATTTCATTGGATTTATCCTATTTGGGATTCTCTAAGCTTCTTGAGTTTCTAGGTTTATGTCTTTTACCAATTTGGGGAGTTTTCAGCTATTATTTCTTTAAATATTCTTTCAGTTCCACTCTCATTCTTTTCTTCTGCAATTCCAATGATACAAATGCTGGAATTTTTGTTATTATCCCACAAGCCCAAAGGCTCTACACTTTTTTTCCCCAGTCTTTCTTTCTTTTGTTCAGATTGAGTGAATCTTTTGATCTTTTTTCAAATACACTGATGTTACCCTCTGTCATCTCCAGTCTACTTTTAAGCACATCTGCCAGCATTAAAAAAATTATTAAATTCTTCAGTTCTATAATTTCCACTTGGTTCTTTTTTATAACTTCTATTTCTCTGCTGACAAATTCTTATTTTTAAAATTTGCCTCAAGATAATTTTGTAATTGCTTATTGAAGCATTTTATGTTGGCTACTTTAAATTCCTTGCCAGATAATTCCAGCTTCTAAGTCATCTTGTTGCTGATATCAGCTGATTGTCTTCTTATTCCGGTTGTGACTTTCCTGGCTTTTGGCAAGACAAGTGATCTTCAGTTGTGTCCTGGCATTTGAGATATTATATTTTGAGACCGTAGATGCTATCTTAGCTTCTTCATTGGCAGGCAGCCTCACTGTTCAGTACAGAGGTCGTGGCCTATTTTTGTGGGCCGTGGTTCCAGTGAAAGTAACATTTTCAAAGCCTTTCCAGTGCTATTCCGGTTGGCTTGGTTTATGGGGTGCTGCTGTGGTTCCCATGGGATTCCCTGGTGCTTTCTGAAGTCACAGAGAGCCCTCCCCAGGCAGGACTTCCCAGAGAAGAAGGGAGTCTCTGGCCTGAGGGAAGAAATGACTTCTCAGCCCACTTGCTCCAGTGGGATTCCCATTGCAGTGCTGCTCACCCCCAGTGGTCTCTGTGGGAGGGAGTGGAGTCTCAGGCCAGGAGACAGAGGCTTTCCAGAGGCTCTCTTGGGTGATTGTTGTGGCTGAAATTTCTGGGCCAGCACTTCCTGGCCACCTGGTGTCTCTCCATGGGGGAGGGAAGTCTTAATTCTGCCACTGGAGGCAAGGCTTGCTGGGCTGGGCACTTGTGGCAGGATCCCCTTCCCAGGACTTCCTGGCCATCTGCTCAGTGTCTGCCAGTGGGGAAGGGCATGTCTGAGAAGGCGTGACCCCTGGCTCCTTTTTGTTAGCAGGGCTCTTTACAATTGCACCATTCTTACTGACTCTTTGTATATCGTATACACAATAAAGTGTTCAAAATAAAGGTAGCCATTGCACTAACATTGTACTAATTATCACAAAGTCAACACCTGTGGGAATATTTCCCAGGTCATGGAATAGAATATTGCCACCAACCTGGAAACCACCAGTGTTTACTACCAATTACTCCTCCACCCCCACACCGGCCCCTCACCTATTTCTCCTAAAAGTTAACTGCTATCCTGATTTTCTGGTAATTACTTTCTTGTTCTTTTTTGTTTTACTGCCTAAGTGTGTATCCCTAAACACTTTATTTAATTCTGCCTGTGTTTCGAACTTCATATACTCTCTTTTTTTAATGAGGTTTTGTTCAACATTGTGTTAGTATGCGTATGGATGTTATATATTTTCAGAGGGGATATATACATATTATATACATACACATAAACACACTATATATACATATATGAGTGTGTGCATGTGTTTAGAGAAAGGTGTGAAAGGATTCATATCATATTGATGATAGTGATACCTCTAAAAATGGAACTAGAAGTGTCAAAAGCTTTGGATGAACTTCAACAGCTATGCTTTATCAGTTTTTTTACTGAATGAACTGCTTTACAATTCCCAGAAAGATAGTAGAACTAAATTTTAAGCTCTTTAATTCTCTTTGAGAATGTGTCGAGTCTTTGACTTCAGTTACACACCATATCAATGCTTTAAAAGCCATATGAAACCTCAGCACATTGAAGTAAGAGTAAGCTTGTTACTAGCTCTGTACAAATGGAACATTCTACATTTTAGTAAGGGTTTTGAACTCTTTTCTCAAGTGCATACAGGTGCCAGAGAGAGAACTCACATTAGGGAAGCGTCAGAAGAACTGGAAAAGAAGAATGACACACACGAGCTGGCATCTAGCCTTATGTTAGGGATGCAGTAGTGAGTAGTGGGCTCTCCAGCAAAGGAGAAAGCCCCTGACCATTTGAAGGGGCAGCAGCTACTCAGCTGAGCCAACTTTGCCTTAAAGAATGTGGACCAATTGTTGCCTGAATCGGATTCTTCTTTCTCCTGATATTTTAGCTGCCAAAGAGTCTTGGTACTGGCTTGGACCCAGCATTGCTTGCCCCCCACACTGCTTACTGTTGCTGTTGGTTCCATGGTTAGGTTAGTTCCTGTAAATTCATTTCCTATCTTCCTCTTATACGTATTTCTCCAGTAGCGAGGTCTTCTCACGCCCCACAGCTAAGCCTAGTAAAATCCCACATGTAGGAGGGTTTACAAGATTTCTTTCTTTCCTCTTAAAACCTCCGTTGTACAGTAAAAGTGGGATAAACTGCCCTGTCCAGGTGCTAATCTCAGGGCTGGAAGTACAAAGATGAAAAGAGTACCCTTTAAACATCTCATAGTTAACAGTCCTTTTGACGAAGTTTCCCCAGTCATGCTTTGGCCGGATGAACTTGGCTCCTTGGAGAGGGGTTCATGAGTTCAGTATTCTCTGAGCGCCTACCTATTTAAAACCTTTCTTCTATAGCCTTACTGTTTAAAAGACAGCTTGACTGGATATAAATCCTTTGTTCACACTTTATTTTCTGGGGTGTCTTAAAAATGCTTCACCTTTATTGCCTTGAGTTGTGTGTTGCTTTTGGAACGTCTGGCGCCTGCCCCTTCTGTCTTTGTAGGTTATTTGGTCTTTTTCCTGGAGGCCCTGAGATTTCTTTTTTTCTTCATTTTAAAGTCTGAACATTTTAAGATATGTCTTACAGTTAATCGTTCTGGGTTAGTTTGTCCATGTACCTTGAAGCTTTTTTCAGTATGTTGACTCCAGTCTTCTTTCTAAAAATGACCTTGGATTATAGTTTTAAATACTGGTTCTATTCTATCTTTTTGTTTTTGATATTCAGGGATTGCAATTATAAGAAGGCAGGATCTCCTGTACCCATTTTCTATTTCAACTCTTTTGTCTCTGATACTTTTTATTCCCCCTTATTTTCTGAAATTGAAAATTGACAAATTATGGTTGTATATATTTATGAGGTACAAAGTGATGTTATGACTCATGACTACAATGTGGAATAATTAAATTAATCTAATTAACATATCTATCACCTCAAATACTTATCATTGTTTGCAGTAAGAACTTTTGAAATGTATTCTCTTAGCAATTTTGTAATATAGGATACACTGTTAACTACATTTATCACACTACACAATAAATCTCAACAAAAACCAGTTATTTCTCTTTTCTAACTGAAGTTTTGTACTCTTTGACCAATATCTCCCTATTCCTCCTACCCCACCCTCAGGTGACAACCATTCTACTCTCTGCTTTTGTGAGGTTGATTGTTTTAGACTCCATGTGTAAGTGAAAGCATTGGGTATTTGTCTTTCTGTGCCTGGCTTATTTCACTTAGCATAATGTTCTCCAATTCCATCTATGTTACTGCAAATGACATAATTTATTTCTTTTCTAAGGGTGAATAGTATTCCATTATGTATATACACCACATTGTTTTTATCCATTCACCTGGGGATGGACAGAGGTTGATTCCATAACTTAGCTATTCTGAATAATGCTACAATGAAAATGGGAATGCAGAAATACCTTCAACATACTGATTTCAAATCTTCTGGTTAAACACCCAAAAGTGGGATTGCTGGATCATATAGGAGTTCTAGTTTTATTTTTTTGAGGAAACTCCCTACTGTTTTCAGTAATGGCTATACTAATTTATATTCTATCAACAGTGTCCAAGAGCTCCCTCTTCCCCACATGGTTGTCAACATTCCTTATCTTTTGTCTTTTGGATAATAGCCATTCCGACAAGTGTAAGGAAATATCTCATTGTGGTTTTAATTTGCATTCCCTTAATTATTAATGATGTTGAGCATTCTTCATGGATCTGTTGGCCATTTAGATGTCTTCTTTTGAGAAACGTCTTTTCAGATCACTTGCCCACTTTTTAAATTGGGTTTTCTTTATTTCTATACAGTTGTTTGCATTGTTTATATGTTTGGATTTTTTATTAGATGTATGGCTTGCAAATATTTTCTTCTAATTCATAGATGATCTCTTCATTCTGTTTTTTTTGTTGTTATTGTACAGAATCTTTTTGTTTTGATGTAACTTCATTTGTCTATTTTTTGCTTTTGCTACCTGTACTTTTGAGGTCAAATCTAAAAACTCATTGCCCAGACCAATGTTATATAGCTTTTTCCTTATGTTTTCTTCTAGTAGTTTTATAGTTTCAGGTATTTATGTTAAGTCTTTAATCCATTTTGAGTTATTCAAATATAGGGTATGAGATAAGGATCCAATTTCATTCTTCTGCATATAGATATGCAGTTTTCCCCAATACCATTTATTGAACAGACTATTCTTTTTCTATCATACATTCTTGGCACCTTTGTTGAAAATCAATTGACTTCACAAGTGTGGGTCCATTTCTGGGCTCTCTATTCTGTTCCATTGCCTGATGTGTCTATTTTTATGCCAGTATCATGTTCTTTCAATTATAATCACTCTGTAGTACAATTTTAAATAAGGTAGTATGATACCTCCAGCTTTGTTCTTTTTGCTCAAGATTGTCTTGGCTAGTCAGGGGTTTTTGCTGTTCCATATGGATTATAAGATTTTTTTTATTTCTATGAAAAGTTATATTGGAATTTTCATGGAGATTGCATTAACTGTAGATTACTTTGGATACTACAGACAATTTACCAATATTAATTCTTCCAATACATGAACATGGAGTACTTTCCATTTATTTGTGTCTTCTTCAATTTCTTCAATAACTGTTTTATACTTTTCACTGTACTGGTCTTTCACCTTCTTGGTTAAATTTATTCATAACTATTTTATTTTATTTTATTTTATTTGCAGCTGTTATAAATGGGATTGTTCTCTTTATTATCTTTTCAGATCGTTTGTCTTTATTATATAGAAACATTACTGATTTTTGTGTGTTGAATTTATATTCTGCAACTTTATTGTATTTTTTTATTAGTTCTAACAGTTTTTTGGGGGAATCTTCAGGGGTCTCTAAATAAAAGATTATGTGTCAGCAGTGACAGTTTCACTTCTTCCTTTCCTATTTGGATGCCTTTTATTTCTTTTTCTCGCCTAATTGCTCTGCCAAAAACTTCTAATACTATGTTGAATAAAAGTCATGAAAGTAGGCATCCTCTTGTTCTGTATCTTAGATTAAAGGGTACCAACTTTTTACCATTGAATATAATGTCAGCTGTTGGCTTATCATATATGGCCTTTATTATGTTGAAGCACATTCCTTCTGCTCCTAATTTGAGAGTACTTATCCTGAAAGGATGTTGATTTTTGTCAAATGCTTCTTCTGTATCTAATGAGATGACCATATGATTTTTGTCCTGGATTTATTAATATGTTGTATTATGCTTATTGATTTGCATATGTTGAACCATCCTTGCATCCTTAGGATGGACCCACTTGATCACGGTGAATGATCTTTTTAATGTGTTGTTGAATTCAGTTTGCTGGCATTTTGTTGTTGAGGATTTTTGCATCTACGTTCATCAAGGATATTGGCCTATAATTTTCTTTTTTTGTAATGCTCTTTTCTGGCTTTGATATCAGGGTAATGCTGGTCTTGTAAAAAGAGTTTGAAATTATTCCGTCTTTGATTTTTTGGAAGAGTTTGAGAAAGATTGGTATTAGTTCTTCCTTAAATGTTTGGTAGAATTCAGCAGTAAACTCATCAGATCTGGGGCTTTTTTTTTTTATTGGAGACTTTTTATTATTGATTCAATCTTTTTACTCATTATTGTTCTGTTCAGATTTTCTGTTTCTTTATGGTACAGTCTTGGTAGTTGTATGCATTCAGAAATGTATTTCTTTCTTCTATGTTATCTGTTTTTTGGCATGTAATTCTTCTTAGTCATTTCTTATGATCCTTTGTATTTCTGTGGTATCAGTTATATTGTCTTCTCTTTTATTTCTGATTTCATTTATTTATTGTCTTCTCTCTTCTTAGTCTAGCTATATGTTTGTTACAGTTTAATAAAGCAAAATTGTAGTTTAAAATTAACACAGGGAAACGATGCATGGGGAAAAGTCCAAGAGAAATCGAGTGCAAGCTTCCAGGTGTCCTTTCCAGTAAAGGCATGCTGATGCAGCTAACTATTCCAGCAATGATGGCTGACAACAGGTACAAAGTGTACCGATCAGGGAACTTCACCTGAGCCTTGAGTCCAGGGTTGTTATTGGAGGTTAGTTATGTAGCCATGCAGCAACTGCATTACATACCTCTGCTACCCAGACTCCAGCCCCCCAGAGCAAAAACAGGCAATCGCCATAAGCCACAGTTATTAGCATAAAATACCTGATCAAACTTACACAGTGTGGCACAAGGCCTCAGGCATACCAAATCACTCTTATCAGGCCGAATATTCCTAGGGCTCAGAGCTCATCTCCAAGGATGTAGCCAAGGGCCAGTTCTTAAAACAGGGTTTTTTTTTTTTTTTTTTTTTTTGGAGAGGGGTGGTGCGGTGGGAATGTGCAAGGTTTGAACAACCTAGGTCTGTTGAATTAACTCTTGCCTGCATAGGAAGGAATGGACTATGAGTCCTTTCTATTTTTTCTTTTGTCTGTTAAATTCTTAAACTGTTCTTCTTTACCACCCCATACCCACAGGGCTCATCTTCCTTTTCAACATTTTTATCCACTTCCTACCTCCAGAAGCAATGCATGCATGTTTGGGGCTATTATCTCAGACCCCATGGAATTTTAAATCTCCTCCCTGAAATCAATTCTGTGATCTAGGGCTGTACTTCAGGCTGTGATTTCTGTTCCATCTTAGGCTCTCTTTTGTTTCCTCTCTCCTTCACAGGTTTAATCAGATTCCTCCTGTTTGCCCCAAATGCCTGCAAGCGGAAGCTTCAGCTACAGCTCTGCTGAATTTGGTGTTTAAGTTTTACTTACAAGTATTTTAGAGTTTTTAGTGCTCCCAAACTTCTAGTTACGATTTTTGTGGAATTTTTTTTAGTTGCATTTCTTTTTCTTATTGATGTGTATAATTATGTGTTGTTAGTTGATTTTTGTTTGTTTTGGGTTTTGAAGAGAAATTGGATAGAAATAGTTGCCACGGTCTTTCTCACTATTCTTTTAGTGGATACCCTCCTTCCTTTGTTTTTTGGTACACAGGCAATATGTGTTAATTGGATTAGAAAATTAGGAAAATCAAAAACTAAACGAAAGAATGCAACACCAAAAATGTAGCACCATATGCATACATTTATGTTCATGCTTCAGGCCTTCCTGCCCCTCTGTACATATAGATATGGATATAGATACAGATATACTTTTGTATTAAAATACTTTTTTTTTTTTTTTTTTAGACAGAGTCTCTGTCACCCAGGCTGGAGTGCAGTGGCGCAATCTCAGCTCACTGCAAGCTCCGCCTCCCGGGTTCAGGCCATTCTCCTGCCTCAGCCTCCCAAGTAGCTGGGACTACAGAAGCCCGCCACCACGCCTGGCAAATTTTTTGTAGAATACATATTTTTAAAAATGGAATTCTTCTATATATATCTTGCTTGGTAAAGTGATTATTTTCACTTATTATATTATAAAAACATTTTGCTGTTAAAAATGTATATATCCAAATAATCCCATTAAGTGGCTCTCTTGTATAAACGCATTTAACATACCAGTTGTGGTTGGATATTGCAGTTTCCCCAATTTTTCTCAATATTTATAAAGAAAAATTATAGCTCCTTTAAGAGGTCCTATGTTCTCATATTTTTTATTCCTCTATGCAAATGATAATATATTTAAATTTTCATGTAGACTTTGTTAATATGGCTATTAATATGACTTGCTTTCCATACCAGCTTTGTAAGATAACAGGGTAGGTCATTAATTATCACTGCCATTAAACAATTTGAATAGCTCCTGTTCAGCTTACTCTGCAGTCTTTTTCCCTTGACTTCAGCACCAACACAGGAAAAAGCGAAATGCAAAAGGATCTCTTCTTTGATTTCTGAAATTGAAACTTTAGTGGTTTTAGTAGAGTTCCTGTTAATTTTAGAGTTTTCACTTGTGAGATTATTCAGAAATTCATTTTGAATCTTTTGAGAGCTATTTCAGTAAATGCAAATCAGATAACAGGTAAGAATTTTGCTATTGCAGTCAAAATAATGAAAATTATTGCTTGTGAAGTAGTTTCAGTGGCAGGTGCTGTTTCGTATAATTGGATCCTTTGAAAGGAAACAGAAATACGCACAAAGGAGTACATTTTAGAATTAAATAAAAAACTTCAATTCATTACTTATTTTATTTTTCATAATTGCTTATTCAGTTTTGAACTACTGATTGAAGTTTATACATTTTCTTTCCTTGGTGTTGCCTATAATTTATTACCATATGTATTTGAAAAAATCAACAATTAATCAATGTCCGTATCCTTCTAAACAAGGTAATAGTCTCAGTATGAAATCACGCCCCTACCTCTGCCTCCCCCATGTTATAATCTGGCATTTTATTGCCAGATTTATATTGTAAAGCTGAAAAGCAACTCATATAAGGAAAAATATCTTTCACTAATGTCATTGTTCATCATTTGTTTCTGTTCTATTTCTTCCTCATGTTATTTTTTCTTGCTGAAATATAATTTCTGCTCATTTTCACAGAAAGAGTCTATCAGGATAAAAGTTCTGAATTCTTGATGATCTAAAAGTCATCATTTGCTCTTACATTTGAATGCAATTTTACTGAATATAGAATTCTAGCTTAAAAGGACCCTTCTTCCAGCATCTTAAAAATAGTCTTTCATTATCTTCTTTGGTTCACTGTTTTTCATGAGAGACTAATTCTTGCAACTTTGTAGGTTATCCTTTTTTTTCCTCTCTTTGGTAGCTTTTAGAATTCTTTGCATACTTTTTGTTAAATTTGATTCCAGAAAATTATCAGCCATTGAAAAACATATATTGGCATATGACACACATACATAAAAGTTCAGAAAATATAAACACACAATTGATGACTTAGTACAAAGTTGAACAATTTGTCTAGCACTGTGTAACACTACCCAGGAGAAGAAAAAGAAAATGCCAACACCCCAGAAGCATCACTTATGTCAGGGGTCAGTAAATCAACAAAGAGGAATTACCTCAACTTGACAAAGAAGCTCTACAAAAAACTATGGTATATATCATACTTAATGGTGAAAGACTGAATATTTTCCACCTAGATTGGGAATAAGGCAAAGATATCTACTCTCATCACTTTTATTCAACATAGTGCTGGAAGATCTAACCAGTGTAATAAGGCAAGAAAAAGAAATAGAAGGCTTACAGATTGAAAAGGAAGAAATAAAACTGTCCTTATTTCAAATGGCGTAGTGGTGTACATAGAAAATCTCCCGAAATATACAAAAAAAAGCAAAAACTCCTAGTACTTTTAAGTGTTTTAAGCACATCACAGGACACAAGATCAACACACAAAAGTTAATCACATATCTATATAATAGCAAGGAACATACAGAAACCAAAATTGAAAACACAATACCACTCACCATCACTTCAAATTAAATGATATACTTAGATATGCATGTAACAAAGCATGTATAGATCTGTATGATGAAAATCGTAAAATGCTAATGAAAGAAATCAAAGACTTAAATAAATATAAAAACACACTGTGTTCATGGACTGAAAGACTCAACATATTAAGAGGTCAATTCTCACCAAATTTATCTATAGTTTTCACATAAATACCTATGAAAGTCCTATAAAAGTTATTTATAGATATAGACCAGCTTATTCTAATATTTATATGAAAAGAACAGAACCTAGAATAGCTAAAACAATATTGAACAAAGAGAAAAAAGCAAGAGGAATCACTATACCTTGTGTTAAAGCTCACTATAAAGCTACACTGATCATGATAGTGTGGATGTGGATAGACACATAGAGCAATGGAATAAGATAGCAAACTCAGTAATAGACCCACAAAAGTAAGCTCCATTGATTTTTTTTAAGAGATGGAGTCTTGCTCTGCCACCCAGCCTGGAGTGCAGTGATGCAATCATAGCTCACTGAAGCCTAGAACTCCAGGGCTCAAGTGATCCTCCAACCTCAGCCTCCTGAGTAGCTGAGACTACAGGCACACACCACCATGCCGGGCTATTTTTATTTTTTATTTTTATTTTATTTTTTGTAGAGACAGGTTCTCAGATTCTTGCTGTGTTGCTCAGGCTGATCTCAAACTCTTGGGTTCAAGCATTCCTCCTGCCTCAGTCTCCCAAAGTGCTGAGATTACAGATGCATCCCACTGTGCCTGGCCTTGATTGGTTTTTTAAAAGTTTTATTTTATTTATAATTGACACATAATACCTATGTATACTTAGTTGATTTTTGACAAAGGTACAAAAGCAATTCAATGAAGGAAGTATAGCCTTTCAACCAATGGTCCTGGATCAATGGGACACCCACAGGCAAAAAAGGAACCTCAACCTAAACTTCATATCTTATATAAAAATTCACTCAAATGAACCACAGACTTAAATTTAAAATGTAAATCCATAAAAGTTTTAGAAAACAATACAGCATAAGATCTTTGGGATCTGTCACTAGGTTGAGTTCTCAGACTTGACATAATAACACTATCTGCAAAAGGAAAAATCAATCAATCAGACCTTATTTAAGTGGAATATTTTGCTCTGTCAAGCCCCATGTGAAAAGGATGTAAAGACAAGCTGCACACTGAGAGAAAATATTTGCAAACCACGTTTGACAAAGGATTAGTATCTAGAACATACAAAGAGCTCTTAAAACTCAGCTCTTAAAACTCAATCAATCTAATTAGAAAATGGGCAAAAGTCATGAAGATATTTTTCACCAACGAGTATATAATACAAGAGGCAAATAAGATGAAAAGATGTTTAACTCATTGGGCATCAACAAAATGAAAATTAAAACCACAATGAGAAATCACTGCATATATATATAGGAATGGCTAAAAGGAAAACAACACTAATGCTACCAAATGCTGGCAAGGATACACACACATATTGCTGGTGGGAGTATAAATAATACAACTCATCTGAAAAATTGTTTGTCAGTTTCTTATAAAACTAAACATGCAATTACCATGTGAGCCAGCCATTGCACTCCTTGGCATTTATCCCAGAAAAATAAAAATCATATTCATACCAAAACCTGTAGATGAAAGTAACTTTATCTGTAGTCACCTAAAACTAGAATCAGCCCACATGATCTTCAATAAGTACATTGATAAACAAGGTGTTCTATAAGAATGCCATGGAATCCTACTTGGAAATACGGAACAAACTATTGATACATGCAACACCTTGGATGAATCTCCAGGGAATTATGCTTTGTGAAGAAAGGCCAGTCCCAAAAGGTTACATACTGTATTTTTCAATAATATAACATTCTTTTAAATGAACACATTTAGAAATGAAGAAAAGATTGTGGTTGCCAGGGAGTTGGGGGAAGGAAGTGGGTGTATTTATAAGAGGGCAACAACAAAAGGGGTCTTTGTGGTGTGGGAACTGTTTGGTGTATGTACTCTTGCAGTGGATACACAAACCAACACAGGTGAGAAATTTGTGTGCAGCCTAATAAACACACACACACACACACACACACACATGCACACACAAATGAGTATCAGTAAAACTGGGGAAATCTGAATAAGATTGATGGATTACATCAATGTTAATATCCTGATTGTGAAATTATAATTTTGCAAAATGTTATCATTGGGGAAAATGAGCAGCGTACAAGGGGTTTTTCTATATTCTTTTTACAGCTGCATGTGAATCTTCACTTATCACTAGAAAATTTTCAATTAAAAAAATTAGTAAAATTGCAGGGCGCAGTGGCTCACGCTTGTAATCCCAGCACTTTGGGAGGCCTAGGCGGGCGGATCACGAGGTCAGGAGTTCGAGACCAGCCTGGCCAACATAGTGAAACCCCGTCTCTACTAAAAATACAAAAATCAGCCAGGTATGGTGGCACACGCCTGTAGTCCCAGCTACTCGGGAGGCTGAGGTGGGAGAACTGCTTGAACCCGGGAGGCAGAGGTTGCAGTGAGCTGGGACCATACCATTGCACTCCAGCCTGGGTGACAGAGTGAGACTGTCTCAAAAAAAAAAAAAAAAAATTAGTAAAGTTGTGCAGACCAGTGCGTCCCTCCTAGTAACAACAACTTATTTCTCAGCGACAGAGCTCTACCTTATGGCAATGCTAAAAACGGACATTGAGTTAGTCAACCCTCAAGATGAAAACCATTTGTTATTTTCCAGTCGTGATGTACAATACCCTATAGACTAAATACCACATACTGAGCCACATTTCACTTTTGGGAAATGTCATGTCATTCATATGAGTTAAATGCTAAGGATATGTAATTATTTTCTCTCTAAAAGACAGTCTAAAGCATGCATGGGGAAAGTTATTCTAGGAATGAACAAGCAAAGCAGACACACAGGAAGGCTCCTGTGCACTTGATTTTTTCAAGAATCAAGTGTTCTTGTCCGAGGAGGTTCACAGTAAAAGGGGACTTCATTCTCAATAGTCCAATTTGATTCTGTTAATATGTTAATATACATCATATTGGACTTTTTCTCAACTATGTTAAATCTTTTCATTTTTGTGCCATTTCATAAACGTACTTTGTATTTGGCATAGAGTCAATGATGTGCTGCACCTGCTGTGCCCACAGACCCCTTGGGGAACCCCTTATACTTAGGTCACTTTGACTTTCATGTCTGGACCCCACAGTCCTCATCACAGTCAAGCGGGCAGAGACTGGGACTAAGCCAGGAACTGCTGTCCAGCAACAGCTCCCTGCAGGTCACCACCACAGTTGGGGGTCAGCCTCCACAGGACTGGAGGAGCTGACTCATTCAGATGCCTCAGTGTGAGTCCTAAAAGTAAGTGCCAGATGCCCACACACAGGTGTGTGCATATGCACAGAAAGTTCTAGAAGAACCCAGGAGGCAGTGTGAGCCTGAGAAGCAAAACCACAAAGAGAACAGAGGGAAACTCACGGACAATGGTGGGAGAAGCAGAGCCAGTGTGCACAGAGCAGTAAAGGGCAGAACCAGGAGCCGACAAGAGTCTCGAAGCCTCAGGCGGGGCGCCAGGGAGGTCTGCAGCTGACAGTGAGGGGATCAGTGCCACCCAGGTCCTCTATGGGATTCCTGAATTGTTGTGGAGACTGGAGCAGCTGGGATCCCTCGCTCTCATGTTTTCAGTTCTCTGTGGGGCTTGAAGGTGTGGCTGCCGTGTGGAAATGGACTCAGGTATTTCGGATCCTTGATCAAGTGAAAGTAACAAGCGTATTTTTTCTTGATTTCCCATATCTGCTAATATTGAAGGCTGGGCCATGAGACTGGCTACATGTGTGTGGGTCATGCAGCCAGATGGTGCCCTGGAGTGGCCCCTAAATGAGGTGGTTATCACATCGCTTTTCCAGGGATTAGGAAAAACCTGGGGAAGGAAATAAACGGGAGACTTTTCTTGGCCCTGCTGAGGTTGAATACTAAGTTGCTTGTGGCCAGCTGGGAAGTTGGAGTGAGCCAGGGAGCTGTGTTGGCACAGACCCAAGGAGGACCTGGGCCTGGTCCACAGTGTCAGTCATTCTCCAGAGCACTTGCATTACTGTTACCGAACTGAACTTGAGTCTGCCTATCTCGGGCAGCAAAGCCAAACACTGACATTGGGTTTTGCAGCAAGGGAAAGTGAGGCATTAATTATAGGGCACCAAGCAAGGAGAATCGGGCAGCTCACACTTAAGACCCAAACTCCCCAGTGGCTTCCAGGTAAGGGGTTTTAATGGCAGGAAATTCAGGAAAGCAGAAGTTACAGGCAAAATCATAAATCAATACATGGAGGTTCACTATTGGTTTAAACTGAAAAGGTGGGATATCTTAAAGTGGGGTTTACAGGTCATAGGTAGAATCAAGGTTTTTCTGATTTGCAATTGGTTAAGGAGGGGAGCTTTGACTAAAGTCTTGGGGTCGGCAAAGAAGAATGTTAGGTCTGGCTTGTGAGCATGACTTCCTCTGGGCCCTCAGGAAGAAATTAAGAACAAAGAACCGTCGTTGGAATTCAGTCCTTGGTTGCCCCTTATCTGCCCCTTTGGTGGAGGTCTGGGTTTCTGAAAAAGAACTCAGGGGTATATGCTAACATGTTCTCTTTAGTTTCTATAGGAACCGAACATCTCGTGACTTTAATTTCCTTGACTATTGTTTTAGGCTTCGAGTACCTTCCTGCTTACAAGGTTGCTTTTTAACCTTGTAAAAGGTTAGGGATAGCTAGGGGCCTAGAATTTTCCTCGGAGGAACACAGGGTTTTTCTGTATTTCCATGCTTGTGAGGAAGGAGTGGCAGGCCTCTAAGAGAGGTCCCTATGTGTCATATTATTCCCAACTTTTTCATTATTATGATAATGATTTTGCTCTGTCGCCAAGCTGGAGTGCAGTGGCACGATCTTGGCTCACTGCAACCTCTGCCTTCCGGGTTCAACTGATTCTCCTGCCTCAGCCTCCCGATTAGCTGGGACTACAGCTGCACACCACCACACCCAGCTAATTTTTGTATTTTTAGTAGAAAAGGGGTTTTACCACGTTGGCCAGGATGGTCTCAATCTCCTGACCTTGTGATCTGTCTGCCTCGGCCTCCCAAAGTGCTGGGATTACAGTGGTGAGCCACCACGCCCGGCCTCATTATTATATTTTTAAGGGCAGCATGTTCTCTCTTGCATTTTGGGGGCCATGAATGGGTTCATCCCTCTAAGCGAAGAATAGGGCCCTTGTTTGACTTGCCAGCTTGTCTCAGGCTGATGAGAGACATAATAATCCTAGATTATTTTCCTCTCTGATGCTTTTGTGAATGTGATTCTACAGCAACTAGAGACTAACACAGTAGTGATTGTTCTCAACTCACATACATATTATTATGTGAATTTTAAGGTAGGTTTGAGTCAATTAAATCACAACTCAAATCTCATTATTCTTTTAAAATGATTTTTCACACAGATTAGGAAAGTGTTGCATCAGAATTACAAAACAGGTTTAGTAGTATCTTTCTTTGGGTGCCACTGATATTTCATTATTTCTTTGCTGTTAGGTCTGTCTCTCCCCCAACTCAAAGCCCCTGGGCCCATCATTCATTCATACACGTATGATTTCATCAAAACTTTTACTGAACACCTATTATGTGCCAGGCACTATTTCCTGTTGGAAAACATGAGCAAATTCTATTCTTGGCCTTTTTGCCATTAAGGCCTTTGTGTCCATTCTAAACCATAACTTTCTTTAGCACTATTTTTCTGAATTAAAAAAATGTAAATCACAAACTTGCATGAATCTTACATTTTACAAATGCTTTTTCCTTTGAAATGAGAGATGTGTTTAGCCTTCCTTCTCTCAAAGTTATTTATTGATTTTATTTTGTCAACCATTATAACTTGTATTTTTTTTCTTTTAATATCTTTCTGGGAAGATGATGGCTACTCTGCCAGAGGTGTTTGCCCACTCAATATGTGTCACTCTTCGGAGGGAGGAGTGTGGAAGTCATGGGTGAACAGAAAGCACCTGAACGTTGGGTTCAGCCTGCATTGTATGTAAATGTTTGTATTACAGGAAAGAAAATAGTATATCTCCATCTTGACAAATACATGCGCAAAATGCTGTACAAGAAAAAACAAGATATTGAGGGAGGAGGATAGAAATAGATGTCTGAGTCTAAAGCTGGGAAGCAGAGTTTTCAAAATCCCTTAATACTTTATGGTTTTAAACTATGTGAGTGTTTATTTGCTTAAAAATAAAATAAATTTTTAATGAAGAAAGCTTATGGACTCTTTGGCTCCACATGGCAAGGTGAATCAGAATTCCTCATGTACATGGGAGCTTGCTGTGCACTGGACCTGAGGCAAAGGGAGGAGAGCCTGCTGGGCCCCACTAAACCCTTGGACTTCATACTGTGGGCAGGGGACAGTGTATACAGGAGCCCAGCAGGGTGAGACTGAGCCATTGCCTGAGAGTTTGGAAACCGTGTAATAGTGGGTCCAAGGGGCAGAAGACAGACGATGGATGCAAGGGGTATAATTAAGGGCTGTAGACATGGTCAAAATAGGAGATGATGCCCTGATGGAGGACGTTGGCAGCTCCAGCCTCCACAGCATTTCAGGAATCCATGGAGGAACTGGGCCACACTGAGGAGCCCTCCGGCAGACCTCCCTGGCACCGAACCTAACGTGGTGGGGCTCCGGGTTTATCTCATCACACGGGTTCTAAAACTTTGTTCCTTACTGGCTCTGCTTCTTCTGCCATTGCCCATGACTTTTGCTCCGTTCTCTTCTTTGTAATTGTTTCTCAGGCTCACACTGCCTCGTGGGTTCTTCTAGAACTTTCTGTGCATGTGTGGACCCATGTGTGCGTGTGGGTGTCTGACACTTATTTTTAGGGCTCACACTGAGGCATCAGAATGGGTTAGCTCCTCCAGTCCTGTGCAGGCTGCTCCCCACCTGGGGTGGTGACCTCCAGGGAGCTGTTGCCAGACAGCAGCTCCTGGCTCGTCCCCCTCAACTGTGATGAGGACTGTGGGTCCAGACGAAGGTCAAAGTGACCCAAGAGCAAGGAGTTCCTGAAGAGGCCTGTGGGCACAGCAGGTCCAGCACATCATTGACTTAACGACAAATGCAAAACACATTTATGGAATGGCACTTGCACACACACAAAAAAAGGATGTAAAAATTTTAACATATTTGAGTGAGTTGGACAATTGGCTCTAAAGCTTCTAATTCCCTGTAGCTTGGTACATGTCTCTGCATCTCTCACAAGTCATCTCTTTGCTCTCTATGTTATAGTATGTATCCCATTTTGCCTTGAATCAGGCTCCTTTATGTGTAGCTCCATTTCACCCACTAGACTGAAACTTTTTTAAGGTTCATAGTGTTGTCATTATTCCTAGCACCTAGCAAAAGGCATACACACAGCATCAATTCCACAAATATAAGTTGCATTGATTTATCTTACTCCAGTTTATAGCATTTTGTTATAGCAGTCCAAATGGACTAAGACAATGGGGGAATCATGAAGATTTGGGGACAGGTGAAAGCAACTTCCATCTGCATGGATTCACTAGCATACTATCTTCTCTTAAATCTAGTATAGGGAATGTCCTCAAATACCCCCACATGAAGGCCAAGGTAAGGAACAAGATGCTTCCTGGGCAGGGTCTTTCACATGCCCATCGTCCTTCTGGGACTGATTGCAGTATGTTCCAAAATGGGATTGGTCTGTGCCCACGGAGGGGGACTAGTCTTGTGTGGTTCTTTTATTTTCAGTGGAAACTGAGCAAGCCTCCTTCGTCTTTCTAGTCTTAGGGTAAGGGCTCTCTTAGACCCAGAGACATGGTCCTTGCTGGATCTGAACCGGGTGTGAAGGTGCTTTCTGCTTGGAGTGAGTGATAAGGCCCTGCTCTTCCATGGCCCTCCATACTCTGAAGTGGGCTCAAGGGCTGGATGTGTCACACATAGGACATCTGGGGGGAGGGGGGATGCTGAGTAATAGCCATACATTTTCCTTGTCCTGGTATGCAGGTAATGGGAGTTTATCCCTCATTCTACCAAAGGTAGATTCTGCCTTACTCCAGCTGGGCTGGCTGTGTGACCTGCTTTGACCAACAAAACATGGCAGATGTTCAAGACTCCTGGGCCTGGGCCTTAGGAGACCTTTCAGTGTCCACTTCTCCCTCACTGCCCAGAGGTCACTGAAGCATCAGTGGATTCACAGAGGGGTCTGTGTCCACACATGATGAAAGGAGTGAGGGAGCTCTCTGGGGCCCCTATTATAAGGACACTAATCCCATCACAGGGGCTCCAGCCTCATGACTATATCCTCCCAAAGGCCCCATCTGCTGACACCATCACATTGGTGATTAGGTTTCAATATATGAATTCAAGGCGGCCACAAACATTTAGACCCTAGCACTCACAGTGCACAAAACAACAGCCTTTAATGTGGCATTTGCAGGCCTCTCTCACACCCACGCATCCAGCCCCAGCTCAATTTTCCAACTTATTGCCTGCTGCTTCCCTCATGAGCCTTTATTCAGCCTTAGACGTTTTTCAACAATACTTCCTCTGTGCTGTGCTGGTGCCTTCTACTAATTACTGTTTGCTTTTCTCATCCCTGTACCAGCAAGAATGCCACCTCCCTGAACACTACAGGATGTATTGTGTACTTTTTCAGTATCCCCTGCCGGAGCTAATCTCTCTCCTCAGTGCCCCCCATGCCCAGCCTAATCTTCTGTGTCCCCTCCCACCCAGTATAGTGACTTGAGCACAAACTGTGGAAGAGACAGTCAAGGCAAGACCAGTGTCACAGCGAGACCAGTGTCACGGCAACAGGCAAATGAGCTGAGTGGTGCGATTAGACTCTGAAAGCCTCGGCTTCCATGTGTGTAAAATGGGTTAACAGTAACTTCCTCTTGGGATCCTTATAAGGACTTAGTGAGGCAGCCTATGCAAAGCACACAGCCCAGCAAGCAGCAAGCATTCAGTCCACAGTAGCTGTTAGCAGCAGTCGTAGCAAGAGTAGTAGTACCAGTACAAGTAGTAGTGTTAAAATAGAATTCCGTTCCAGCAAATCTATTAGCTGGGACTCTCAGACATTCTTATTTGGTTTCCCATCTCCCTCTCCTTACCAGGAATTGGGAATACATGTCCTTCCAATTTTTCTCAGTGCATGATTATTTCTTCCTTTGCACCAAGTCATCTAGGATAGGAAGGCCGTGCAGATTAAAGCAATCACACACTGAGCACTCCTGCATTCTGTTTATTTGGGTCTCTGGACATTGCATTTGATTTTTACCTAACTGCTGGGCCATGCTCCCATCATTTGGAATGGACAGTTTGGATTCTAAGGAAGATGATCAGCCACTTGTAAAGTGGACAGCTTCTCTCTTAAGGTTTTTCTTTCATTACCCACTAACCTCACTTCTGTTCTTTTTCTTTCTTCCCTATTTTTCATAAAGCATTGCAAATAAAAAGGTTAGCACAGCTCTTTTTCTCTTCCCTGATTCTCCATCCTTACCACTTGTGCTTGTCATATATTTCACTTATGTGTATGTAATAAACTTACAGTGCATTGTTGTTAGAAGCATATAAAGTTAATGTGTTGGCAGCCTGTTACCTTGTAGGGAAACTTAAAATTATAAAAATATTTTATTTCACCTCTATTTCACTTTTCCCCCAAATTTATTTATTTTTTTAGAATGACATAGAATTTTATGTATTTATTGTGTATAACATGATGTTTTAAAGTACACATACATTGTGAAATGGTTAAATCTAGTTCATTAACAAATGTACTGCCTCACAGTTATTTTTGGTTTTTTCGTGGTAAGAACACTTACTGGCAGTATCCCCTGCCAGAGCTAATCTCTCTCCTCAGTGTCCCCACGCCAAGCCTAATCTTCTGTGTCCCCTCCCACCCAGCACAGTGCGCTCCTAGCATTTTTTAACAATATCATTATTACTATAGTCACCTTGCTGTATAACAGAGCTCTTGAACTTATTCCTCCTGTCTAACTGTATGTATTCTTTGACAAACATCTCTCCAACCACCCTTCCCCATACCCTTCCCAGCCTCTAGTTACCTCCTTCCTACCCTCTGCCTCTATGAGATCAATATTTTTAGATTACACATATGACTGAGATCGTGCAGTTTTTGTCTTTCACTTCTGATGTTCTTTATATCTTTGTGTAGACCCAAGTTTCTAATCCACATCACCTACCTTTCACCTGAAAAACCTCCTTAACTTTCTTGTAGAATATGCCTGGGTGCAATGAATTCCCTGTGTTTGTTTGTCTGATAATATCTTCATTTCTCCATAACTTTTTAAAGCAACCTTACTGAGATAAATTTACATACCATAAAGTTCACCCATTCAAAATGTACAATAGTTTTTGGTATATTGATAGAGTTTTGCAATCATCTCCATAATGTAATTTTCAAACATGTTCATTCCAAAATGTCCCAAAAGAAACAATGCAAAGTAACTCCCATCATCCCTGCCTTTGGCTCCCCCCACCAGTCACTGGCAACAACATATTTATTTTCCTCTATGGACTAGCCTGTTCTAACTATTGCATATAAATTAGATCATAAGACAAGTGGTATCTTATAATTAGCTTCTTTTACTTAGCACATTTTGAGGGTTCATCTGAGTTGTAGCAGGTATCAGTACTTACTTCCTTTTTTATTGCCAAGTAATATTCCATTCTAGATATATCACATTTTGTTCATCCATTCAAGAATTAATGGGCATTTGGTTTGTTACCACTTTTTGACTACTATGAATAATGCTGCTACAAATATTCATGTTTAGATTTTTGTGTTGACATTTGTTTTTGTTTCTCTTGGGTGGATATTTAGAGGATAGAAATTGTCAGTTTATATGGTACCTGTAGAGTCAACATTTTCAAGAACTACAAAAGGATTCTCAACCGGGCGTGGTGGCTCATGCCTGTAATCCCAGCACTTTGGGAGGCTGAGGCGGGCAGATCACGAGGTCAGGAGATCGAGACAATCCTGGCTAACAAGGTGAAACCCCATCTCTACTAAAAAAATACAAAAAATTAGCAGGGCATGGTGGCGGGCACCTGTAGTCCCAGCTACTCAGGAGGCTGAGGTAGGAGAATGGTGTGAACCCAGGAGGCAGAGCTTGCAGTGAACTGAGATCGCACCACTGCACTCCAGCCTGGGTGACAGAGCCAGACTCCGTCTCAAAAAAAAAAAAAAAGGAATCATCCAAGGTTCCTGGACCATTTTACATTGCCATCCCCAATGTATAAGAACTTCAATTTCTCCACATCCTCATCAGCACTTATTATTGTCTGTTTTATTTTACCTATCTTAGTGAGTGCAAAATGGTATCTCACTGTGGTTTGACATTCCCTTCTCTAATTAATAATGTGATATTGAATGTCTTTTTATTTGCATGTTAGCCATTCATATTTTTTTGGAGAAATAACTATTCAAATTTCTTACCCATTTGTTATATGGGCTATTTGTCTTTCCTTTATTGAACTGTAAGCATTTTTCATATAAATTTTTCATAAAAATCCCTTTATGGATATATGATTGGCATACATTTTCCCCCGATTTGTGTGTTTTCTTTTTCTTTTATGCCCTTTACAGCACAAACTTTTTTAAAAAGTTTAAAATTTTGGAACTTACCTATAATTTCAGAAGTCCAACTTATCTATATTCCCTTTTATTAGCTGTGTTTAGGGATTATATCTAGGAAATCATTTTTAAAAGCAAGATATTGAAGATTTATTCCTGTATTTTTTCCAAAAATTTTAAAGCTTCGCTTTTACATTTAGGCCTATGATCCACTTTGTGCTAATTTTGGTATATGGTATGAAGTAGGGATTACAAAGGACCATGAACAGCCAAAGCGATCTTGGGCAACAAGAACAAAGCTGTAAGCATCACAATACTTAATTTCACATTACAAAGCTGTAAGTAATCAAAACAGCATGGTACTGGCATGAAAAAAGACACATGAACCAATGGACTAAGATAGAAAGCCCAAAAATAAACTCACACATTTATGGTCAGTTGATTTTCAACAAAGGTGCTAAGAACACACGATGGGGAAGGGACAGTCTCTTTAATAAATGGTGTTGGGAAAACTAGATATTCACAAGCAGAATAATGAAATATGACCTTTATCTCACATCACAAACAAGAATAAACTCAAAGTGAGTTAAAGACTTACATTTAAGACCTAAAACTGTAAAACCACTGAAATAAAACATAGGGGAAAAGCTCCATGACATTGGTTTGGGCAATTATTTTTTGGCTATGACCCCAAAAGCACAGACAACAAAAGTGAAAATCAGACAAATTGGATTAAGTTGAACTATAAAGCTTCTGCCCGGTGAAGAAAACAATCAAAGTGACAACCTACAGAACAGGAGAATATATTAGGACATCAGACATCTGATAAAGGGCTAAAACCCAATATGTAATAGATAAAAGGCTAATATCCAATATGTAAAAGAAACCCCAGCAACTCAATAACAAGACAACTGATTGTTCTACATGAGGATACCCAGTTGTCCCAAAAACATTTCTTGAAAAGACTATTCTTTCCACACCGAATTGTCTTGGCTCCTTTGTTGAAAATTAAATAAGTATAAATGTAAGGGTTTATTTCTGGACTCTGAATTCTATTTGTTTGATGTATCTATCTGTCTTTATACCAATGCCACACTATCTTTGTTACTGCATCTTTGTAGTAAATTTTGAAATTGATAAGTATGAGCCTACCTACTTCCTTCTTCCCATCATAGCCTGAACTACTTTTTCAGGTTAACTTTGGAATGCCCTTGGCAAAGAAGAGGGGTCCATTCAGATGACTGGACGCATGTGACCAAGGTGGTTGGGCACATGGCAAGGTGGTCTTGATACATGTGCCCAAGGTGGTCGGGGCACATGTGCAATCCCAGCTGTGATCCCAGTATAGCCTCCTGAGTAGCTGGGACTATAGGCACATGCCACCATGAGGGGCCGTAGAATTTTATTTCTGGTTTACACTCAGGTAATTTTTGTATTTTTAACACCGACGGGGTTTTGCCTTGTTATCCAGAATGGTCTTGAACTCCTGACCTCAGGTGATCCACCCGCCTTGGCCTCCCAAAGTGCTAGAATTATAGGCATGAGCCACTGTGCCTGGCCTGATTCATGTATTGTTTTTGACAATGTCCTGCAGTATGAATTGTTCCAAAGTCTGATCCGATTGAACCCAGGCTCCTTGGCAAGGGCAAAGAATTAGCCTCTCTGGGGCAGCATCTCTGCACTGTGGTGCAGAACCTAGGTGGAGGAAGGATTTTGCTTTCTTCCATCTACCTCACACAGATCCTCTGTGTGGCAGGAGCTGTGTGTGGCAGAGGCACTGGTGCTGTAACCCAACTGCTGCCACGTCACCCACTATGGGTCTTTCACAACCTGGTCAGAGGAGATGAGATGGGCTGATGTCCACTGGCTGCCACCTCTGCCTGGAGCAGAGCTTCCGCCTTAGGAAGCTGGGAGAGATGGGAGGTGTGACTAACAGCCATGCCTGCTGAAGTGGCTGTCCTGCCACACAGATGTGTGAGGGACGCAAGGGCTGTACTCTTTGCCAGCTGCCCCTCCCAAATCCTCCCTACAGAGCAGGAGTTGGACGTGGGCAAATAGGCAGCACCCAGCTGCTGGTGTTCATGTGATATGGGCCTTACTTTGCATGGAGCTGTGAAAAATGGTATTTCTCATGTTCAAGGGCTGGCAAGACCACCTAAAGTAGCTCTTCCACCTCCAGGAGCTGGGGAGATGACAACAGCTGCTCATGTGCTGAGGATACACAGTTGCTCCATGAGGCAGAGTTGAGGGAAATGGGTTTAATTCCTCCCCCATATGGCATAGCCTCCCACATTTCTGTCATCTAAAAGACCATCAGGATGGCTAAATGGTAGAAAGGAGAGCTTGATTGGTGATGTTTATGGAGAGTCAAACTCTGTAAAATATTTGAAGAGATGTACTCTAAGCCAAAAAATGGATGACCTCAGGAGAACTTGAGAACATGTGCCCAAGGTGGTCAGGCACAGCCTAGTTTTATACATTTTAGGGAGACATGAGACATCAATCAAATACCTGTAAGATTTACATTGGTTCGATCTGGAAGGATGGGACAACTCAAAGCAAGCAGGGTTCCAGGTCATAGAAAGAAATGTCTGGATTATGATAAGGGGTTGTGGAGAACAAGGTTTTATCATGCAGATGAAGCCTTTAAGTAGCAGGCTTCAAAGGTAATAGATTGTAAATGCTGGTTGAATTTTCCTGAATTCCAAAAGGGAGGATGGTATAATGAGATATGTTCAAACCTGCTTCCCATCATGGCCTGAACTACTCTTTCAGGTTAACTTTGCAATGCCCTCGGCCAAAAGGAGAGGTCCTTTCAGATAACTGAGAGGCCTTAGAATGTTATTTCTGGTTTACAGTGTTATCAGTTTGGAAACTGCATCTCAAGCATGGACCACAGGTGCTCTCTCTTTGAAGAGGGGGAAGGACAGGTTGGGTTTTTTACCTCACAGGTCCTGAATCACACAATAGAGAGAGACAAACGTCTTCAGGAGGTTTGGGGAAAAGCTGTACCTATTCCCGAGGGGAGCCAAGCACATTCACAATGGGTAAACATATATGTAACATACGTCCCATGCTCACTTTGGGGTGGGTGTTAGCATTAAAGTGAGGTGGAATTTGGGTCTTTATTTCAAAAGGGGTGAACTATAGACACAAAGACAGTTTGTATGCAGTCTCTAGAAGCTGCTGAAACTGGCTTAAGATCTGCAGTCGCTTATCAGGAAAGAGCATCAGTGAGGCCAGTCCTCTGTCCATTCAGAGCTGCAGTGACCTGGGTTGTAAATCAGGGTTAAGAGGGATCTGATCATTTGCCTGCTAGCTCCCATTCTTAGAGAATTTAACAAAAGTGTGGGTTTCTTGTAGCCATAGGAATTTAGGAAGATGCCATGCCAGCCAAGCTGAACCCTCCAGCCATCATTAACTTTTGTTTCCTTAACCTTAGTGTCCATCATGGTTGATGAAGGGGAGTCTGTTTTGGTCTCTCAGATCACAGTTCTTACTGAGTTTCCATAGGTTTCATTGAATAAATGGTTCTCAGCTTGCTATATATAGTTGTCAATTAGTTATAATCCCTTGATTAGACCCCCAATGATGTTGAATGATGTATATGCTAATCTTACCAACTTAATATATGTTTCTCCATGGGAGAAGTTTCCCTGAGCCCCGCATACCATAATTGTTGACTGCATTTTGTCTTTATTATGATTTCCTTATGGCACCTTTTAATAGAGTAAGATTAATAAAAGCCAGAAGCATTTGCAATAACATTTTTAATGTTACTATATAAAGCCTTTATCTCATCCATCTGGGCCACTGCTTCTGGCATTTACTTTCCTAAATTGTTACAATTTCCCCCAATCCAACACACAAACCCACATCAACTCCTGATATTTGTAAGCCCTTGTGTTGTATTCCCTGTGTAATTTGAATCTTCTCCTGCTCCAGCTGTGTCTTGTCTCTACTTGGGGTACAATTAATAGCAGAGCCAGTCATGTCCTACCAGCATTCCTTTTATACAGGCTGGATATATGTGTGAGTATAACCAACTTTTTATTTCATTTTATTTTGCACAGTGCAGCACTGAGACCTTAGAATTTTTCTGCTAATAACTCTCAAGACTTCTTTGCACAGCTACTTTTAAGATAGTTAACCTATAATTTTTTATCTTTACTATGTTATTATTTTTGATAGGATTTAGCATGACTCCCAAAATATATTTTACACTGGCCAAAAAGAAAAAAAAACCCTCTAAATTGTTTAAGGACAAACGTATTTCTAAAAATTTATTTTTCAATTGTTACATTTCTCAGTGTATTCATTTGCTGGGGCTGCTGTACCAAAGTACCACAGACTGGGTGACTCAAACAACAGAACCACATTGTCTTACAGTCCAGATGCCCAAGATGAAGCCATCCACAGGGTGGTGGTGCCTTCTCAAAACAATGAGAGGGACTCTATTTCATGCCTTTCTATTTCTGGTGGTTTGCTGGTGATCTTTGGCATACTTGGTTTGCAAAGGCATCATTCCCATTGTTGCCTTTATCTTCATATGGTGTTCTCCCCTGTGTGGTATCTGTGTCCAAATCATTTCTTCTTAAAAGAACACCAGTCATGTTGGATTAGGGGCCCAGCCTACTCCAGCATGGCCTCATCTTAACTAACTATAGTTGCAATGACCCTGTTTCCAAAAAGATCACATTCTGAGGTACTGGGTGTTGGGATGTCAACATATGCATTTTGAAGGGATAAAATTCAAGCCATAAAAATCAGCAACTTCATATATATATTTCCCTAACTTACTTTGTTTTATTTTCCAGGTCATTGACTAACAACATCAACAATGAAATGAATCTGAGAAAACAGGAAATTGAGAGCAAGAGAAAAAAAAGTTAATTATACTGATTTTGTATAAGACCCCTTTGAACACATTTTTAAAAAATCAAATAGAAGGTGCCCAGGTCCACTGTGCCTTGTGAATATTTGTCTTGTATATCCTAGAGATCTACGCATTCATGTGGGAATTGAAAAGGACCCACATTTTACTAGAAGCATCGTTCATTTTTGCCTCAAAACAATGCCCACATGTCAGAAGAACTTTCACAATTCACAGGAACAGTGACCTAATTAACCAACCATAAAATTGCCAAATCCCTACTTCTCATTGTTTAATATGCTTAGAAAACCCATTCAAATTGTGAATTATCAAGTGAGCTTACACTGATAAATAGATCCAATATTTAGGAATTTTTAAATCTTCCATTCCTTTTTTTTTTTTGTCTTTTTAAAAATAGAACATTAGAATATGTCCTCCAGGTTTTAGAGATGGGGGAGACATGCTTCCCTTTATTTCTCAGTAACTCAGCCAAAAAAAATCTGGAGAGAATGCAAAGACAGCTACTGGAAACTTTGAAAAGTAGATGTGAGCCCATCAGGGAAGAGCTAGAGAATCTGAAATCTACTCGAAAAAGTGAGTTTGATACTTTGTGTTCCTATCCTAACTCCACACAGCCTGAAACTTGGAAGTGAGCATGATGGAGTGGATACAGTGAGATGCAGAAGAAATCCTCCAGTTTGGGCTGGAAGGGAAAAAAGAGACCCCTAAAACTCAGAGACAGTGGAAGAAATTCCTGGTGTTTTTTTCTTCTCTTTTTCTCTGTTCTTCCACATAGCAATTTAGTATTGACTACAGCATCTCTGTTACAATGATAGCACCGAAATGTTGTAACCATATGGCCTGCAAAGCCAAAAATACTTATCTGACCATCTACAGGAAAAGTTTGCTGATCTGGATGAAATATTCTGATACTAAATATTCCATTTTGTGAGTATACCACAACTTAACTTAAAAATCTACCTCTAGTTGGCTATTTAGGCTTTTTGTTTGTCTGTTTTCTGGCATTATAAATTGTGCTGCTATAAGCTGGTTTGTGTGTGTCTCTGGATGGATATGAACAGTTTCCTAAGATTGTGTACCCTGAAAAATGCCAAGTCATAGGGTATGGCTGTATTGCAGCTTTTCCAATTTTTAATTTATCTTTTCACATTTTCTACAGTAACTTTTGATAAATAAAAGTTCCCTCCATACTCAAGTGAGCACATTCCTGTAACAGATCTCCTGTCGGTTCTCTTTCTCAGGAGAACCCTGACTAATATCTATTTATATTCTCATTTTTCACCAAAAATAAACAAGGCTTTGGTGTTCTGAATGGAATTGTTTTGAATTTTAGATTAATTTTGGGAAAATGGCATCATTAAATATTGATTGTTCTCATTCATAAATATGTGATATGTCTCCAATTATAGCTCTTCTTTTATGCCTTTAACAAGTTTCTTTTTATAATTCAGTGAATATGGAGCCTGCATAGCTTTTGGAAGGTTTTGTAGTTTTACTCTGTCTACTAAAAAGCATAAAAAAATTTGTAAGCCTCAATGCAATTAGAAATTAAGAATTAAGCTACTAATGGTGCAACTCTGTAAGCACAAGGCATAAAAAACAAGTGTTATGGCCGAGCCACACAGTGAAAGAGGTATGAATCACTGCAAACACTGGTTGAAGGGAAGCTGTCCTCCAAACAGAAGCATCCATTTTTGTACTTTTTAAAAATTTTTATTTATTTATTTTTTGAGATGGAGTCTTGCTCCATTGCCCAGGCTGGAGTGCAGTGGCGCGATCTCGGCTCACTGCAACCTCCGCCTCCCAGGTTCATGCCATTCTCCTGCTTCAGCCTCCCGAGTAGCTGAGACTACAGGTGCCCGCCACCAAGCCCAGCTAATTTTTTGTATTTTTAGTAGAGACAGGGTTTCACCGTGTTAGCCAGGATGGTCTCGATCTCTGGACCTCGTGATCCACCTGCCTCAGCCTCCCAAAGTGCTGGGATTACAGGCATGAGCCACCGTGCCCTGGCCCCATTTTTGTACTTTTAAGGGAGTGAGAAATAAACTACTTTTGCTTTTAAGCCGTTATAAAATTTGGCATGAATTTGCCAAGCAACTCAACATTAATCTACTGTCCTTGAATTAATTATAAAAGTTGCAGACAGTCTTGAACATTTAACAACACAGACACAATTATTCGTGAGGAATTAAAATTGGGAAAAGTTCTAATACTTTTTTTTTTGTAGAACATTTTTACCAATTTAAAAAAGTGATCATTATAGATTAACTTGAAATCACAATGCAGAATTGTGTTATGCCATAGATCACTCAATAATTTGTTGTCACATATATGCTTCTCTGCCAATCCTAGTAGACTTCACACCTTGTGCTATATTATTAGTCTTCCTTTTATGAGGCAGACAGTACCCATTTCATAAAATATGAAGACTATAGCTTCGGGCCAGAGGATTTGAATTTTCATACTAGAGGTTATAATATGTGATATCATGAGCTTGTTTTTATTGTCCTAGGAGGCTGATATTCCTAATCTATTCATAAGGATGGCATATCTACCCAGTGGGCCTGCTGGGACTCCAGTTACCCGATGCACATACATTGCTTGGTGGTCAGTAAATATTATTTTGCTTTCTTTATTCCTTTGTGGAAAAATTTCAGGTAGAGAAGAAACCTGAAATAATTTGAAGAACTTTAAAATTTTTTTCACCCACTAATTTATATTCTCATTAGCAAAAAGAACCGAATATTGGTAGCTCTATACTTTATAATAAAGATGTGGAACTTCTTGATTACTCTTTCCTTCTTCTACGTTGACTCATTCTATCACTATTAATTCACTCAGGAAATGCTGATTGAGCAGCTCCTTTGTATAGATGTTAATAGCACGGTTCTCGCCATAGGTCACAGAGGTTGGTTTGCTGAGCAACTCTGAGAACCCGTTTTTAAGTTCCCTGACTCTCCTATTCACTGGAATGGAATGCCTTGCTGTCTGGGCCCTCCTTGCTTCACCTTCCAATGAACTGAAATCATCACACTGATCCTATTGTAGCGGAGAGTGGTGTGTTAAAACCATAACCATAACCCCGTCTGGAGACCAGCCTCAGCTCTGTCGCTTTCTTATCTCTTCAGATGCAGCAGATAGTTACCTCTAACTTTTAGTTTGCCTCAGACATTAAGAATAAAATCATATTCAGCATAATTTAGGTGTCATTCTCCACATTCCACTGGTGCTAACAAACATTTTTGTATTGTTCCCATGTGTCAACAATAGCAATCTGTGGCTCATTATAAGTGACAGCAAATGTCAACAAGCCTGCCTCCTGGAGATTTGTTTGTAAAGATTCCTTATCAGTTGTTGTTATTTATACCCCTGGCTTCTATCGTCATTGATTATTCTATATATTTTCCTCCTTCAAGTGAATGTACAAAGAGACCAAGAAAACCTCAGTCAAACTTGGAAATTTCCTTTGTAATATTCTTTTTAAAGTTAGTTATGGTAAGTTCCTTATTATCTATCTGTTAAGAATTGGGATGGTGAGCTTGGTTTGATTTTCTGGTTAACAAGAATATTAGCCAATCATCAAGAATATAAAAGGAAACACTGGTTAGCAAAGAATTAGAATTACAAAAGCAATGAATTCATACCTAAGCCCTTGAAGGTTACACTGGTTTTGATTCATAAGGTGCATGCTTCTGGTGTCCAAGTGCAATATTCCAAACATCAATTATCACTGTACATTGGTTTATTAAATATTTTCTGATTGATTTGCTTTATCTAGATTCTACATAATGCTTTGTACTAAACTATGAATACTTTGCATTTATGGAAAAATGTCCAGCTTGAGATCACAGAGCAATTGAAGATTATCTTCCAGAGACTTATTTTTCTCCTTAAACTTTTGTTTCCTTAATTTGGCAAACAAAGCTAGTCACTTTCTGTCACATTTCTTCTCTTTTCTTTCTTTCTTTCTTTTTTTTTTTTTTTTTTTTTTTTTGATACAGTGTCTTGCTCTGTTGCCCAGGCTGGAGTGCAGTGGTGCGATCTTGGCTCACTGCAACCTCCGCCTCCCGGGTTCAAGCAATTCTCCTGCCTCAGCCTCCCGAGTAGCTGGGACTACAGGTGTCCACCACCACACCCAGCTAATTTTTGTACATTTAGTACAGACAGGGTTTCACCATATTGGCTAGGCTGGTCTCAAACTCCTAACCTTGTGATCCGCCTGCCTTGGCCTCCCAAAGTGCTGGGATTACAGGCGTGAGCCACCGCACCTGGCCTGTCACAAAATTTCTATCTCATCTTATTCTATCCCATGTCATCCACTGCCGTTGTACCACCAAACTCTACATTGTCCTCTCTCAGAATGTCCTCCTGTTCCTTGGAGATAGCACTGTACTGCTGTTACCATAGATGCAACCCTCAGGCTTCATGCCTGCATGGCTTCTGCACCTGGGTACGTCCTGGAGATCTTTGCAGCCACCTAAACAGACACGGTACCCTCTGTTCCAGCACTCTGTACTTGGTTCTTATCTTGCCGGGTATGTGTTAGTCTGTGTTTCATCTTTTTATATGTGTGTCGCTTCTAGTAAACTCTGAGCTCCTCAGCTTAAAAGTCTTATTTTGTGCAATTTCTTTTAATCACCAGTATTTGATACATCACTTGGACACTTAAAGAATAAATGAAATAAATGAATGAAGCATTTCTTCCAGCGTACAAAACAACTGAATAAATGAATCAATTAATTCTCACCTAACAAATAGAAGTGCCAAGGAAGTGGTTAAATGATTTGGTCCTGGTTAACACAGAGCTTGGGATGGCCACCAACTCTCACCTCATCATTCTATCTACTGACTAGTTGGCCTTGAATTTGTTAATTTAAACAAATTTGAAGTTTCAATGTTCTTGCAGCAAACTCTAACATACATACTTAATGATTAAAGGCAAGACCTCAAGGGCAGATTGGAAAACTAAGAACAATGCTAAAAAAAAAAATGACTTGCAGGGTTTTTACTAATTTCCAAAATTAAGTAACAAATCACTGACTTGAAAATATTTTTCACAGCAGCAGTGATATCATCTATCTAGGTATGGTTTAAAACACAAATCTCAATTTTTCCTTTCCTTTAGCTGAAATAATAAATAAGATAGATTTTGCTATGATTAGGAAGGAAAGATATCAGTGCCTAGATTATCCCATATAAAGGAGTTCACTCACTTTTAAGATGCAATCTATTTTTGCCTTAAATGTCTTCTGCAAACAGCCTTGCCACTTCAGTGCTTGTGAGTTGATGTATGTGTCAAGAGAACTGAGCCAGGTCCCGGCTGTGCCGCAAATCATTCACGTGGTGCAGATGGACACACGTTCTGTTAGTCAAATAAGCATATTAGATTCAATGACTATGAAACTCTCCTTCCAGGTCAAATAGCCTGTTATTTGTGCATTCCAGTATGATCATTGCCATTTATTTAAAGTATTTCTACCTATACAGATATTAGTTACTAGCGACTCAAGTACACGTTAGAATTAATTGTTTAAAAGAGCAAATAAACCTCTCACCGCAATGGCAATTAAAGACACCCAGTCCTGCTGTGTGCTTCCTCCATTTGCTTCTAGTGGCAGTTTCGTGTGCATTTTTGGTGATGATGCTCCACGGAACATCTGCAGATGTGCTGTCAATTTGGACAGGTAAGATGGCTTTAGTAATTCAAGATGTCACAACAACTCCTTGCCAGTTAATCTCAAGTGAAAAATAGGACAAGGATCTGGGACCAACAGAAAGATTCATCTGCTTTGCAAATTGACTTAGTCAGGATACCCCTTTTGTAAAGACGACTTTGGTTTAGTGAACAGCTCTCATTATGTTTATAAACAGAGGAATTTTTAAAAATCTATCATTATACCTGAGAAAAAGCAGATGAGAGATTTTATTGTAATACTATTTCATTAATTTTCTAAATTGAGATGGAAAAAAACTAATTTTGACTTTATATTAACTGGAGAGTTTTTCATTATCGATGACTGCTCTTTAAAGATATTTTACATATGGTATTTTAAACACAGCTGAGTGCTTTTATTATCTACTTGAGAGAGTTGGATTTTTTTCCTAATGTAGTTTTCAAAATATTGTCATTGACCCTGAACAACATTAAGAGTGGATAAGGGTAGAGAATAATGATAAAGATGAAGTATACAAGTCACTGAATTCTATTTTGAAAATGTTGATATTTTTATTTTCCAAAAAGTTATTACTCACACTAACATACCCATTACCTTGTCCTTTACTGCCAACATCACTCTTGGTTTTATGTTAGGCCCTTAAGGAAAATATTTTTTTCTAACAACTCATATCATGTAAAGATCTGTAGCAGTGCTAGGTAGAATTGGGAATATCATAAGATCTAGAGATGACAGTAAAATGTATATTAGGTTCAGCTATGAAGCAGTTTATTTTTTCATAAATTATTTACAATCTAATTTTAGGCATATAAACAAATCGGGAAGTCCGTTAAGGTAGTCCTCTTTAAGGCTGTGTACCTGCCGTGAAATTGCTGCCTCTATTTACACCATTTTCAGAGGACCACTTGTATAATTACCATCTAACCCAGTGCATATGCTGCACATAAAACAACTGGTCTCAGTCATTTATTTCCAGATTATGTTTGAGTAAAGAAAAAAAATGATTCGGATTGAACAGCGTAATTTCAAAACTCATTTTTCTGTCTCTAAATGTGTACTATGCTCTTAGAAGCTCACATATTTGCCACCATTAAATATGACCAGGGCTCTAAAGTCCTCTCAGCTGCCCCAGTGGAACTAGGGTACCTGTGTCTGACCATGTTGACCCTCGGGAGGGACAGCGCTCATCTGATTGAATGCGCTTATTAAGTTGCCCAATAGGCAGCCACTAAGAAAAGTTGACACTTAAAACCACTATGCCATGGTTGTGGTGGAGAGAGAAATCTAAGAGACTCGAGGTGCATGACACCTCCAGTCCCTTCAGCCCCACCCCATAGAATCTATGCAGCCAGTAAATGTGTCTCAGATGAGTGCCGGGTGCAGAGCACCACACTGGGTTCAGAGGTACAGCAGTGAGAAGGAAAGACAGTCTCTGCTCTCGTGGTGGTGGGAAAGAGAGACGGTATCCAATATGCCCTGTGATAGCAGCCAGGACGGGCAATCATCGAGAAAGGAAGCTAAGCAGTCAGAGGTGCTCAGGTTGAGTGACATTCAAGCAGAGACCCGAAGACGACGAGGGAAAGAACCACGCCAATGTGGATATTGGAGAGGCGATTGTGGGGGTCACCTGGGCCAGGCGCTCCCCAAAGATCAAGTAGGAGGAAGGCTGCTGGGTTGGGAAATATGGAGGTCATTGTTTGCCACGACAAGGCCAGTTTTGGTGGACTGGTGGGGCTAACCCACATGGAGTGGTTCAAGGGAGGACAGGAGGAGGAGACGTTGAGAGTGGGGAGTGCAGACTGGGGAAGAATTCTGCTCCTGGGCCACCAAGCACTGCTATATACCCTAAGCAGCTGGCACAGCAAAACCAGAACCAGCACCCTCAGCAGAAGCAGCCAGAGGATCAGCACCAAGGACAGAGGGAGAATGAGGTGGCGAGACAGGCACAGACCCACCAGTGCCTGCCTTGAGGGCAGTGAAAGACCAGCTCCCCCAGCCACATGATGTGTGTCTGCAGAGGCTTTAGATAACCATGTATATAGAGCACCCTTGACATAAGTGGTTCCATCATCTTACAGTTCATAGGACACACTGCAATGGAGAGTTTGCCTAATAAAGATTGCATCCAACCAGATAAGGATATAAACACACTCTTCCACTATTGGCCCTCCCCAGAGGACTCTGGCCAAAAAAAGAGCAGGACTTCAGCTGTTCAAAACGGTCACGTTAATTGACATCGTCTTGCTGTCACTTGTGATAAGCACCCAACATCTGCCCACATCGAAGACTCTTCCTTGCAAGACGAATTGCTGAGGCCAGACGGGGAGATTCTTTTAATCTTTTTGTCACTCTCCCTGTACTGCCTTGTTAACCCTTTTTCCTATCTTTTCTTAACGCTAAATGTGACTTTGTTTGTTGTGGAATGTTTAATCTGTAACGTTTATATATTGATTAAGTATACTATTATGTATGGTTTGCAATATTGACTGACTTATGGAGTGGCTTGAACCTGTGTCCCCGCAGCTCTGACTACCGAGTGAATGGGAAGTACTAACGAGAACTGTCTGCTTGGGAACTCCATGAAGTTCGTGGCTTTTGTGATTGAAATAGCATCAATAAAAGGTTGACACTGTGGAACAACACAAGCCTGCATGGACCTGGTTATCTCTGACCTCGCACCACTCATGAGACCATACCTGAGCCCTACTCCACTTTGGCAGAACTGTTGCATGGCCTCTCTTCATATAATACCTCTCCGTACACCGTACACCGCAGCTCAAAGAAAGGATATATGCTCCCTGTGAAGACTAATGGAACTGTCCCTCCTGATCCTCCTACAGACTTCCTCTGGCCTAATGGGTGCACCATTGCATTATATCTGCCATCTATACACACATATACCTTTCAACCCTGCACTCTCTGAGATGACTGGACTCATGCCTAAATAACTGATGCTGTCCCTAGTGTAAGGTAAGCACTCAATAGTTTCTCAGGAAATGAATATGATAAATATTTTGGCTGTTTAGAGGCTTTCCTTCACTTCATTTTCTGTGTCCTCTTATTTAAAAAGAAGTGCTCACTAGAGGTTACCTGAAGACATATCTGATCCTTGAAACCTGCAGTAGTCTAACACAGAGGCCAAGATCACAGGTCTTCATAAAAGTAATACTTTCCTCATGACAATGAAGTGCCACAGGGCCAACTCAAAAATTGAGACTGAGCCTGGGAGGCCATGTGGGTTCTCGGCTTTGTGCGGGCAGGAATTCGACAGCCAGCCAACAGAGTGAAGAGAAAGCAAGTTTACTAAGAAAGTAAAGGAATAACAGGGTGGCTATGCCATAGGCAGAGCAGCCCTGAGTGCTGCTGGTTGGCTTTTTCTATGGTTATTTCTTGATTATATGCTAAACAAGGGGTGGATTATTCATGAGTTTTGGGGGAATGGGAGGACAGTTATGGGAACTAATGTTTCCTCCCCCTTTCAGACTATATAGGGTAATTCTTGATGCTACCATCGCATTTGTAAATTGCCATGGCATTGGTAGGAGTTTCTTTGAGCAAGTTAACGTATTATAATTAGCATATAATGAGCAGTGAGGACAACCAGAGGTTGCTTTTGTGGCCATCTTGGTTTTGGTGGGTTTTGGCTGGCTTCTTTACTGCATCCTGTTTTATCAGGTTTTTTTTGTTTTTTTGGTTTGTTTGTTTTTTGAGCTAGGTCTTGTAAAACAGTCCTGCCAACTTCCTATCTCAGAATCACATGTCTCTCATTGTCCTAGCTCAGGGTGATAACACGGGAGGCATGCCAGGTTACTTGTCACCCAATATTCATTCTCCTGTTCTGAGTCAGAAATGAATGAGGGGCTTGGCTGTGATGTTCTCCTCTGGACAGAGCCCTCACTTCCCAGCTGACTTGAGGCTGGTGTGGCCTTGTGTCCAGGTATGTGGCCAACAGAGATGTAAGTAGAAATCTTACCAATTCTTCCAGGAAGTCTTTTCAAAGAGAGACTGGACGACCTTCTCTCTTTCTCTCTCCATCCTGCTGCTTGGGAAAGGGATGTGACATCTGGAGTCCTGGCAGCCACCTTGGAGCACAAGATTAAGAGCCCCAGCTAAGGCAGGCAGAGTGGCTGGCGGAAGGGAGCAAGGGCCCCTGGGGAACTTACTGCTTACCCTGGGCTTCTTTAAAGTGGAAAAAAAAAAAAAAAAGAAATTCCACTTCCTATCAGCTCTTTTATTCTGGATGTCTCAGCCAAACACACCCAAACCCAATACTGACATAAGTTATTTGTCAGTATTGACAAATATTTGTAAAGTCTTCACTTTTGAAATTAAATATATTCACCGTGCTGTGTAAAGTATAATATGAATGCTTTTTTAAAAGTTATTTGTTTACTGGGATTATATTTGCCTGTGTGAGCCAAAAGAAGCATTTCTGCCTATTACCGTGGGAGTTTTCAGAGCATGGGTCTAGGTGGCGATATCCCCACTGAATCAAAAGGCAGACTCAGAAGTGGTTTTACAAAGAGAAATATGAACACTTTTCTCATTGTGAGATAACCATTACATCTCAGTTTAAAGATCCAAAGCTAATTTTGGAAATTATTTTTAAGGCACAGAGGAAAAACATCATGTGAGCTCACAGGTCTGACACAGTTGTGAACAGCTTGTTTTCTTATAGAAATGCTGTGGTGGCTGCCTGGGCTAGGGCATTTGCATTTCAACCAAATGTTCTTTCAAAGTCAGAGCCAGAGCAGCTAGAAGCTTCCTTAAAACCAGGTGAACCCTAAACGTAGAAATAGGAAAAACAGTGGCCTCCACTGTGTCCTTTCACATCTCGGCCTCTGAACTTCAGCCTGAGACACTGGAAAGCTGCACCCTTCCTCTGTCTCCTCAAATCCTGCAAGCCCCAAGGCACATCACCCGACATCAAAAGGCCATCCTCATTTCAGGTGGATGTCCCATTTGACTGACAGCAGCTACTTGTGTTTCAGAATAGGATTTGCTTAAAAATCACTTGGTATCCTTGTGAGCAGGGAGTCTCCCAAGGCCTGACTCCACATTCTGCAGCATTAGGTGAGCACATGACCCAAAAATCTATGTCATTTATTACTTCCCAGGCACATTGACTCAGATGCTCCTTGGACCATTCTCAGGAGTATTGGTGTCGATATTACTGATCTCAAAATGAAACCATCCCAGTTTCCCCATGGAAATGATGTTTACCAGGTTTGGATGGTTCTTTTGAATAAACAGAAATTGATCCTCTGATCTTAAAACTTGAAACTTACATTTGTCTTATCTGAGTTCCTTTCTTGGGCAAGGAACTGAAACTCACTAGATGAACACATCCAGGCTCTAAGACACCAGACCCCTCATCCTTCATGATTGTTTCCTCATGCCTCCCTAATTTCTGTTTTTCTGCATGTAGTTACATTCCTGTGCACTATATTAAACCCCAGTGTTAGTCAGCTGGCGGGACAGGTTTGAGAATTATCTCTTGTCTTCTTGGCTAACACTACTCAAATAGTGCTTTCTTCCTGGACAATATTTGTCATCTCAGAGATTGTCTTTCCATGCAGGGAGCAAAGAGACCTGGACCTAACCCCTGGTGTTTTAGTAACAAAAATTCAAATCTTAAAAGGTGTTATATATCATATCCTCCACTCCTATATGTCTATATTTGAGCTCAAAATTAAAGAAATCTTCATTTAACTGGGTTGGGAGTCCACACTTCCTTTCATGCCCAAACTTTCGGTTGGCATTGGGTGTACTGAAGGGAGAACCCACTGCTGAGCCTGGCTTCCCGGAGGTCAGCTCGCCCTCCAGGAATTTGTAATCTACTTGGGAAATCAAATGATGGAATACCAAGCACAATTATTAACTATTCTTAAGCAATTACCTAAAGGTTTGAAGTGTGCATTGAGCATTTATGTATTTGTAAGGTTCTACCACCTGACCTTGCTAGATTTTGATGCATTTTGGCATGTTCTCGTACCTTGGATCCTAAACATTCTGGCTGTGGCTCTATGACTCCTTTCTCTTCTTGGTTTTGAATGTGGCTCTCCTAGCTGTACCTGAAGAGAGGCTAAGGGTGAAAAGACATAAATATACCATTTGTGAAATTAAATAATTTAAACTTTAAGATGTTGGAATTTTAAATTATTCTGAGCCTTGAGAGGAATGTGGCTATGCAGACTGAGTCACATAGCAGGGAGCAGCAACTCCTTTTTTTTTCTATAACTTATTAAGATCAAACAGTGCCAGAGGTAAGACCCTCTTGGATCACTGTTCCTCCTCATGGAGGAATAATCTTCCCTGGAATATAGCAATCTGTAAGCAATCAATTGCTACAGTATATGCACTAGTCTTGTCTGGAAAATGTTCTAATCCTGCTAATAATATTTCTATCTAGGTGAAACTAACTTCTCCACTTTAGAATGCTAACACCATTCATGTGGAGTTAGTGTTTCCAGGTGGCTCTCCTCAAGTATTGCCCTCAGATAAACTCTATACTAAATCATATTTTCTGAATCTCATTATTTAAAGATGATGTGCTCATGCATGCCTACTTGCATACAAGGTGTATTGTGTGTAGAATATTTACCATTATGGATTCAGTTCTTCAGAGAAGACATGGACTTGTGCACGCTTGAATTTAGTTCAGGGGAGCACATAACAATCACAAAGATCTCACTCAAATCCCTACCTTCTTTCTACTGGGGTGGCTTTGTGTCTTTGAAATATGAAAAACAGGCCCAGTGTGATGGCATACACCTGTAATCCCAGAGCTTTGGGAGGCTGATGCAAGAGGATCATTTGAAGCCAGGAGTTTGAGATCAGTGTGGGCAACAATACAAGAGTCCACCTCTAAAAAAGACTTCTTTTTAAATTTAGCTGAGTATGGTGGCAAGCACCTGTAGATCCAGCTACTTGGGAGGCTGGGGCAGGAGGATGGTTTGAGCCCAGGAGTTTGAGGCTGCAGTGAGCTATGACCATGCCACTGCACTCCAGCCTAGAAAACAGAACAAGACCCTGTCTCTAAAAAAAGGAAAAGAAGAAAGAGGAGGAAGAGGAGGAAAGTAAAAGAAATATAAAAACAGAGAAATGAAAGCTGTTTTTACAAAGAGATGTTAAGAAGGTCAGTATTTTTTGGACTCACCCAATCTGGCAGAAGTCCTAGAGAAGGCTAGACACACAAATCACACTTGGTAGGAGAACGGAGGCTGGTGCTGTGAGATGTAGGGAGTTCTGTTGCAGAGAGCCTCTACAGTGTTAAGGGGAAGAAGGTATCCAAGCTGCTCCTCAGAGGTCAACCAAAAGGTGCAAAGAGAGCTTCCATATGGGCCCAGAATGGGCATGGGCATGGCCAGTTTGATAGGTGCAAGTAGGGACCATTGATCTTGAGAAAAGGAGATAACTTTTATTCGAGGAATATGAATCCTTTTAAATTATCAGGCCAAGAGAGACGTAAAATGAGATAACAATCACATCCTACTTAACCCATGAGCTATGTATTCATTTCTTGCAACTACTTACTATTGCCACAGGTAGCTAGAAATTAACCGAATAATGCTGCACCAAACACAATGACCCACACTTCACTGTTATCTCAAATTTCTGGACTCAAGCAGTCCTCCCACCTCAGCCTCCTGAGTAGCTGGAACTACAGGCATGCGCCACCACACCTGGCTAATTTTTTTTTGATTTGGTAGAGACAGGGTCTCACCGTGTTGTACAGGCTGGTTTCAAACTCCTAACCTCAGGCAATCCTCCTGCCTCAGCCTCCCAAAGTGCTGAGATCACAGTTGTGAACCACTGTGCCCTGCCCTCTACTTCTATTAATTTTACCTCAGCTTTTTCCTTTTAGATCAAAAATTTAACAATGTCTATATAGAATTACCCAGTTGTCCTTTGGATTTTATAAGCTTGTGAGGCTCCAATAGTGTTTTAGTGATGTTGAAGGGTCCATAAAATCTCTGTAAATGAGGAGTTTGGATAAGCTATTGTCCAAGACCCCTGGCAGCTCTAAATCGTTTCCATTCTAGTTAACAACACAATATACACTCTCCTGGAATGCCCATCAAACAGTCTTGGCATTTCACTCCCCAGAACTGACTGGGTCCTCTCCCAGGTTGCTGACCTCTGTAGAAGGGTAGGTGGCGTGTTGTGCAGCTGAACTGTGTCAGCAAAGTCATGCAGCCAAGTGTGCACAGAGATCTTGAAAGTAGTCCAGGTCCAGACACATCCCCTGTCCAGCACCTCACCCTACTCAGTTATCTGGAGAATTCCTATCACTATCCTATGCCTTTCTTCTTATGTTTTCTTTTCATATACTTTATTTTTTAGAGCAGTTTTAGGTTCACAGCAAATTTGAGCAAAAGGTACCACAGGTTCCCATCTGCCCACTACCCCTACACATACATGGCCCTCCCCCAGTCAACATCCTGCACTGCAGTGGCACATTGGCTCCAATGAAAGAACCTGCATTGACAGATCATTGTCACCCAGAGTTCATGGCTTACATTAAGGCTCACTCTTGGTGTTGTGCATTCTATGTGTTTGGACAAGTACATCATCACGGGTACCCGCCACTGTAGTATCATATAAAGCAGTCTCATAGCCCCCGCAATCCTCTCTGCTCCTCCTGTTCATCCCTCCCTCCCTGTCTGCTCATCAGCTGGCTTTCAGTGACTAAAATGGGGACCCCAGGATTTTGTTTTATACACTGCTTATTTGCAGTGTCAGCCCCTAAAACATGGTGTATTGGGACGTACCACATAACAATTTGCAAAAGGAATGAATGAATGGGTGAGTGAACGGGCAATGCCAAGCAAAGGTGTAGCCAGGAAAGTCCCACTGACACTGACACAGAAGGCAGGACTGGCAACACCTCAGATTCTTTCATCTCCCTCTTGCTGAGGTGTTTTAATAAAGAAAGCAGGAGACCTTTCGTGATTTCTGATATGGTTTGGATTTGAGTCATTGCCCAAATCTTATGTCAAATTGTAATCCCCCATGTTGGAGGAGGAGCCTGGTGGGAGGTAATTAGATCATGGGGGTGGACTTTCCCCTTGCTGTTCTCCTGATAGTGAGCGAGTTCTGTTGTGATCTGGTTGTTTACAAACGTGTAGCACCTCCCTCTGCTCTGTCTTCTTCTTCTCTGGCCATGTAAGATGTGTCTGCTTCCCCTTTATTTTCCCCCATGATTTTAAGTTTCCTGAGGCCTCCTCAACAATGCTTCCTGTGCAGCCTGCAGACTCATCCCTGGCCCCCAACAACTCTAGGGGAATGGGTAAGTTGGACTGGCAAGGAGCAACCCTGAGCAACCCTGTCTCACCACGAGCCTCTGGAATCTTAGCAGGAAGAGACCCTTTGACCAGCACAGACACTCCAGTTGGCAGAGAGCTGCTTAGAGAAGTGGTAGGGGTGGCATGCCTGTTGAAACAGAGCTCAGAGGGTTTGGAGCTGGAGCATCTGTAGTGGAGCATGGCCAAGGAAGCCCATCCCTGTCGCCTCCACTTGCTCCCATAGGAGATATTAGCCTTAGGGGAACTGTCAGACCTCATCTCTGCAGGGCAGTCTTGTCCATCATATGGGACCTGTCCAATCTGAGCATCCCTTGGTCTGCTGGCCTCTCCCAGGGCCCCAACCTACTGGCAGAGCAGCCTTGGATACCCTGCGGACCCGCATCATGCCTCCTGCGCCCTGGTAGACTATGCCCATCCAGTGGAGAGCTCCATCGGGGCAGCCCTTATGGCCACACACTATCCTGCATGCCCCCTCCCCACACTGAAGCTTCCCATGGACCCACAGCCAGTCCCTAAATTACTTATGCCAACACGTGTGTGTGCAGATGCATTTGCTTTCCTTGTCTCACTAGCACGTGCGTGTGTGTGTGTGCACCCTGCCCTGCCACTGCTGTGGTGGGAGTGCACTCCGCTCACTCTACCCCCACCAAACCAACAGTGGAGCTTTGACAGGTATACAGCCAGCCAGCCACACCCCCACCAGCATCCTACCCTTGTGTCAACATTTCTGAGGGACTAAAACTAGACATAGAGAACAGTGGACCCTCCCCTTCCCTGAGTGACCACTCCTGACTGTGGTGCACAGAGAACACACACAGACCTGTGCCTACCAGCGCCCCACCCTGCTGCTAGTACCACTACCAACATGACCACATGTGCAGTCACCATCAGGGGCCCCTCACCCCGGAGCTGTGCTTCTTCCACCACTGTGGTGAACACCCACATGGAGGCAGGCACCCCGGCCCACGCTAGCACCCTGCTGCAGTTAATGAGTGTGCACCCTGCCGTGTTGCCACTGCTGTTGCTGCTGGCACATGCAAACAAGGACAGATCCAGCTGTCTCCCCACTATAAACATTTTGGCTGACACCACCCACCAGAGTAGTGACCAATGGTCCAGAAGCACCTCGGCCCCCTAGTGCAGTGGATTCACAAACTCGAGGAGCCAGAGAACAAAGTCAGGGCCCAATACAAGTCCCCCAGAGTTAGGGCACACAGTACAAGAGTTGGGAGCTCAGCATTGGCCCCCTAAAATCTTGCAGAAACAAAGCCAGTTGGCTGAATCCACCTTACACCATAATCAAATCCTCAAGGTCACCAGATAGGATAAAAGGGAAAAAATTCCATCCAAAGGTCAACAGCTTCAAAGATGGAAGAAACATCAGCCCACAAAGATAAGAACCAATGCAAGAACTCTGATAACTCAAAAAGCCAGAGTGTCTTCTTTCCTCTAAACAATTACACCACCTCTCCAGCAAGGGTTCTGAACCAGGTGGAGATGGCTAAAATGACAGAAAGAGAATTAAGGATATGGATAGAAATGAAGATAACTGAAATGCAGGAGTACATCGAAAACCAATCCAAGGAAGTTAAAAATCACAATAAAACAATACAGGAGCTGACAGACAAAATAACCAATATAGAAAAGGCTGTAACTGCCCTTATAGAGCTGAAAAACACACCATAAGAACTTCACGGCCGGGCATGGTGGCTCACGCCTGTAATCCCAGCACTTTGGGAGGCTGAGGTGGGCAGATTACGTGAGGTCAGGAGTTCGAGACCAACCTGGCCAACATGGTGAAACCCTGTCTCTACTAAAAATACAAAAATTAGCCAGGCATGGTGGCACATGCCTGTAATCCCAGCTACTTGGGAGGCTGAGGCAGGAGAATTGCTTGAGCTCAGGAGGCAGAGGTTGCAGTGAGCTGAGATTGTGCCACTGCACTCTAGCCTGGCAGAGAGAGCAAGACTCTGTTTCATAATGCAACTACAAGTATTAATAACAGATTAGAACAAGCTGAGGAAAGAATCTCAGATCTTGAAAGACTGACTTTCTGAAATAGGACAGACAAGAATATAGTAAAAAGAATGAACAAACCCTGTGAGAAATATGGGATTATATGAAGAGACCAAATCTATGACTCACTGGTGTCCCTGAAAGAGATGAAGAGAGTGTAGGCAACTTGGAAAGCATATTTCAGGATATTATCTATGAGAAATTCCCCCAACTTAGCTAGAGAAGCCAACTTTCAAATTCAGGAAATTTCAAGAACCCCAGTAAAATACTTCACAAGAAAATCATCCCCAAGACACATAATCATCAGATTCTCCAAGGTCAAAAGAAAGAAAAATTTAAAAGGCAGCTAGAGAGAAAGGTCAGGTCACCTACAAAGGGAAGCCCATCAGACTAACAGCGGACCTCTCAGCAGAAACCCCACAAGCCAGAAGAGATTGGGGGTCAATATCAACATTCTGAAAGAAAAGAAATTCCATCCCAGAATTACATATCTGACCAAATTAAGCTTTATAAATGAAGAGAAACAAGATCCTTTTCAGACAAGCAAATGCTGAGGAAATTTGTTACCACTAGCTCTACCTTACAGGAGCTCCTGAAGGAAGCAGTAAATATGAAAGACTGTTATCAGACACTACAAAAACACACTTAAGTACACAGACAGGTGACACTATAAAGCAACCATCTAAACAAGTCTGCAAAATAACCAGCTAACATCACGACAGGAACAAATCCACATATATCAATGTGAACCTTGAATGTAAACAGGTTACATGCCCTAATTAAAAGGCACAGAGTGGAAAGCTGGATAAAACACCAAGATCCATTAATATGCTGTTTTCAGGAGACACATCTCACATGCAATGATACCCATGGGCTTAAAATAAAGCGATGGAGGAAAATCTACCAAGCAAATGGAAAACAGAAAAAGGCAGGGGTTGCAATCATAATTTCAGACAAAACAGACTTTAAACCAACAAAGATCAAAAAAGGCAAAGAAGGACATTACATAATCGTAAAGGGTTCAATTTAATAAGAAGACCTAAGTATTCTAAATATATATACACCCAACACAGGATCACCCAGATTGATAAAGCAAGTTCTTAGTGACCTTCAATGAGACTTAGACTCCCATACAATTAACAGTCGGAGACTTCAACACCCCACTGACAGTATTAGACAGATCATCAAGACAGAAAAATAACAAAGATATTCAGAACCTGACCTCAGCACAGGATCAAATGGACTGGATAGACATCTACAGAACTCTCCACCCAAAAGCAACAGAATATACATGCTTCTCACCACCATGTGGCACATACTCTAAAATTGACCACATAACTGAACACAAAACACTCCTCAGCAAATGCAGAAGAACTGAAATTATAACAATCTCTTGAACCACAGCACAAATTAGAAATCAAGACTAAGAAATGTGCTCAAAACCATACATTTACATGGAAATTAAATAATCTGCTCCTGAATGACTTTTGGGTAAATAATGAAATTCAGGCAGAAATCAAGAAGTTTTCTGAAACTAATGAGAACAAAGATACAACATAACAGAATCTCTGGGACACAGGTAAAGCAGTGTTAAGAGGGAAATTTATAGCACTAAATGCCCACATCAAAAAGTTAGAAAGATCTCAATTTAACAATCTAACATCACAACTAAAAAAACTAGAGAACCACAAGCAAACCAACCCCAAAGCTAGCAGAAGACAAGAAATAACCAAAATCAGAGCTGAACTGAAGGAGATTGAGACATACAAAAAACTACTCAAAAGATCAATGAATCCAGGAATTGTTTTTATGAAAAAATTAATAAAATACATAGACCACTAGCTAGTCTAATAAAGAAGAAAAGAGAGACGATCCACATAAACACAATTAGAAACAAAAAAGGTGGCACTACCACTGACCCCACAGAAATACAAATAACCATCATGGAATATTGTGAACACTTCTATGCACATAAACTAGAAAATATAGAAAAACATAGATAAATTCCTGTATATGTATATCTTCCTATGACTGAGCCAGGAAGAAATTGAATCCCTGAACAGACCAGTAACAAACTCTGAAACTGAATCAGTAATAAATAGCCTATCAGCCAAAAATCCTAGGACAAGATTGATTCACAGCCATATTCTACCAAATGTGCAAAGAAGAGTTGATACCATTCCTACTGAAACTATTCCAAAAAATTGAGGAGAAGAGACTCCTCCCTAACTTCTTCTATAAGGTCAGGATCATCCTGATACCAAAACCTTGCAGGGACACACCAAAAAGGAAATCTTCCAGCCAATATCCTTGATGAACATTGATGCAAAAATCCCCAACAAAATATTGGCAAACTGAATCCAGCAGCACATCAAAAAAACTTATCCGGCCGGGCGCAGTGGCTCACACCTGTAATCCCAGCACTTTGGGAGGCCAAGGTGGGCAGATCACAAGGTCAGGAGATCAAGACCTTCCTGACCAACACGGTGAAACCCCATCTCTGCTAAAAATACAAAAAATTACCCGGGCATGGTGGTGGGCGCCTGTAGTCCCAGCCACTCAGGAGGCTGAGGCAGGAGAATGGCGTGAACCCGGGAGGTGGAGCTTGCAGTGAGCCAAGATCGCACCACTGCACTCCAGCCTGGGCAACAGAGCGAGACTCCATCTCAAAAACAAACAAACTTATCCACCAAGATAAAGTAGGCTTTTTTTTTCCTGGGATGCAAGGTTGATTCAACATACACAAATCAATAAGTGTGACTCATCACAAACTAAACTAAAGACAAAAAACACATGATTATCTCAACAGACACAGAAAAGGCATTTGATGAAATGCAACATCCTCTCATGTTAAAAACTCTAAATAAACTAGGTATTGAATAAACATACCTCAAAATAATAAGAGCCATCTATGACAAACTTACAGCTAACATCACATTGAATGGGCAAAAGTTGGAAACATTCCCCTTGAAAACCAGCACAAGACAAGAATTCCCTTTCTCACCACACTCCTACTCAACATAGTAATGGAAGCCCTGGTCAGAGCAATCAGGCAAGAGAAAGGAGTAAAGGGCAACCAAATAGTAACAGAAGAAGTCAGACTATTCCTGTTAGCAGATGACATGATTACATATCTAAAAAACTCCATAGTCTCAGCCCAAAAGCCCCTTAAGCTCATAAACAACTTCAGCAAAGTCTTAGGATACAAAATCAATGTACAAAAATCACTAACATTCCTATACACCAATAACAGTCAGGTCAAGGCTGGGCATGGTGGCTCATGCCTGTAATCCCAGCACTTTGGGAGGCTGAGGTAGGCAGATCACTTGAGGCCAGGAGTTTGAGACCAGACTGGCCAACATGGCAAAAACCCATCTCTACTAAAAATACAAAAATTAGTCAGGCATGGTGGTGCATGCCTGTAATCCCAGCTACTTGGGAGGCTGAGGTATGAGAAACACTTGAGACCTGGAGGCAGAGGTGGCAGTGAGCCATGATCAAACCACTGCACTCCAGCTTGGGCGAGACAACAAGACTCTGTCACAAAAAAACAAAAACAAAAACAAAACAAAACAGGCCAAGAGCCAAATTAGGAATAAAATACCAAGGAATACTGCTAGCAGAAAACAAGAAATACACAAAGCTAGCAGAAGACCAGAAATAACTAGAATTAGAGCTTTCACCAGGGAGGTGAAAGGTCTCTACAAGGAGAACTACAAACACTGCTCAAAGAAATCAGAGATGACACAAACAAATGGAAAAACATACCATGCTCATGGGCAGGAAGAATCAATATTGTTAAAATGGCTATACTGCCCAAAGCAATTTACAGATTCAATGTTATTCCTATCAAACTATCAATGACATTCTTCACAAAAGAAGAAAAATGTATTTTAAAATTCATATGGAACTGAAAAAGAGCCTGCATAACCAAAGCAATCCTAAGTAAAAAGAAGAAAGCTGGAGACATCATGTTAGTTGGCTTCAAAATATACTACAGTGTTACAGTAACCAAAACAGCATGGTACAAAAACAGACACACAGATCAATAGAACAGAATAGAGAACTCAAAAATAAGAACGCACACCCGCAACCATCTGATCTTTGAAAGCTGACAAAAACAAGCAATGGGGAAAACACTGTCTTTTCAATAAATGATGCTGGGATAACTGGCTAGCCATATGGAGAAGGTTGAAAATGGACCCCTTTCTTTTACCAGATACGAAAATCAACTCAAGATGGATTAAAGACTCAAATGTAAAACCTGAAACTATAAAAAGAGCCTAAAAGAAAACCTAGGCAATACCATTCTAGACACAGGAATGGGCAAAGATTTCATGATGACGACGCCAAAAGCAATTGCAACAAAAGCAAAAATTGACAAAAGGGAGCTAATTAAGCTAAAGAGCTTCTGCACAGCAAAAGAGAGTATCAACAGTGTAAACAGACAACCTACAGAATGGGAGAAAATTTTTGCAAACTCTGCATGTGACAAAGGTCTAGTATCTGGCATCTATAAACCAATTTACAACAACAAAAAACCTCATTAAAAAGAGGCAAAGGATACGAAGACACTTTTCAAAAAAAAAAAAAGACATATATGCAGCCAACAAGCATATGAAAAAAACCTCAACATCACTATCATTAGAGAAATGCAAATCAAAACCACAATGAGATACCATCTCACACAAGTCAGAATGGCTATAATTAAAAAGTCAAAAAACAAAAAATGACATGATCATATATCTGGAAAACACCATTGTCTCAGCCCAAAAGCCCCTTAAGCTCATAAACAACTTCAGCAAAGTCTCAGGATACAAAATCAACATACAAAAATCACTAGCATTCCTATATACCAATAACAGGCCAAGGCTAGCAAGGTTCTGGAGAAAAAGATTATACATTGTTGGTGGAAGTGTAAATTAATTTAACCATTGTGAAAAACGGTGTGGTGATTCCTTAAAGAGCTAAAAACAGAACTACCATTCAACCCAGAAATCTCATACTGGGTATATACCCAAAGAAATACAAATCTTTCTATCATAAAAACATGTGCATACATGTATATTAATTGCAGCACTATTCACAATAGCAGCACTATTCACAACAGCAAATGCATGGAATCAATCTAAATGCCCATCGATGGCAGACTGGATAAAGAAAATGTACATGTACACCATGGAATACTATTCAGTCATTAAAAAGAAGAAGATCATGTCCTTTGCAGTGACATAGATGGACCTGGAGGCCATTATCCTTAGCAAACAAACATAAGAACAGAAAAGCAAATACCACATGTTCTCACTTATATGTGGGAGCTAAACGATAAGAACACATGGACACATAGAGGGCAACAACACACTCTGGGGCCTATTGGAGTGTGGAGGGCAGGAGGGGGGAGAAGATCAGGAAAAATAGCTAATGGGTACCAGTCTTAATACCCGGGTGATGAAACAGTCTGTATAACAAATCCCCATGACATGAGTTTACCCATATAACAAAACTGCACATGTATCCCTGAACTTTATTCAAAAAAGAGAGAGAGAGAGAAAGAGATGAAAGAAAAGAAGGAAGGAAGGGGAAAGAAAGAAATTAAGAAAGAGAAAGAAAGGAAGGAAGGAAGGAAAGAAGGAAGGAAGGAAGGAAAGAAGGAAGGAAGGAAGGAAGGAAAGAAGGAAAGGAAGGAAGGAAGGAAAGAAGGAAGGAAGGAAGGAGAAAGAAAAGAAAGAGAAGGAAAGAAAAAGTTACCTATGAGGGTTCAGGACCCAGCTGGCATGGAAAATTTCTAAATTCCTGGGACTACAAGAAAGGCCACACCCTTGCTAAAGTCCCTAATGCTACAAGGATAATTTAAACCGAGGTCATTAGAACTCTGTTAGAGAATCGCCCTTACAGATGCTCTTTCCTTGATAAGCAACTGTAGACCCTAAGCCAGTTCCAGCGGCTTATAGAGACGGTATACAAACTGTCTTTGTGTGCTATAGTTCACCTCTTGTGAAATAAAGACCCAAATTCCACCTCACTTTAATGGTAACACCCACCCCAAAGTGAGCATGGGACGTATGCTACGTATATGTTTACCCATTGTGAATGTGCTTGGGTCTCCTCAGAAATTGGTACAGCTTTTCCCCAAACCTGCTGAATATGTTTGACTCTATTGTTTGATTCAGGCCCTGTAAGGGATAAAACCCAACTGTCCTTCCCGTCTTTGAAAAGAGAACACCTCCAGTCTGCTTTGCAGACATTTCTCTTCTCAGTTTCCAAACTGCTATCACCAATACAGCTTTCCATTCTTTACTATTTAGCCATCCTGGAAGTCTTTTGGATGACACTTAGATGTAGCATTGTTACAGTAGGCAGCCAGGTAGACATGAGCAGAGCAGGAGAGGCCCCCGTCCCACCAGGAATGTCAGGCAACAATCAGGTGATGGGCAGGCAGTTATTAAGCTGTTTCTCCAAAATAATAATTGGTCGCAGCTGGTGCCAGGGAACGGCCGTCTCCCAGCAGAGAGAAAACACCCGAATCTGGTGATAGGCGTCTGGATAGGATATCAGGATCTGGGTGAGTAGGCTTGAGCAAATGGCAGAGTCTAAATGGTCTATGACCACTAAGGGGCAAAATGGCAGAGTCTAAGTTGTCTATGACCTTCCTCTAGGAGCATTCGACTGGTAATGGGAAAATGCCTCAATTGAGCGTATACACAATTCCAGTAAACACACTGCACGTGCGCCCACTGCCAAGTGCTGGCAGGCCACTGCACGTGTGAGAGTCCACCCCAAGGGAAGAATCGGGGGAGAAGTGACATAACCCCAGAAGCATGCTGATGTATAAGACCCCAGGTCAAGGTCAACCACGCACTTGACACTCAGGTTGCCCATTCGACCTGCCTCCAAGTGTACACTTCCTTTTGTTCCTATTCTGAAGATTTTTAATAAACGTTCATTCCTGCTATAAAATTTACCTCAGTCTCTCACTTGAGCTTATGCCCCTCAGTCAAATTCTTTCTTCTGATGAGGACAGAATTGAGGTTGCTGAAGGCCTATACGGATTCACCACTGCTTACAATATCCTTGGGTAATTTTGTTTGGCCATTCCCTTAGCACTGGCAACCCACCTCTTTTACAGCGCTTTGCCATGACCACAGTTGAGACTTGAAATCCCAAAGAGCAGAAGCAATAGGCTGCAGGCCTTTCCCCAACATCTGCCGCACTCACTAATTTCTTACTGTCACTTACTTGTTTGGGCACATCATTATCTTTCTCTCCAGGGTTGGAAGTGGTTTGGAAAGCCCCTGCCAGGGGTGTCCTAAGCGGAGGTTATTTATTTCCAGCCTGTGTAGAAGTCAAGGAAAAGCTTCCTCTTCACCCTCTGAAGGTTCAGTGAAAATCAACTGATAAAAGACAGAATAGGAGAAAAGGCATCCAAAATGTCATTTTAATGTACATAGCATGGGAGAACTGAAGGAGAATGATTACCCAATACCACAGTGGGGGAAGAGAAGCATATATACCTTTTCTCATGGCAAAAGGGGCGATCGGGAGTGTAGACATTCTTTTGAGGAGCAGCAAATCATTAGAGACAATGAGTGGACCCTGGAGATAGAAATTAATTTGTAAAATTTGTCTTTGGAATTTGAAAGCATCTGAGAGGCAGGCGGTATCTTGTGAAAAGTCCTCCCGGGTGTGGCTTCATTCCCCAGTCTTCTTTTCTGAGATAGATAATGAGATTTCAGGCAGAGAACTGAAGGCAACTGGGTTTCCCCTGGAAAGAAGCTTTCTTGGTCAGATAACAAAATCCTAGAGTCCCTCCCTGTGCTTGCGGGTGGGAGCATGGGCACAGGGAGGGACTCTGTTGAGCTAATATTGTGAAACCATGTTAGTTAAGATGAGAAGTGTTGACCTGAAAGGAAGAAGCAGAGGTGAAATTAATAAAAGTAGAGAGTTTATTTGGGCCGAGCTTGAGGATTGCAACCCAGGAGCATAGATTCAAGTTGCCCTGAATATCCACTCTGATTAGGAGCAGTTACAAGTTGATTTTTTTTTTTTTTTTTTTTTCAGACAGAGTCTCACTCTGTTGCTAGGCTGGAGTGCCTTGGTGCAATCTGGGCTCACTGCAACCTCCGCCTCCCAGGTTCAAATGATTCTCCTGCCTCAGCCTCTCAAGAAGCTGGGACTACAGGTGCATGCCACCACGCGCAGATAATTTTTGTATTTTTAGTAGAGACAGGGTTTCACCATGTTGGGCAGGATGGTCTCGATCTCCTGACCTCGTGTTCTGCCTTCCTTGGTCTCCCAAAGTGCTGGGCTTACAGGCGTGAGCCACCGTGTCTGGCCCCAAGCTGATTTTTAAAGGAAAAGCAGCAGCAGTTCCTGAGTTGTTTACCAAGGTCAGAGGGACCTTGGTTCTGAGGCAGCTCTTAAGGCCTCTTAGCATGGCAAAGCCTGTGTTTGGGATATTGCTTTCTGAGCCCCAACACATGTAAACATTTGAGAAAGAAAAGTAGCTCTGGGCAGTCTGAGCTATGTGAGGTCTGCAAAATTTATCAGGCCCAAAGAGCCATGAGCATGAAGCTGCAGTCAAACACCCCCCATTCCCCAGAGCAATTGTTTAAAGGCATTTTGCTCTTTTTCCTTCCCTGTAGTTTCCAGGCAAGCTGATAAATTACCTAAAATGTTATCACAAGTTGCACAAAGTGACCTTCACCTATTATCTTAATGTTCCTGGAATTTGTGATACAAAGAACAATGTATACCAATCAGTAGCTAATGTTATTTTAATGAACCTATGTAAGAACTGCCCCTTCCTTTTAAGAACCCACTTATAATTGTTGCTAATCAGAGTATACATTCAGGGCAACTTGAATCTATGTCTCCTGGGTTGCAGTCCCCAAACATGGCCTAAATAAACTCTCTACTTGTATTAATTTGCCTCAGTTTTTTCTTCCTTCTGGACCTCACATTTTAAAAATGCCATCATCTTCCATTTGATAGCATTATATTTGTCTGTGGCATCCTCTTCCATAAAACATGTATATAATCCCCCTGTGTTTGACAAGTGTTTCCTGGATGAAGCACAACAATAGTTCATCACTTATAAACCACATTATTAAGATAGAGCGTTGGTGTTAACGTCTGAAACGGTCTGACTTCCATAGAATCTTGTTCTGCAGGAAAAAAAAAAGTCATATTCTTTTCACTTAAATATAGAACAAGTGTCCACACTTTAGATCTCACAGAGTGAGAAAAAAAATGTTGCTTTTGCCAAGATCTTTGAAATGAGTACTTTCTTTAACAACTCACAAGAGGATTTAAGTTTCTATTCTTTTTGAAGAATTACAGCTTTCATCAAATCAAACGAAAAGAATTAGTAACTGTGCTGGTACAGCACTGATTCAACCAAATGTAACAAAACGATTGAAAATTTCTGTTGAAAAAGTGCCAGAGCTAGAGCTAATGTTGTGAAACCATGTTAGTTAAGATGAGAAATGCTGACCCGAAAGGAAGAAGCAGAGGCGAAATGAATGTAAGTAGAGAGTTTATTTGGGCCGAGCTTGAGGATTGCAATCCGGGAGCATAGATTCAAGTTGCCCTGAATCTCCACTCTGATTAGGAACAGTTACTAGTCGATTTTTAAAGGAAAAGAAGAGGCAGTTCCTGAGTTGTTTACCAAGAATTTGCATTAAAATAACATAAGCTATTGATTGCCTGTACATTGTTCTTTGTATCACAAATTCAAGGAACATGAAGATACTAGGTGAAGCAGACAGTCAGAAACAAAATGACTTTAAGCAATTGCCTCCAAGGAAGGAGGAGCGTGACTGAAGTCCCATACTCAGGTTTCCCTGAGCCTGATACATTTTGCATACCTCACACAGCTCACACTGCCAGGGCCTATTTTTCTATTCTCAAAAGGTAGGGAGAAGAGGTTCTAAAATTAATGTGTTATTTAGAATTTTATATTAATTCTTTCTTTTCCAATGCCTATAACAACAAAGGATGAAGCATGAAGTCTTGTCAGTTGTCTAAGTGCTGTCTAAATGGAGAGGCAAAAATACTTTTAACAGCTTTGATAGAAGTGAATTTGATATGCAAAAAAACTGCACATATTTAATGTATGCAATTTGATGAGTTTGGACATTTGCAGACACCCGAATACCATCACCACAGTCAAGGTAATAAGCACATCCATCTCCTCCAAAAGTTTCCTATGTCTCTGCATGTTTTTTCTCAGGCAAAGTATTTTTCATCAGTACATAGAACTTACATAAATAAAGGGAAGAAAACACTAAAGACATGTGAAAAAAAATTCTTAGCATTCTACCATAGAAAGAATCTTAGCAATCCCTGTCTTCTCATTTTGCATATGAGTGAAGAGGGCACAAGGTAGGGGGTTAAATGACTTATTTTGGACGCACAGAGAAAGGGACCCAGGTGTTCTGGTTCCAAATTGCAGGCTGCTGCTCTTCTCGCATGGTAATTTTCCCTCCAGATCACCCCTGCCTGGTCCAGCCTCTAACACAAATCCTCTTTGCCCATTTTATTTAGTTTTTATTCCTATTTACTGTGTTGTTTAAAACAGTGATGACAGAAATGTCCAAATTCTGCCAAAACATGTTAGAGGTTTATTCTGAGCCAATAGGAATGGCCGTGGCCCAGGTTACATAATCTCAAGAGGTCCTGAGAAAGCACACCCAAGGCAGTTGGGTTACTTCTTACTCAATCAGTCTTTGTGACCATAAAACAGCAACTAAACCCCAGGCAGCACTTACCATCTATCATCTATCATCTATAACCTGTCTGTTCCACATTTGCTAAGGCACTGAGTGGGATGGGGTCCCAGTCCAGCACAGGGACCCATCAGGGTGACAATGTGAAGTTTGGTAGGATCACAGTGATGGTCATCACTATACCCTAGTGACCCAGGGCTTCACTGAGGCCAACCTCTAGTCCTCATAGGAGTACTGGGTCAAGAGTCCTAAGGACTTTCCTTTGGTTTTGCTGTTCTTGACTCACTTGGACCAACTCCCTGCCCATCTCAGCTGCAAGGTTTGCTTGAGAGCGTCTCACACTCATCAGGCCTTTCAGCTTCTTCATTTCCCAAACAGAAAAAGAACTAGACGCTGTGAACCAGTTTGTATCACTACCTTCCACTTGGAGAAGCTTGAAAATTAAACACTCTTATTTCCTGGAGTCTCTTGCAGCTAGGATCTAGGGTGCTGATTAGTCCCTGCCAACTAAATTAGCATGTGTTATGATTTCCATTGTTATTGTTTCTTTTTAATTTGGTCTTGGGGGTCTCTCTCCTGAGAGGGTCGGAAGCCAAGACAGAACCACTCTCTAGGACAAGACTGACAAGGGGAAAGTTAAGTTCATGTGAGTCAGTCAGTTAAAACACAAGAGGAAGTAAAACCAAAATGCAGGGAGCAGAAGAAATGTATTACTCCCAGTCCCAGAGAGGCTGGGGGTGGTGACAGGAAGTCTGGAGGGGGAGGGAGTTCAACCAGTGAGAGGAAGAGAGGCAGGAGCTGGGACTAGGCCTTCATTAAGGCCCATGGGCATTTCCTTAGGCTTTCCCATGGGGTTTTGAGTTGGCTAGTTTTAAAAAAAGATGCACAAAGCAGGAAACCTCTTTAAATGACTCTGCTGTTATTGTGGTCAGCAGCTGCAGGGTGGGTTGGGTTTGGGTCAGTGGAACAAGATGCCAGCAGACAATATTGCAGACAACCACACAGGGCAGGGAAGGTTTAGCTAGGTCAAAATGGACAGATAGGACCATTTCAAACAACTTATGTCAAGCCTAAAAATGGGTGCTGAGGCAGCAACTCTATTAAACCAATTCATGACGATTTGCTCAAGATTTGGAAGAGAGGACGCGAGGAGGCTGGACTCCCATCTTCGTTAGTTGGTTCTGTGCACAAGCAACATCATAGGAACAGGAGGCTTTGGGCAGGAGCTTGCTCCCGGGGGCCCTTCTCTTGCTCCCTGAGTGAAAGAGGCAGCCGGCGGGGACATAGCTTTGTGATGGTTTGCAATTGTAGGAGAGATTTAGAGGCCACATTTCATAGCCTCAGGGGTAGGAACTTCCCTGTGGGTGGGACCTGTGTACTCAGGGCCGTTTCTGGAGGCCAGCCTGTTCCCTCCTGCTTTCAGCTCTTCCACCAGCTGTGTGCGTATCTACTCCTGTGTACTATATCATTTCCTGACTAACGGCCCTGGAGTGACTCCTGCGTCCTGCAGTGAGCCCTGACCCCTGCAGGTGGGTCTGGAGGAAACCTAGACATCACCCATCTTCACTGCGCTAGGCATGGTCTTAGGAAATGTTAAGGGCAAGATGTTTGTCATACATTGGACAGAAAAGACTAGAGTGTGACAGTTTCTGAGTTAATTACACATAATAGCACACAAACCGGTAAATATCTTCTTCATGTAAAGATACGTTAGGAAAAGAATTACAGAAGATTCTGGTCATCTGTTTATGATATACACTGCCTAATTTGGCTGCACATATATATAACTTCTTTAAGCATCTTTCAAGGACATGTTAGAATTTTGTGTTAAAGAAAAACCATAAGATCTACAGGCTCCTGAGGGAAAGCTAGAAGGAGTTTCCTTTCTTCCACTACGCAGAACATTCAATCATTTTATTCCAAAATCAAAGAGAAAGAATGGTTTTTACTGAATTCTAGTACTGGGTTTTAAAGCCTGCAAGAGGAGATTAAAGGACAGGCCTAAACCTTTAAAAACCTGTTTCCTTCGAGGCAGCTGGAGATGTTTAGAAGGAAAGACCAATCTGAAGGCCACAGGGGTCTTCAGAGGCCTGAGGCTGGTAGAGGGGTGCCCATGGGCACAGACTGGTGGTGAAGCAGGGGCAGCCTGAAGAGAGGTCATTGCCTTGTCCCATGGCTGACACCTTCATTCTAGTGCCCCTCATTAGTCATCTCTTCTCAGAGAGGACTCTGATCAATGAGCAACTTTTTCCCAGAAGCTTGTTTCATGTTATGGTGCACTTTCCTCTTCCTGTCCAGATAAAAAGTCTTCTAATCTGTAAACTTAGAAATCTGGATTCTATAAGAAGCTTTGAAAAGTAGCATAATGGATTTTACTCTGAAATAAGGTTGTCCCTTGTTTTCAATGCTTTGTCAAGCATGCCAGTGTTGGTAAATGATGTGTATGACGTGTTCCATCTTTTCTTTGCATCGAGTTCTTGTACATATCGTTCTTAATCCCTCTGGGAAGGAGCACTCTGGTGAGAAAGGCACCTGTCTTAGCCCAGGAGTCTAAGTCAGCTGCCTGCTGGGCCAGTCTCCCTGCCACTCTCCCCTCACCCCACACACCCTGTCTGCCCCTTGCTTTTCCATAGAAGCGGCTGTGAGATTGTCCTCGTCTGCCAGGGAGTGGTGAATTAAGCATTGCAAATGACATTCTGAAACGGACTTCAATATTTGGAGACTTTCTGAGCTCCGGCCTTAAATCTCATTTCAGGCCGTGATGGGGTTTCTGGTAGGTTTTCTAGTGAGACTAAACTGTGGTGGCTCCCGAGGCTTCTGATTTCTATTTCCTAGCATTGACACTGCCAAATTTCCTCCCATTTAGGCTTGAGGCAGAAGGGAAAATGTTCAAGATTATGCACTTTTGTTAAGATGTGCTAAACCCAACCGGGATGTTTTTAAAATGGAAAAGGTAATACAAACACCAAGGCCTGCCAAAGGATGAGCCCTCTTAAGCTCAAGTGAGAGAGATTTACTAGGCACTATTTTTATCCTATGAGCAAGAGAAACTACATTTGAACCGAAGTATAATCACATTCACTGCTTGGTATTTTACATATGTTTTTATCTCTCTCCAATTAGCTATGTTACCTAACCTCTTGTTCCTATGTGAAAATAGACAGCGAATTAGAGACGCCTCTCGGAATTGGTGGTAACTATTCTTGACAGATGCCGAACAGCGAACCAGCTGCTAAGCACAAGTGAAATATAGAAGTCCCTGCTGCTGGACTAATTTAATCTAATTGGTATATTTGTCTTTATTCATGATTTTATGAGGAAAAAAAAGATCATTGACAACAGCATTTCAGATAAATTCTTTTCATTCCTTGCGGCCTTGGAAAGTTTTTCTTAATCTGTTGCACTTGCATTGGCAAGCACCTGCACCCCTCTGCCCACACTTGGTGGGGTTCGGTGTTATTTGACTAAAAGGAGAAAGTATTTGCTTACCTGCAATGAAGAATTTTTCAAGCTTCTTCATCCTTGTTGGTCTGCTGTCCTCCCTTGACAATTTAATACAGTTGCCTTATTTCCTAGCTCTTGAGATAAAGGCATCTTCCTGTGCTCCTCCTAGCCCAAGACAGATGTTCTTCTTACATGAGCATGAGTTTATCTCCCATGAGGAAGCAGCAAGGAATTAGTCTACAAAGAGAAACAGAGTGAAAATGGACAAGGTACTGATAACAGCAAGGTTTTGAAAGGAAACAGGTCAGGCAAATTAGAGCAGGGGTGAGGAAGAAGAGAAAATTGAAAAGTAGGTTTTCAATCCTCTTCCTGCATCTGTGTGCTCTCCTAGGCTGGCAAGAGGGTTAAATTCATTGTCATGTCCAGCACAGACTTAATCATTCAGTCAGTGGCCTGGCTTTCATTGTTTTAATCTACTTATGAGGACTAATTTTTACTTGATTTCTTTAACTATGAGAATTCTCCAAGATGGAAGAAGAAGAAGTAGCTCTAAATTTAATCCTAAACAATAAGAAATAAAGCCATGTTAAAAAATATTTTGACATAATATGTAATTTGCATTTTTAAATGTCTGGAAAAATTGCAGTCATGATATCTCAAGTCCACAGTTAGATTTCTGAAAACCAACTGTGGCATTTAATATAGAAAGTTGTGGGCTTTGGTATATTTGGTTTGTAATTTCATCTAAGGTTGAAGACTAAAACAACAGGAAAACAGGGGAATCAGTTCTTCCCTCATTTATTTATTTGTTTTTCTTTTCTTTTTTTTTTTTTTTTTTTTGAGACAGAGTTTCACTCCTGTTGCCCAGGCTGGAGCGCAATGGCACAATCTTGGTTCACCGCAACCTACGCCTCCTGGGTCCAAGTGATTCTCCTGCCTCAGCCTCCTGAGTAGCTGGGATTACAGGCATGTGCCACCATGCCTGGCTAATTTTGTATTTTTAATAGAGACGAGGTTTCTCCATGTTGGTCAGGCTAGTCTCAAACTCCCGATCTCAAGTGATCCACCCACCTCGGCCTCCCAAAGTGCTGCCATTGCAGGCATGAGCCACCGCGCCCAGCCTTTTTGTTGTTGTTGGAGAACAGGACCTTGCTATGTTGCCCAGGCAGGCCTTGAACTCCTGGGCTCAAACTATCCTCCCGCCTCTGCCTCCCTAAATGCTGGGATTGCAGGCATGAGCCACTGCACCTGGCCTTTTCTTTCCTGATTTACATTATTGATGGTAACCATTTGGATCGCTAAAGGAAAAAGAAGCAGCACGCTCATGACCCAGATAATGCCATGGTTCTGATTAAACGAAGGTGCAAAACAGACACAGAGAGAATTAGAGTGCTCCTCAAGCCTCAGGTCCATCAAGTCCAAGCAGGAAGTGGTCCATACTCAGTCCTCATAAGTTCTTTGTTGGTCTTCCAAACGGTTTTTTTTTTTTTTAATTCTATGGGTAGAATTCGTTCCTTTTAGCCCTATATTAGACAAATCACATTCTAAAACAAAGTAAAAAAGAATCTGACATAAAACAGCAGAACAGTTTCTTCTCAAAGAAAATAGGTTTTACTCCATTATGTTTCTTGAGAAGGAAACTTTCTTTCTTGCAAATCTTTGTAAAATTATCTCTCTAGGGCATGGATCAAGCTAGCATCAATGATCACCTTCATGATCAGCAACATATTTAGAGTATGACTTTGTGCCAGGTGATGTGAAATAAATATATAGAAACAGTCCCAGCCCTGGTTATCATTTATTCATTCAGTCAGTCATTTTTCAACATCTCACACAGCAGGTCCCCTCTCAACCCTCTTATGATGCCAGTGGGGCCATAGTCCAATGAAGCCAACATGTTGCAGATGCTACATCTACAGCAATGCAAATTGCCAAATACTGCAGGAATTCAGGGATGAGAGAGACCACAGTGCACATTTCCAGGGATGCTTGGACTGAGGCTATGGAACTGGAGAGTAGCCCTGAAGGGCAGGTAGGTCTTAGAAGAAAGGACTGGGAGTCAAGGTGGGGCCTCAGCACATCTGGGCTCCACTCTCTCCAAGAGGTTTTCAGCACTCTGGATAGGCTATTTTGTCTCAGACTATACTTTGGAACTAAGTCATCTTTCTCGATACAGGTTTACACAACCTCTAGGGATTTAAATTTTGGGGGATTTGTAAGTGGGACAGATGGTTGGGTGCAGTGTAATGCATTTGCTTGCCTTTCCTAGAACTTATCTTGGGGCAAGCCATCGTGGGAAGTTGAATGACCTAGAACACATCTCCAAGCCAATCTTCATCCAAACTTCTGCTCTATATCAGCACAAGGCTCCATGCTGGCACATAAAAAGCTATCAATGTAGGTTTGTTGTAATGTTTTTGAATGAAATTGTGGGCCAGAGAGAAAGACCTTTCAATGAAGCTGACTTGAAACATATTAAGACAGCATTTCTTACCCCTCCTCCCCACTTCTGAACTTCTTTACTTCAACTTTTCCAAAGCTTAATCTTGGCATCCAGTTACAGTTAATCCTATGACTGTATTCCAATGATTCTGAGGGGAAACCTTCAACTATGCATGACTTTTGGAGTGTAGGAATATACTGGTATCAGTAGAGTTAATATTCCTGGTTTAGGTTACTTTAAAGCATAAATTGCAATATAATAGTGTCATGACTACCCCAAAAGATCTTCGTAAGCTTGGTGTGAAGGAAGGTGAACAACATGCTTAGAAAAGCTTGCCCTGAAGGTGCCAGTGTGGCTAGTATGCAGGCCAGTAAGTGACACTAACTGCCTAATTGGAAGACTTCTCAAATGTGGACGTTGTTGAAAAGTTCCATGTAACATGCCTAGAGAAGGATGCTTTCCTCTACTTTCGTACACTCAAGGAGCATCTATTTACATCCAGGTCCCAGCAAAAAAATAAATTAAAGTACATATTCATACAGTAGATTTTTGTGATTACTAGAGTACAATTTCATGAGTATTATATTAAGCTAACATCCTAATAAACCATTGGGTATTTATTATTCTCTGCCCGGTGATTTTATACATAATTAGAAATATGATTCACATTTTATGACACAAGAATGCCAGGCTTAAAGAAGTATGCTTGGAATCACACAACTAATACATTGACCAACTAATGAGCAGAAAAATAAGGATCCATTTCCTCAACCATTGTTCAAAATATGTTTGTCTAGTACCTATTTTGAGTCAGGCACTGTGCCAGGCACTATAAAATGATAAAGAAAATAGACAAATTGCCCTTGATCTTAGGGACCATTGAGTAAAGGATATAGTTACGAAGCATTGCAGAAGATTTGAAGAAAAAAGTAATAAGGCTTATTGGAAAAGGGATCAATTAGCAGAACCCAATTAAACTTGAAGCAAGGGAAAGCATCTTTAAGGCAATGACACAGGTAAGTAGAAATTAGCCAGAGGAGCAGTGGATGGGGTGGGGAGAGTGTGCTCTTGAGAAACTGCAGAGAATATGTGACTAGACAGGCGATGCAGTGGCAGATGACCTAGAGATGCCACCAAACCCCCAGGTCTCCTTTGTCCTTTCTACCATGCTTCCATTGAGAAAATAAGCAGATCTCAGCAGGACCATGCTGTCTCTGGCATCACTGGAAAGATTCCGTTCTGCCTTTTCCTAGTTCCTAGTGCTTGTAGTCATTCCATGGAGTTCTTTGGCTTGAGGAACTATCACTCTAGTCTGTGCCTCTGTCATCACATGAAATTATCTCTGTGTATCTATCTGTCTGTGTCTATTTTCTCCTGTGAGGACACCAGTCACTGGACTAGGACCCATTCTAATCAAGTATGACATCATCTTAACTCATTACATGTGCAAATGTTCTGTATCCAAATGAGACCACATTCTGAGAAATATGAAAGCCACAGACCAACATTTCTTCTGAATATGGACACAAAATTCTCAACAAAGTAGCAAAAAGTGAATAGAATAATATATAAAAAGAGTTATACACCATGACCAAATTGGATTTATCTTAGGAATTCAAGATTGGTTTAATACCCACAAATCAATTAATGTAATACATTATACAAAAAGAATAAAAAACAAAAAAAAGATCCTCAATTGACACAGAAAAATCATTTTACAAAATCTGACAGCCTTTCATTATTTAAAAATACTCTACAAACTAGGAATCAAAAGGAACTTCCTCAACCGGATAAAGTCTGAAAGTCTCCAAGTTAATATCATGCTCAATGATGAAAGATTGGATATTTTCTTCTAACATCAGGAAAGAGACAATCAAGTATGTTCTCACCACTTCTATTCAACATTGTACTAGAGGTTCTAGCCACAACAGTTCAGCAAGAAAAAAAAAAAACTAAAGGAAGGAAAGAAGGAAGGACGGAAGGAAGGACGAATGAACAAGCAGATTAGAAAGGAAGAAGTAAAACTATTTATTTGCAAATGACATAATCTTGTACATAAAAAATCCTAAGACATCCACTAAAAAACTGTGGAACTAAAAAACAAGTTCAGAAAGGTGGAAAAATATAAGATTAATATGCAAATGTCAGTTGTATTTCTATATTCCTTTAATGAACAATCTAAAAATGAAATTAAGAAAGCAATTCCATTTACAATGGCACTTAAAAGAATATTTAAGAATAAATTAAACAAAATAAGTGAAAAATGTGTACTCTTAAATCTACAAAACAATGTTGAAGAAGATCTAATTGACTGGAAAAATATCTCATATTCATGAATTATATAACATTATTACTATGGCAATACTCCTTAAATTGATCTATACATTGAATATAATCCCTATTAGAATTCAAGCTGACTGCTGTATATAAATGACACGATGATTCCAAAATTCAAGTGGAATTGCAAGGGACCCAGAATATCCAAAACCATGTTGGAAAAGAAAGACAAAGTAGGAAGACTCACACTTTCCATTTTAAACATGTGCTACAAAAGCAATGGCAATTAAGACAGTGTTGCACTGGTACGAAGATAGACATAAAAATCAGTGGAAGAGAAGTGAGAGTCCAGACATAAGCCCACACAGTTATGGTCAACTGATAAGGGTGCCAAGACCATCCAAGGGAGATAGGATTATCTATTCAAAAAATTGTGCTGGAACAAGAGCCATATGCAAAAGAATGAATTTTGACCCTACCTCACACTAAATATGGCTGAAATTTTTCCAAATTTGACACAAGCTAACAGATTCAAAAAGATGAGTGATTCTCAAACAAGATAAAACCAAAGAAATTCATATGAGGACACACGCTTCTGCAAATGAAAGACAATGTGCATATATTGGAAGCAGTGAGAGAGAAATGATACCTTATCTATTGGGGGAAAAACAATCTGAGTGACAGTGGGCTTCTTATTGGAAGCAGAGAAGCTAGAAAAAAGTGGCAAAATATTTTTCAGTGCTTAAAGAAAAGACATGTCATCTCCAAATTTTATATTTGCCCAAATTATCTTTTAGGAATACAGGGAAAGTAAAGACATTTCCAGATCAAAAAAACCTAAGAGAATTTGTCACCAGCAGATCTGTAAAAGAATATCTAAGGGGAATCTTGAAACATAAACAAAATAATAAAGGAGAAAATGTGGACCATCAGGAAGGAAAGAAAAACAACAGAAAAAGCAAAAATATGACGGAGAAATACAGGCACCATCTTAATCAAGTGACCAAATTTATCAACAGTAAGTGGGTAAACCAACATCCTATACCTCCTGATAAGATAATTGGAGACAAATACAGCATTGCATCTGGGGCATTTCTGCCAAATATAAGTGTTGTGAAATAATAAGAAAATATCAAACAAACTCAAACTAAGGAGCATTTGACAAAATGTCTGACCTCTATTCTTCAAAAATTCCAAGGTCGTAAAAGACAAGGGAAGAGAAAGGCTAATGAAGGCTAAAGAAATAGTCAAGACTCATGAGATCTACGAAGAGATTGTGGCAATTCTATCACTGACATGATACTGCCACGTAATCTAATTTATGATTGTCACGCATATAATTGAGTTTTTGTATGAGAGTGTATACTTATTTTTAGGAACTCTGCACTAAAAAAAAAGGGATATTTGGGCATATCTGCAATTTACTCTCAAATAATTTTAGATAGATTAGATAGATATCTACCTAGATGTAGATATCTTTACTGATACACATATATGTGTGTATGTTTGGGAAGAGAGAGAGACACAAAAAAACATGAAGGAATTATGGTAAATATGGTAATATTTAAGTATATAGGTATTAAGAAAATGAGTTAAGTTATATAATAGTTATCTATACTAATCTTGCAACTTTTCTGTAAGTTTGAAATTATTTCAAAATAAAAACTTAAAGACAAAAAAGTAGAGAAAAGATCGGAACAGATCCCTTACCAAAGAAGATATACAGGTGGCAAGTAAGCATTTGAAAAGATGCTCAACACCATTTATCACAGTAGAAATGCAAGTTAAAACAAGAACAAAATACCACTACACACCCATTAGAATGCCTGAAATAAAAAAGAAAAAATCTGACCAGTTGTTACCTAGGATATAGAACAATAATAGAATTCATTATTGGTGGGAATGCAAAATTATATAGCTACTTTGGAAGACAGTTTGGCAGTTTCTTCCAAGGCTAAACATAGTCTTACCATGTGATCTAACAATGACAGGTATTTACCCAACTGATTTAAAAACTTATGTTGACACAAAAATCCCATACATTAATATTTATAGCAGCTTTATCTATAATCACCAAAGATTGGAAGCAACCAAGATATCCTTTCAATGGGTGAAGGATAAATAAACTAATAGAATATTATTCACTGATAAAGAGGAATAAGCTATTAATCCATGCAATAACATGTATGAGTATTAAATGTGTATTGCTAAATGAAAGAAGCCAGTCTGAAAAGGCCACATACTGTATGATTCATTCATATGACATTCTAGAAATGGCAAAACTACAGAAACAGAAAAGAGATGGGTGGTTCCTGGGGATTTAGGGAGAGAAGAGTTTTGATTATGTGAAGTACAGGAGATTTTATAGAGAGATGAGACTACTTGGTACAGTAATGCAGTAGTAGATAAACAACATTATGCATTCATCAAAACCCTTAGAACTTTACAGCACAAAGAGTGAAGCTTAATGTTTACAATTTTTTTAAGATTTTGGATAACATCTTAAAAAAAAGGGGGACCTGCATGGACTACAAACTGATAAAATAATCCAACAGTACCAGAAATGCATGTCATAACCTCACTGAAGAGGGTGAGGAAAAGTGATACTAATGTAAGTAACTTTGGAAAGGACCGGTCCGTAAGACTGAAAACAAAAGGAACTGTACAGTAGATTGTGCTAGTTGGTATGGATTTACAATATTGAAACTGCCATAAGTACATGTGTACTGGGGTTGAACAAATAAGTAACTGAATGGTGGATGGTGAGCATCAAGTTTCTCACTGTTGGAGTGAAAGGTTACAGACATGCAAGGTGAAAGGATAGAATGAGGCGTGTGGTACTGGGTTAGACTGAGACATCAGCATGAACTCATGTTAAGCTTAATATTGACCCAGATGGTTACATATAGAAATGTGTGTGTGTTTGTGTGTGTGTGTGTACATGGGTTAGTTAGTATGCACACACGTCATCTAGCTATGTTCATTGAGAAGGTCTAGAAGCAAGGACATCCCAGTACTGATGAGTGCACCAGTATGCAGATCTCAGTTTTTTGTATTACTCTCCACAAAAAGGAATAAGGACTCATTCTAGGACTGGGACAGGGAATATACAATATAAGCCTGGAGGACTTTGTAGTGCCAGGAAATAGAGAAGTACCCAAAACACAAAAGGATTGGGACATGTCAAAGGGACACTAGAGTCCACTGAAAGACTCCCAGTGGCTGAAGGTTGGACAATTTGGACCAAATAAGTAATGTAGTATTGGATTATAATCCAAAGTATAAGTTAAAAATGTATGAGCCCATACGGAGATAAATAAACTATTGAATAAATAAATAGGGGAGAAAAACAAATCTTACATAGAGAGAATTTCATATAATTTATGCAGGTATTTCCCATCAAGATGGTGGAACAGAACTCCCCAACTCTTTAGCATGGGCGGTGCGTAGTGACTGCTTCCAAAGAAGAGAATATGGGAAGGAGGAAAGTAACTTAGCAGTGGAGAAATCTGGCCAATCTCAGTTATGTGATCAAGGTTAACATGGCATATTACTAGTCTGCAGTCTTGGTATATGATGAAAATGGCACTTCACCTCTTTGGTCTTCCTCCAAAAACCCATACTGTCATCCTGTTGTAAGAAAATCATCAGACAAATCTAAACTGAAGGACATTCTGCAAAATGTTAACCCAGTACGCCTCAAAATTTTCAGAGTCATTGATAATAAGGAAAGGGAGTCACAGTCTACAGAAGCCTAAGGAGATATGATTACTAATGTAATGTGGTATCCTGGATGGGATTCTGCAGCAGAAGAATGTAATTAATTTTTGTTTTTGCTGCAGTGTGTATAATTATATTGAAAATGCTATAATAGCATATAGTAAATGAAGGAAACTGGAAATAAAAAATATTCTCAATGAAGACCAGCTGCATTACTCAACTTTAAGGCCTCTGTGCAAAACCTTAAGATGTTCCTTAACAAATCTACCAAGATGGAAAAGGCTATATAATTACAACAAACTGTTAAGTAACATTTAAGTTGCAAACTGTTGCTGACTAGACACATCATGTAACTTCGTTTTTCAGAAAAATTTCACTGGAACAAGAGAAAAAAGGTTTTTTTCTCTTTTTTAAGTGATACAGGTGGGTACTAGGACGAAGGGTGTAGGACAAGAGACAACACTAATATAATTGCAAAAGAAAAAATGGAAACTTATTTGTAGAACTAAGAAAACTGAATCCTGAGCCTGCAGCGATGACAGCCAAGAAGAAAACCTTGTGTCAGCTCAGAATTTCCAGAAATCTCAGGAATTAGAAGCACCCAGATGGCTTTGGAAATGGAAGCAGATTATGAATAGGATTAGTTAAAGGTTATTTGAGAAACTGTTACATTATCAGATATCCCTCTCCTCCACCAAAATCACACACACACACACACACATGGGCAGAGAGAGAGAGAGAGAGAGAGAGAGAGAGAGAGAGAGAGAGAGAGAGAGAGAGAGCTGCATGATCCCGGCAGAACTCCTGCAGTTTTATCCTCTCCGGAGAGTAACATAGAGGTTACTTGACACAGGCACTTGGAAAAGCTGAGGTGCAGCGAGAAGATGGGTATAATTTTAAACACAGGGATATTAAGTGAAAATTTATGTACTGAATGTGAATCCCCCAGTCCTCTTCCCCTACTTGATACGCAGAAATCTACAAGGTACTCTAACAGCTCCAAGAAGGAGATGGGAAGGGACTTCTGCAGAAATCCTTAACAGACTGAGAAGAAGAACCTACAATAAGATCAGGGGCTCCCTGATGGCACTGTCCACCCCGTTTGCAATGTGTGAAGCTCACCACTGAGCATTCCACGTGCTGATCTCCCACTCATTATCTTGGGGGCCCATCCTTAAATCAGAACACACAGAAAGAATGACTAGATTATCTTAGGGAAGCCTCTTCTATCAAAGTTAATGAGCAAAACCTACCAATGTGGAAAAGGATACTTAAAGAAAGGAGAGCGTATGCAGGGAAATAAAACTTTAGTAATTATAAAGCTATCATTACAGCATATCCATACTATACTATTATAGTATTCCTATAAAGAAAATGAAGGGGAAGATACTGCATCCAGGAAATAAGAACAGGATGTTGTTTAAACAATTATTAATTAAAAAAAGGCAATTGCCAATGTGAATGCACAATGATACAGTCACCTTGGAGGACAATTTGATATTGTCTTAAAAAAGTAAACATGCTCTTGCCATGTAATCCAGCAATCATGTTCCTTCATATCTACTCAAAGAAGCTTAAAACATGTCCACAAAAACAATCTGTACATATGTCTATAGCGGTTTTATTTATAATTGCCAACCAATATGTTCTTCAGTAGTTGAATATTTAAAAAAGTGTGGAACATTCAGACAATGGAATATTATCCAGCACTAGAAACTAAGCTATGAAAAACAAGGAGGAAACTTAAATGTGTATTTGTAAGTAAAAGTAGCCAATTTGAAAAGGCCACGTACTGTATCATGGCAACTATATAAGATTGTGGGGAACGCAAAACTATGGAGACTGTAAAAAGATCAGTGTTTGACAGGGATTGGTGGGGAATGAGTGATGAATAGGTGGAGCACAGAGGATTTTAAGGGCAGTGCCATATTCTTCACGATACTGTAATGATGGATACTTGTCCATATAATTTGTCCAAACCCACAGAATGTACAAGACTGAACCCTCGTGTAAACTATGGACTTTGATGGATAACCATGTAAACGATGGACTTGTATGGATTATGATGTGCCAACGTAGGTTCATCAATTGTAATAAACGTACCCCTTTGCTGGGGGATGTTGATAGTGAGGGAGGCTTGTGGAGGGCAGGGAAGGTATATGTGAACTCTCTGTACCTTACCTTCAATTTTGCCATGAACTTAAAACCACACTAAAAAAATAAAGGAAGGCCAGGCATGGTGGCTTATGCCTGTAATCCCAGCACTTTGGGAGGACGAGGCCGGTGGATCACTTGAGGTCAGGAGTTTGAGACCAGCCTGGTCAACATGGCAAAACCCCGTCTCTACTAAAAACACAAAAATTAGCCAGTCGTGGTGGGTGCCTGTAACGCCAACTACTAGGGAGGCTGAGGTAGGAGAATCGCTTAAACCTAGGAGGTGGAGGTTGTAGTGAGCCAAGATCGTGCCACTGCACTCCAGCCTGGGCAACAGAGTGAGACTCCAAAAAAAAAAAAGAAAGGTAAGAAGAAGTTCTGATAAACAAAAACTAAGATAAGATGTGTGCAAAATTCAGTAAATATGTTGGAAGATAAGATTAGAAAAGTTCCCAAACATAGAACAAAAAGTCAAATATGTGAGTAATAAGAAAGAAAAGATATAAAAAATAGAGAATCAGCTCAGGAGATCCAATACTCAAAACTCAAAAAAGACTTTCAGAAAGAGCACAACACATTAAGAGAGTAAAAAATGATCTTTAAAATCTTCAAGGAAGTTTTCCAAAATTGAAGGACATAAATTTCAAATTTAAAAAGTGGATAGAGTAGCCAACACAATACATTTTTTAAATAAAATCAAGCCTAACATTGTGAAATATCACAATTCTGAGAACAAGTATATCTGAAGGTTTAAAGGAAGAAAAACTGTCAGATATGAAAGATTGAGATTCAAATGTCTTTGTATTTCTCAGTAGCAAAATTGTAAGCTGGAAGCAATGAAACAAAACTTTTAAAGTTCTGATGAGAAATTATTTCCAATCTTTTTTTTTTTTTTTTGAGACGGAGTCTCGCTCTGTCGCCCAGGCTGGAGTGCAGTGGCGCAGTCTCGGCTCACTGCAAGCTCCGCCTCCCGGGTTCACGCCATTCTCCTGCCTCAGCCTCTCCGAGTAGCTGGGACTATAGGCGCCCGCCACCACGCCCGGCTAATTTTTTTTTATTTTTAGTAGAGACCGTGGTCTCGATCTCCTGACCTCGTGATCCACCCGCCTCGGCCTCCCAAAGTGCTGGGATTACAAGCGTGAGCCACCGCGCCCGGCCAATTATTTCCAATCTTAAACCTAGAAAAAAGTTCTATTAAATGGGAGGATTGTATAGACGTGCCTCTCTTCTACCTTTTCTCAGGAAGCTGCCTGACGAGGAGCTGTACGGAAATAAGAGTAATTCAGTGATGGGGTCCAAGCATCCTGAATATAAGCGGTCCATGTCAAGAAAGAGCCAAAGGGCGTCCTCAGGACATGGAAGAGGGGCATTCCAGGCTGGCAGCTGGGGAGGCCCAGAGAGCCCTGGAGAAGATCTGAAGTCCATTGCAGAGCTTTCTTTAAGACTACTGAATTGTACAGAAGAAGCAGAAATGAAAAAAAAATTAAAAATATAGAAATGATGTATTTTAATGAGATTTAAACATCTAGGGGAGAGTTTGGGGTGGGAATGCTGATAAGTTCATAGAAAAGTAAGCAAATGAAAACAAGACAAAAATAATAAAAGCAAAAAGGAAAAGTAATTGCACTGTGCTAGTAGATTCAGCTCTGAATAATATTTCATAATAGTAATATGTAAACAGTAAATACTGATTTAAACTAAAATGTTATAATTATACTGAGAGTATTGAAGATGAGGAAATACTGTGTGTGTGTGTGTGTGTGTGTGTGTGTGTGTGTGTGTGTGTGTGTGTGGTGTATTGAAAGCAACAGGAACAAGAGATAAAATCTCTTCTCATAATGTCAAAAACTGAAAAAATGAAGAAGTGGCAATATGATTATCTATCTAGAAATATAAAAATAGAAACCAAAACAAACACTTCAAAATGTCAAAGGCTCTGTTGAAGAGGATTTGGGAAGGTGTTGGAGAGTACTTTTTCAATAATAAACTTTGAAAAATTGATTCTTTTAAAGTATTGAGATGCATTACATGAAGGAAGGTGAAAACTAAAATAGAAAGACTTCTAATGCCTTGCAGTGTTCCTTAGATAATGCTCCTGAGTGAGGTCCCATCACTCTGCAATTGCACAGCCCTCCAAAAGAAAAGGGACTGCTTTCCCAGAAGCAGTCCATCTGGAGCCCAGGCGAGGGCACTAAGGCTTTTTCTCTCCCTCATTTTTTTTTTTTTTTTGAGACACAGTCTTTGCTCTGTCGCCCAGGCTGGAGTGCAGTGGTGCAATCTTGGCCCACCGTAACTTCTGCCTCCCGGGTTCTAAGTGATTCTCCTGCCTCAGCCTTCAGAGTAGCCGGGATTACAGGTGCATGCCACCACGTCCAGCTAATTTTGTATTTTTAGTAGAGACAGGGTTTCACCATGTTGGCCAGGCTGGTCTCATATTCCTGGCCTCAGGTGACCCACTCACCTTGGCCTCCCAAAGTGCTGGGATTACAGGTGTAAACCACTGCACCCAGCCTTTTCTCTCTCTTTCACGCCACACCAAATCCTGACTCCTAGAAGGATACCCAGTGTATGGTTAACATATTGGTGGTTGCAACAGACAAATCCTTTACTCCATTATGAAGACAATCACCTTTTCTCCCAAGCTAGTGCCTTCCTTTATATACACCATCATATTCATTTTCACTATAATTTATTAAGGGATATTTTTAATGCACAATCATATATCATCATGGAATAGTGGAAGGTGTAACTAGAAATCAGAATATGAACTTCTATAATGGCTTACTGTGGTTGTCAGTCAGAAGGGTTAAGCTTATACTGCTCTAACAAAGTGCTCTAACAAACTATTTCACAATCTCATTGCTTTAATACATAAACATCTATTTTTCTCTCAAAGTATCCTCTAAAGGAACAGGGAAATTGGAGAATCACGAAAGATTGTTTCACTACTTCAGTTCAAAATTGTCTCTTTTGCAAAATTAAGGGATTAAACTAGCCAGTCACTGGTTTGCAAAAACATCCAGCTCTTTCTATCAACCTCTCTTCTCCTCTTACAGACTCTGGGATATGTCAGAGATGATGATGTTGATGATGATGGGCATTGTCACAAAGAATATAACAACTATAACAATCTGTTTGGCTCTTACTAGATGCCAGGTGCTGTTATGAGCCTTAGATACATTTGATCACAAGAGCATCATGATCAGACGAATACTGTTAGGAAATAAAAAAGCAAAGGCTCTGATCCTTTTCCAGAACCTGCTCGACATAAATTTTCATTTTGCATTTCAGTTAATGACAACTCCATATTTCCAGCTGCTCAAACCAAAATCTCAATTCAATGTTTCTCTTGCCCCACATCTCATCCAGCAAGAAGTGAGGTGCTGCTGGCTCTAAATCAAAATACCTAAAATACCCAGCTCTCTGTGATCACCTCCTTCACTGCCACCTTAACCTGAACTGCCCTCATCTTTTGCCCGGGTTGCTGCAGTCCCCTAACTGGTCAACCAACATTTACCCTTGCCACCATACAGTCCATTCTCAATGCAGCAACCAATGTGATACCTAAAAACCTACATCAGATCTGACCATTCCTCTGCTGATAACCTCTGGGTTTACAATGACCTGTAGGGCCCTAAGTTATTTGGCCTTAGGTGGTCCTGTCTCTCATCCTGCCTGTTGGGCCTCGTCTCCTGCACCTTATCCTCTAGTCAAGTTGATCTTTGTCATGGTCCTGGAGCACACAGTCTCTCTTAAGCCTAAGGACTTTCTCTTCCTTGAATGCACTTTATCCAGATGTTTGGCAGTCAACTTCTGTTACAAACTGAATGTTTTTATCCCCCCAAATTCATATGTTGAAGCCCTAATCCATGATAGGACTCATGATGAGAGATTGGTGCCCTTATTAGAAGAAGACAGATCTCTCTCCACATGAAGAAACCCCATGTGGGCACACAGTGACCTGGTGACCATCTGCAAGCCAAAGAGTGGGTCCTCACCAAGAACCAAATAAGTCGTCATATTGATCTTGGACTTTCCAGCCTCCAGAACTGTAAGAAACATATGTCTGTTATTTAAGCCACCCAGCCTATGGTATTTCGTTATAGCGGCCCAAATCAATGAAGACAAGTTCTTTACCCCCTCAAGTCTTTGCTCAAATGTTGCCTTTTCAATGAGACTCATCTTAATCTCTCTATTTAATTTTGCATTTTGAGGCTCATCTTAATCTCTCTATTTAATTTTGCATTTTGATCTCCATCAATCTTCCCATTGTCTCCTGCATTTCTTTTTCCTTTCTTCCTGCTGAATTTTACTCATAGCACTTTGCACCTTCTTTCAAGGTAGAGACATTACTTATTTATTATAACACTGTTTATGCTCCCACACTAGAATGCAAGCTCCAGAAGTGACTGGATATTGGTCTGTTTGCTCACAATTAGTCACCACACTTCCAGAAATGAGCCTAGCACTTAATAAGTGCTCGATACCAGCACCTATATTGAAGTTTTTAATACCATTCTCCAACAGAAGAAACTGGGGCTCCTTAGAGAAGTGGTTGATTCCAGGACTGGGACAGCAAAAATACAAGATGAGCTTTGGAAGACCTTGTGGTTCCATAAAGGAAGGAAGTGCTCAAAAAATGATGGTGGCATGTGGAAAGGACTGAGGGGCCAACTTGCAAACGTTCCCAATGGCCAAAGTTGAAACACTCTGATCAAGAAAACAAATAACCATAGCAGGCCATAAGATAAAATAAGAAATATGCTTAATACTGATATACAAAAAAGATTGGATAAATAAGAAGAGATAGCTTTTCCTTACAGAAGAATTCCAGTTAACAAATGTAGAAAGAGTGAGGAAGACACAAAAGTATCATTAAGCAAACACAACAGTGAAATTGTAAGCAAGATCCACTAACAGATGCCAAAATCTATGGAAAAAAAGGAAAAACTAGATATTTGCATAGTTTCAAAGTATCTCTCCCAAAATATTTATTAATTACAAAGAGAAAAATAGTAATGTTATAGTGAAGAAACCTAGCAGACACCATCCTAGCCAAGTGAGCAAGATATAATCAGACATAGATTATCTGATATGATGCACGGAGAAAAGCACAACACAGTTGTCATATTCTTGAACAAACCAAAAGGGGCAACCTCAATCCAGCCACGAGAAAACATAAATAAACCCAAATTGTCAAATTGTCATCAGTCATGAGAGACCAGGGAAGACTGAGGAGCCGTTTCAGATGGGAGGAGACAAGAAGACAAGACAACTAAAGGCAGTATGAGGCCCTGGTTGGACCCTGGGACAGAAGAACATTATGCAACGCTGGCAAGGTGTGAATAAAGTATGGAGTTTAGTAATTAGTGATGTACTCTGTTAGTTTTGCTAGATTTACCATGGTCATGTACGATAACATTTGGGAGAGCTGAGCAAAGGTATACAGGAACTTGCTGTACTATCTTTGCAACTTTCTGTAAATCTAAAGCTATTTCAAAAAAAAATTTTTAAATAGGTACATAATAAGCATGTGTTAATGAATGTTCTCATTTATAAAATTTAAAAGTTGAATTTTAGATCTCTCAAATGTTTGATAAATCCATGAAAAAATTACAACATATTATTTTATCAAAAAGAATATTAGGAGAATCAATCAGTCTGCAGAAAATCAGTAAGCACTGTCAGTATAAAATACAGTCAGTAATTGACAGTCTATCAAAATAATTTTACATAGTAGACAGCATTTCTGATTGATTAGTCTAAGATGAGCAGCTACTTTGACAGTAAAAAGACAAATAAATTGAATAAATCCATAGCTAGCCAAAAGGTTAACAGAATACACATGCTTGGGTAGTGAAATAACATACATTATGAATATAGGAACATTTTGAAAATCATATTATCATCTCAGAGCTAGAAAAGTGTAGCTTGGTGGCTCTGGAAGTACTTAATTGCTTAATGATAGCATTCTACAAAAACCACATAGTTTTCACTTGTAAAACAAGCTGGTCTAGATATGTTGAGAAAGAGGAGAGATGGCATGTACTGAAAGTTGCAGTGTTTTGGATTTGAGTCAGGATGTGGAATGGGAAGAGTTTCTTCTATATTTTCTACATACAGCAAGAGTCAGCTTGGGAAGATGGCATGGTGGGTGTTCATTTGGTTCTGACAAGCCTCAACTGTTTTTGAATACTCCAGATTGCCAGTAACACATCTGCTAACTGTTTGCTTCTTTGGGGACTTAGTGTTGAACAATCTATTAAGTTGCAAATGTTTCATTTTTAACCTTAAGATGTTAAAACCATTGAAATTCCCAATTCTACTTTACTTTTTCTCAAAATATTTGATAATTTGAATTTTCACAAAGTTTCAGCACACTTACCATTCTAAGTAGGCCTTTCTATTTGTATAATCCTTTACATTTGTTAGAATTTATAGCCTAGTAGACATAAATTCAGTAACATATGGGGGAAATTTGTTAGGAGAGGCCAAGAGATAACTTAAAGACATCGCAGGAAAAAAATCCTTCATGTCTGTACACAGTGAATCTGGATCCTCAAATTCCTGAGGATTCTTGACCTACACTACCTAACTTAAAACGACTTTCCTCATTCAAGTGATTAAAGTTAGTAAAGAAGAATTTTGAAATTTTACCTCTTATGCTATATAATATTGAAACAGGTAATCTTGACAAATACAGCACAATCTTTCACAACATAAAACTAAATATAACCCTTTATTTCTTCTTCATTTTACAGACGCTCACAGACATTGGGGTTTCACTACGAGACATATGTATACATAATATTAACAATTCTAAAATATATTTATTTATTACTTATGTGCACCAAAGTAGCTACTCGATATACATAATCTTATTATCCTCACAACATTGTTTAGATAAAGAAACTGGGGTTGTAAAGGTTCAGTACCCAGCGCAAGGTAGCAATCCTAGATTCATGTGGTATTTGCCCTTCTATGCATGGCTTATTTCACTTAACATAATGACCTCCATTTCCATCAATGTTGCAAATAACAATCTCATTCATTTTTGCAGCTGAATAGTACCCCATTGTGTATTAGTACCACATTTTCTTTATACATTTATCTGTTGATGAACACAGGTTACTTCCAAATCTTGGATATTGTAAACAGTGCTGCAGTGAACATGAGAGTGCAGATATCTCTTCTATATACTGATTTCCTTTGAGTATATACCCAGTGGTGGAATTGCTGGATCATATGGTAGTTCTATTTTTAGTTTTTTGAAGAACCTCCAAACTGTTCTCCATAGTGGTTGTGCTAATTTACATTCCCAAAAACAGTGTATGAGGGTTCCCTTTTCTCCACATCCTTGCCAGCTTTTATTATTGCCTGTCTTTTGGGTATAAGCCATTTTAACTGGGGTGAGATCATATCTCATTGTAGTTTTGATTTGCATTTCCTAATGATCAGTGATGTTGAGTACCTCTTCATATGCCTGTTTGCCATCTGTATGTCTTCTTTTGAAAAATGTCTATTCAAATATTTTGTCATTTTTTAATTAATTTTTTTTCTATAGAGTTGTTTGAGCTCCTTATATATTCTGGTCATTAATATCTTGTCAGAACAGTGGTTTGCAAATATTTTCTCCCATTCTATAAATTGTGTTGTCACCTTGTTGATTGTATCCTTTGCTGTGCAGAAGCCTTTTAATTTGATGTGATCTTATTTCTGCATTTTTGCTTTAGTTGTCCGGCCTATGGGGCATTACCCAAGAAATTTTTTCCCAGATCAGTATCCTGGAGAGTTTCCCCAATGTTTTCCTGTGGTAGTTTCATAGTTTGAGGCTTTAAGTTTTCAATCCATTTTGATTTAATTTTTGCATATGGTGAGAAATAGGGATCTGGTTTCATTCTTCTGCATGTGAGTGTTCAGTTTTCCCAGCACCATTTACTGAAGAGACTGCCTTTCTCCAGTGTATGTTCTTGGCATCTTTGTAAAAAATGAGTTCCCTGTAGGTGTGTGGGTTTATTTCTGGGTTCTATATTCTATTCTATTTGTCTGTTTTTATGCCAGTACTATGCTGTTTTGCTTACTCTACCTCCATAGTATAATTTGAAGTCAGGTAATGTGATTTCTCCAATTTTGTTCTTTTTGCTTAGGATAGCTTTGGCTATTTTGGGTCTCTTATGATTCCATATAAATTTTAGGAATTTTTTTCTATTTCCGTGAATACTGTCATTGGTATTTCAATTGAGATTGCATTAAGTCTGCAGACTGCTTTGGTAGTGTGGACACGTTAACAATATTGAGTCTTCCAATCCATGAACATGGAATATCTTTCCATTTTTGTGTCCTCTTCAATTTCTTTCATCAGTGTTTTATAGTTTTCATTTTATAGATCTTTTACTTCTTTGGTTAATTCTGAGTATTTTTAATTGTGGCTATTGTAAATGGAATTACTTTTTAATTTCTTTTTCAGATTGTTCACTGTTGGCATATAGAAATGCTACTGACTTTTTGTATGTTGATTTTGTATCCTGAAACTGTAGTGAATTTGTTCATCAGTTCTAATTTTTTTTGTGTGTGGAGTCTTGAGGTTTTTCCAGATATAAGATCATATCACATGCTAACAAGGATAATTTGACTTCTTCCTTTCCAATATGTATGCCCCTTATTTCTGTTTGATTCCTCTAGCTAGGACCTCCAGCACTATGTTGAGTAACAGCGGTGAAAGTGGGAATCCTTGTTGTGTTCCAGGTCTTAGAGGAAAGGCTTTCAGTTTTTCCCCATTCAGTATGATACTAAATGTTTGTCTGTCATATATGGGTTTTATTATATTGAGGTTTGTTCCTTCTATACCCAGATTTTTGAGGGTTTTTATCATGAAGGGATGTTGAATTTTATTCAATGCTTTTTAAGCATCAATTGAAATGATAATATGGTTTTTGTCCTTCATCCTGTTGATATATCAAATTGATTGATTTGCATATGCCGAACCATTCTTGCATCCCAGAGATAAATCCCATTTGTTCATGATGAATGATCTTTTTAACGTATTGTTGAATTTAGTTTGCTAGTATTTTGTTGAGAATTTTTGTTATCAATATTCATCAGAGATATTGGCCTATAATTTTTTCTCATGTGTCTGTCTGGTTTTGGTATCGCAAAAGCACTGGCCTTGTAGAATTACTCTGGAAGTATTCTATCCTCTTCTATTTTAAAAAATAGTATGAGTAGGATTGGTATTAGTTCTTCTTTAAATGTTTTGTAGATTTCAGCAGTTAAGTCATTGGATCCTGGGGTTTTCTTTACTGGGAGACTTATTACAGCTTCAATCTCATTTCTTGTTACTATTCTATTCAGATTTTTGATTTCTTCATGGTTCAATCTTGGTAGGTTGTATGAGTCTAGGAATTTGTCCATTTAGTCTAAGTTTTCCAGTTTTTTGGCATATAGTTGCTCAGAGTAGCCACTAATGATCCTTTAAATTTTTGCAGTAACAGTTGTAATATCTCTTTTTCATCTCTGATTTTATTTGGATCTTCTCTCTTTTTTCTTAGTCTGGCTAAAGGTTGTCTATTTTGTTTAATTTTTCAGAAAACCAACTTTTGTTTCATTGATCTTTTGTATTGTTTTATTTCAATTTCATTCATTTCTTATCATTATTATTTCTTTTATTCTACTAATTTTGGGTTTGGTTTGCTCTTGCTTTTCTAGTTCATTAAGATGTGTCATTAGGCTGTTTATTTGAAGTCTTATTCTTTTTTAAAGTAGGCACTTATAGCTACAAACTTCCCTCTTAGTACTGATTTTGCTATATCCCATAGGTTTTAGTATGTTGTGTTTCCATTATCATTTGTTTCAAGAAGTTTTTCAATTTTCTTCTTAATTTCTTTATTGACCCACTGGTCACTCAGGAGCATATTATTTTATTTCCATGTATTTGTATAGTTTCCAAAATTCTTCTTATTGATTTCTAGTTTTATTCCATTGTGATCAAAGATGCCTCATATCATTTCAATTTTTTAAGATGTTTTCAGACTTGTTTTCTGACCTAACATATAATCTATCCTTGAGAATGGCAGAACAATCCATATGCTGAGAAAAAGAAGGTGTATTCTGCAGCTGTTAGATGAAATGCTCCATAAATATCTATTAGGCCCATTTGTTCTATGGTGCAGATTAAGTCCAATATTTCTTTGTTGATTTTCTATCTGGAAGATCTGTCCAATGCTGAAAGTGGCATGTTGATGATGTCTCCAGCTATTATTGTACTGGGTCTTATTTCTCTCTTTAGTTCTAATAATATTTCCTTTATAATATATCCGGGAGTTCCAGTGTTGGGTGTATATGCATTTAAACTTCTCATATCCTCTTGTTGAATTGACCACTTCATTATTTTATAGTGATATTCTTTGTCTCTTCTTACATGTTTTGTCTTAAAATCTATTTTGTCTGATATGAGTATAGCTACTCCTGCTCTTTGATGGTTTTCATTGGCATGGAATATCATTGTCCATCCTTTTATTTTCATTCTATGTGTGTCTTTTTAGGTGAATTGCATTTATTGCAGGTAACCAATCATTGAGTCTTTTTTTTTTATCCATTTAGCCACTCTGTGTCTTTTGATTGGAGAGTTTAGTCCATTTACATTCAATGTTATTATCCATCAGTAAGGATTTACTCTTGCCATCTTGTTGTTTTCTGGTTGTTTTGTGCTCTTCTCTTCCTTCTTTCTTCCTTTCCTGTCTTCTTTAGTGAAGGTGATTTTGCCTGGTGACATGATTTATTCTCTTGCTTCTTATCTTTTTGTGTATCCTTTGTATGTTGTTTGATTTGAGGTTACCATGAAGCTTGCAAATTTTATCCTACAACTCATTTTAACCTCATAACAACACTGTTTGCCAAAACAAATCAGCAAAAAGAAAATGAATAAAGCCTCTGTGCCTTAAATTCAGCCCTCTGCTTTTTAACTTTTTGTTGTTTCTATTCAAATATTATTGTACTATGTCTTGAGAAGTTGTAGTTATTATTTTTATTGGTTTATCATTTACTACTTTCTACTTAAGTCAAGAGTACTTTACAAACCATAGTTACAGTGCTATAAAATTATGTGTTTCTCTGTATATTTACTATTACTAGTGAGTTTTATTCCTCAGATTATTTCTTCTTGCTCATTAACATTCTTTTCTTTCTGATTGAAGAACTTCCTTTAGCATTTCTTGTAGGACAGGTCTGGTGTTCATGAAATTGCTCAGCTTTTGTTTGTCTGGAAAAGTCTTTATTTTTCCTTCATGTTTGAAAACTATTTTTGCTGGATATACTATTCTAGAGTAAAAGTTTCTTCCTTGAGCATTTTAAATATGTCATGCCACTCTCTCCTGGCATGTAAGTTTCCACTAAAAAGTCTGCTGCCAGATGTACTGGAGCTCCTTTATACGTTTTTTTTTTTTTCTTGCTGCTTTTAAAATCCTCTCTTTATCATTGACCTTTGGGAGTTTGACTATTAAATACTTTGCAGCAGTCTTCTTGGGTTAAATCTGCTTGGTGTTCTATAACCTTCTCGAATGTTGGTATCTTTCTCTAGGTTTGGGGAGTTCTCGGATGTTATCCCTTTGAATAAACTTTCCACCACTATCTTTCTCTACCTCTCTACCTCTCCTTTAGGGCCAGTAACTTTTAGATTTGCTCTGTTGAGGCTATTTTCTAAGCTCCTGTAGGCATGCTTCATTGCTTTTTATTCTTTTTTCTTCTGTCTCCTCTGACTGTGTATTTTCAAAGAGTCTATCTTGAAATTCACTTTTTTTTTTGCTGTATCAGTTCTGCTATTTAAAGACTGATACATTCTTCAGTACGACAACTACATTTTTCAGCTCCAGAATTTCTGCTTGATTCTTTTTAATTATTTCAATCTTTTTGTTAAATTGACCTGACAGAATTCTGAATTCTTTCTCTATGTTATCTTGAATTTCCTTGAGTTTTCTTAAAACAGCTATTCTGAATACTCTGTCTGAAAGATCACATATCACTGTTTCTCCAGGATTTGTCCCTGGTGACTTACTTAGTTCATCTGGTGAGGTCATGTTTTTCTGGGTGGTCTTGATACTTGTAGATGTCTGTCTGTGTCTGGGCATTGAAGAATTATTTATTTTAGTCTTCACAGTCTGGGCTTGTTTGTACCCATCCTTCTTGGGAAGTCTTTCCAGATATTCTAAAGGGCTTAGGTGTGGTGATCTAAGCTGTATCTGCTTTAGGGGGTACCCAAAGCCCGCTAATGCTACTGTTTTTGCAGACTTACAGAAGTACTGCCTTCATTGTCTTAGACAAGATCCAGCAGAATTCTCTGGATTACCAAGCAGAGACTCCTGTTCTCTTCCCTTTCTCTCTCTCTCTCTTATTCTCTCTCTCTCTGTTCTGAGCCACCTGGAGCTGGGAATGGAGTGACACAAGCACTCCAGTGGCCACCACCACTGGGACCGTGCTGGGTTAGACCTGAAGCCAGCACAGCACTGGGTCTCATCCAAGGCCCCCTATAACCACTCCCTGGCTACTGCCTATGTTTGTTCAAAGCCCTGGGGGCTCTACACTTAGCAGGTGGCAAAGCCAGGCAGGCCTGTGTCCTTCCCTTCAGAGTGGTGAGATCCCTCATGTCCTGAGTGGGTCCAGACATGCCATCTGGGAGCCAGGAACCAGAGTAAAAAACTTTGGAAGTCTTCATGGTGTTCTATTGTGCTGAGGCTGAGCTAGCCCTCAAACCACAAGATGCTGTCTTTTCCATTATTCCCTTCCCTTTCCAAAGGCAGAGGAGCCTTACCTCCTGGCCACCACCACTATAGGCCCACAGGAAGTACTGCTAGACTACTGCTAGTGTTCCCTTAAGGCCCAAGGTCTCTTAAGTCAGCTTGTGATGAATGCTGTCTGGGCTGGGACTCATCCTTCGGGGCAGAAGGCTCCTCTCTGGCCTAGCACAGTCCCAGAAATGCCATTCAAGAGCCACATCCTATAATCAGGGACCCAAGAGCCTGCCTCTTGCTCTACCCCCGTGTGGCCATGCTGGTCTCTAAAATGCAAGACAAAGTCTCTTTTACTTTTCTCTCTGCTTTTCTCAAGCAGAAAGATTCTTGCCACATAGCCACCACAGCTGGTAATGTATTGAGTCTCACCTGAAGCCAGCAAGTGTCAGAGGCTCACCCAAGGCCCTTGACACAGTACCTGAGTATTGCTGATGGTTATTCAGGGCTCAGGTACTATTCAGTTAGCAGGTGATTAATCGTGCTAGGAATGGGTCCTTCCCTTCAAGGAAGCAGTTTTCCCTCCGGCTCAGGATATGTCTAGAAATGTCTTCTGGGAGCTAGGACCTGAACCAGGGGCCTCATGACTCTGACCAGTACCCTATCATGCTGTGGCTGAGCTGATAGCCAAGATGCAAGACAAAATCCTCCCCTGTCTTCCTTCTCCTCTCCTCAAGTGGAAGCAAGGCGACTCTTTCGGAGCCGTGAGCTGTGTAGCCTGAGATTAGGGGAGGGGTGATGCCAGCACTCTCTTAGCTACCCTGACCAGTGTCTCAGTAGGTTGCGTGCCCCCACCCCTCCACTAGCTCTGGGCCTGGTTCAGCCCTAGGACTCACCTAGTCCTTGTGGCCTAGACTACTTTTCCAGTTTATTTAGCACCCCAGAGCACTTTAGCTCACAGTGATGAGGCTTGTACAAACTGAAGTTACAACCACTGAGATCAACAACTCCCCTTTGACTAGGGCTAATTTAAATGCTACCTCCTTGGGCAGGCAACAGCTGAGTTTGGTCCAGTTTTACTTTCTGCTGTAATAAGGCAGCACTGAGTTCAATGCCTCACAATTGCTGTGCTCTCCCTCTCTCACAACCACACAAAAATGCTCTCTGCATCATGCCGCTGCGGCTGGGGGATGGGAGGGAGTGACATTGGTGATTCAAGATTGTTTTTTCTACTTCTTCAGTGCATCTTTTAGCAGTATAAAGTTAAAAACAGGTACTGTGAGTGCTCACCTGATTTTTGGTTCTTATGAAGTTACGTTTTTGTACAGATAGTTAAATTCGTGTTTTTGCAGGGAGGACAATTGGTGGAGCCTTCTATTCCACTGTCTTGCTCTGCCCCTTCCTCTTCTTGTTTATTTTTATTTGTTAGCAGGCAATAGGTAAATATGAGCTCAAATCATTAATTAGAAAAAAAAAGTCAATCTATGTATTTATATCAGAAATTCTGACTTTGTGACAATTATGTTCTAACAAAGTACTCTATAATAGTCATCGGGATTGAGTGAAGAATACTTGCATTTCACTTGATTTTACTGATTTTATGTGCCAAGATATCTGACAAATAGAAAAAGTGGGAAAGTAAAGCAAGATCATGTAAATGTTTCAGTGAACAGGAAACTTAAAAAAACCATGAAGAAAAAATTAAGAATGCATAAATCTAAAAATGAGAAGAATGAGCAGGGCCGACAGTTTTCAGTGCCATGTTACCATCTAGTAATTGTATTCTCCATTATAAAGTAGGTATACCCTCTTATTTTATTATGATCCATAACAACTTTATGAAATATGCATGGCTTTAGTGATTAATAAGATTACTTAGCTAGTAAGTGGACAAACTGAGTAGGATCCAAGTTTCTGATTTTTATGTGTACTTTCCACAAGGCCAGGCAGCCCTGCCGACACCATTTGTGACTCAAACTTAATGGAGAAGCAAACAAATCTTCCAACTTTTCCTTGTGCTTAATCTCTGACTCTAGCCAAAGAAGGTTCTCTGCTTTTAAGGGCTCATGTGATTAGATGGGCCCACTTGGATAATTCAAAATTATCTCCATATCATAAAGTTGGTAACCACTTTTGCCATGTAGTGTAACATATTCACAGGGTCCAGGGTTTAGGGTGTGGACATCTTTGAGGGCTCATTCTGCCTGTCACACTGTCATTCTTCTACTTTCTTTTTATTCTACAACTTTTGTAGCATAGTTGGGAATAATTCATGGACAATGATGAGATAATTTCTGTGACAGCTAAATATAAAAAATATTTCAAGACACAAAAATAACATCACTAAGATCTCATACTGTATCTTAGATTTATTAAAAGGTCCAATGGACCCATATGATAATTATAAAATAAAATATGTGATTTTATTTAAAATAAGTAAAATTACTCATTTTTGGAAGACTTCTAAGAAAGAATAAGAGTTTTATAAATAGAAATCCTTATAAATAGCTTGAACTTCTTAAAAAAAGGAACTCAAAAACTAAAAGTAGGTCCGATGGAAACTGGTGATTTTCCAAAGACTAATCTTACTAAATTTTAGTACTCCCATCTTTGGCTAAAATAAGTTATGCTTTTGGAAAATATATTAAAATATGTCCACACACCTTGTGAACCAATCAAGTAGTTTGATTGTCTTTATTCAATTTATCTATCAAGTTATTTCACGGTAGAATGAGCAAAGACACATAATTTATTGAATGCATAAGCACTGACTTACACAGTAAAGCACTTAATCTTTATAAATATGGTATATTAATAATAACAATTGCTAATATTTACTGAGCTCTTTTATTGCTTCAGGCTTTCACATTCCACTCAATGAAGGTAGGATTATTATGCCTATTTTACAGACGAGAAATCTGAAAATTAGTGAGATCAAGTAACTAGAACAGGTCACAAAAGAGTATCTGACTTCTTTACCCCCTTAGATGGACCCGATAGAGTACAGTGCCAAAGAAGGAACAGCTGTCCCTTTGTTGTCATGTTTCTGCCTCTGCTCCAGGCAAGACCAAATTTCTATCCAAGCTCTCCCCATAATGGAAAAGGGGCAGAGGGAACAATCCTGGCTCTTCTTTCTGCCTGTTACTAAAATATGTCATGCATAGGGGGCAGCTAATTTGCTTTGTTAAAGCATGCCAGTCATTGGGCCATGTGTCTTGTTATGAGTCATGGTGACTGACATCATCATGTGTTGAAGTTTCATGCTTACATGGGGTATGTCCTCTTGCCCTGCCTTCCACTGTTTTGACAGTGCTAAGAGTAACAAGCTCTTGCAAAGCAAGCCAGTCATTTTCTCTCTCTTTCCACATGGCAGCCAGGTACAGGCTTGGACACAGGCTATGGAGTCTAGGCTAGCTTGCTGTTAAGCACTGGAGAAACTCTGTTTCTTGCTGTGTAGCTGCTACTCCTTTGTTGACACTTATGGGTATACTTTGGATTAGCCTTTCTTCAGACTGCAGTGATTACAATCTTATATAATGAGTGCTTGGGGAGGTAGGCACAAAATGATCAGAGAAGAAAGATCTCAGATCTCACTGAAGCTTCCTAAGACCAAAGACACAAATTCAGCTTTTACCCAAGAATATCAGGCACCTTCCTAGTTTTTAAATAACATTTGTCCCTGGTTCTCTTCTAGTTTTTCATTTTCTTTACATCAACTTCCTCAGCAAAGAAGCCAGGGGAATAAGCAGTGACTCCTACCTAAATATATTTCTACCTTTTAAGCCATACCATTTCCCACCACATTGAGTTTTCAGTACACATACAACATCTCTTGCTACATGGAAGCATCTTTCAGTTTTCTCAACAAGCCCAGTCCAGCAGAACCCTCTCACATCAGAACTTCCAATACTGTGTCATCTTAATTACCTCCATAGACCACTTTGATCAACATTACCATCTTATCTATGCTAGTGTTCCCTAATTTTTTTCCATCTGCAATGGATGTTACCAGGTGTCATTCATGCCAAAGAAATGTTTGCTATCAGATAAGCTTACACTATGACATGATGGTAAATAGAGTAGACAGAGATGTCAGTCACCTCCTCTACACTCCAATTCTCATATTTTCATTTTTTTCTTCTTCTTTAGAGACAGGGTCTCTCTATGTTGCCCAGGCTGGTTTTAAACTCCTGGGATCAAGCAATCCTCCTGTCCTGGCCTCCCAAAGTGCTAGGATAACAGGTGGAAGCCACCATGCCTGGCTTCAAATTCCCATCTTTGAAAACCGATCTTGCCCACTACCCTGAAAAGTCTCACTTTCCACAAGGCCTATCAAGGGGAGACTTTGATCGATGCTGGGTATCTGCTGTCTCTGGATTACCTAAAACAGTGAGAGGCTAGGCCAGTTAAACTATGATAGGAGATGGAACTAAAAGACAGCATATATACTGGGATGGAGTTGTTCCTTTCCAAAACAAACTAAAATTCAGTCAAGATGAGCAGAGTAAATAGAAAAAGCCTGTCTGCGCGAGGAACAGGAGAAGACAACAGACCAGCAACGTGGAAAAGACATCTCCACCAGAGATGGAAGGAAGAGCTTGTTTTTCACTTTTCTGTCCAGTCTTAGGTACAGCTTGGGTTTTTTGTAATATTGCCTTTTACATCTTCTCAATCCTTTTTTTTTTTTTTTGAAGACTCTGTCTCAAAAAAAAATTAGCCACTACGCCTGGCTAATTTTTTGTATATTTAGTAGAGATGGGGTTTCACCGTGTTAGCCAGGATGGTCTCAATCTGACCTCATGATCCACCCACCTCGACCTCCCAAAGTGCTGGGATTACAGGCATGAGCCACCACACCCAATCCTTTTTTATTTGGACTAACTTAAATGACAACAAAGTCAAAACAACCAAACTGTCACCTAAGTTACTGTAACTCTGCCAAATACAGATCTATATTGCTGTGCCAAATACAAAAAAATCAAGAAGTCTCCCCACTACAAGGTTTCTCACAGCCTTTATATGATAGTGTGGTTTCTTTATTGCCAATGGTTGAGGAACAGAATTATGGACTTATGGGACCTTTCTATTCCCAGACATAGAGCTCATAGTGAGAAATACTGACCTAACTTAACTAGCCAATTCATCCTCAGTCTATGCTTATACATTAACGACAGAGTGCATGTATTGGGATTTCAATTTAAAATGTCATAAAGCTGAGAATTCCTGACCACAGTCTATCACTAATATACCTATGAATACCCAAAAACATTACTAAAATAATGTTTAATAAAACATTAATCTTACTAAAATGTTGAAAAATAAGATTGACAATAGTGTCAGATCTCCAAGAACTTTATGTTCAAACTATAGTGAAAGGGGAATTGAAAACTGTAAAATGTGCTAGTCTTGTTAAGATGCTGTCTGCCAGTCCTACTGAAAGTATTTAGAAAGTATTCTCTTAGATGTGCTACAGAAAACCCAACTCATGTGTCTATATATCAATAGAATAATAGATGGCTGTTGATACGGTTTAGATTTGTGTCCCTACCCAAATCTCATGTTGAATTATAATCCCCAATAGTGGAAGAAGAGCCTGGTGGGAGGTGATTGGATCATGGGGGCAGAATTCCCCCTTGCTGTCCTCATGATAGTGAGTAGTTCTCATGAGAGCTGATTGTTTAAAAGTGTGTCTCACCTCCCCTTTTTCTCTTTTCCTCCTGCTCTAGTTACGTAAGATGAGCCTGCTTCCCCTTTGCCTTCCACAGTGATTGTATGTTTCCTGAGGCCTCCCCAGCCATGCTTCCTACACAGCCTGAAGAACAGAGAGCCAATTAAACCTCTTTTCTTTATAAATTACCCAGTCTCAGGTAGTTCTTTACAGAGGTGCAAGAACAGACTAATACAGCTGTCCATTTGATCATAAAATATCTCTCTTTTTTTTTTTTTTTTTTGGCCAGGAAAGTATTCTTATCCTTCCACCACCTGCATTATTCAGAGGTTGGGGAGAAGTGAGAGTGCATTATACTCCAGAAAATATAATCTTCACAAATACGATTCCTGTAGGAAGGGTGAAGGTGAGGAGAGTGCTAGAGGCAATATATTGTGTATCGTTCTATTCAGAATAACTGAGAGCAAATATAATGCTGACCAGAACTGTGTGAAAAGAAACCTTGCTAAACACTAGGAATCAAGCAAGATGTTGTCTAATTTGTCCTCCTCCTGGTACATCCGATGTGGATTAGACCAGTATACAAACAGACAAAGAGCCCTTAAGGAAGTCTAAAAACCCCTGTTGGCAAACACTGAGTTTGAGGTTTATTAGAAGAAAACAAGGAAAGGGACAGCCAAGAAGACTCATCCTGGAGACTCCCTCATCCTTGAGGGGCCATAAGAGTGTGCACAGGCACTATCTTGTACCCACTCTGGAAAATCAAAGCACAGTGTGGTAATGGCTTAAAAAAATCACCTCAAGCCATTCACAGATCCCTCAACAAAAAAAACTTTGAGCCCTAAAGTTTCCAGGAGCTTAAAAACAACCTGTGACCAGACACTGGCAGAAAAATAAGCTCCTTAGACCTGGGGCAGCTCATGGGAAGACAAGCTTAAAATGAAATCTCACTCATCCCTGGTCATCAGAACAACTGTGCACAGACCTAAGGCTGTGCTCTGCCGTGTGTCACTGGAGACGTAGCCTCAGAACGTGTCTCTGGATGATCACTGAGGTAGGAGAAGACAAAAACTGTAAATTTCCCAAGCAGAGAAAGCAGCCTCCAAGCTGCACTTATTACCAACAGCAATGGGTGAAAATGTAATGGATTAAGGGGAGTTAAGCGCAACTTTTGACCAAAATGTAGTCAATGCACACTCCAAGTATGACCCTTAGAAAGTCAGGCTAAAAATACAAGTGTGATGGTGCATGGCTGTGTCCCAGCTACTCAGGAGGCTGAGGCAGGGGAATTGCTTGAATCAGGCAGGTAGAGGTTGCAGTGAGCAGAGATTCTGCCACTGCACTATAACTTGGGTGACAGAGTAAGACTCTGTGCTAAGAAAAGAAAAAAAAAGCCAGGCTAAAAATAAAGAGAAAATCCTGAGCAATGACATCAGATTTGCTGCATACTGTGCAGACATCAAAGAGTTAGTCCAACCAAATCAGTAAACACAGTGATTGAACAACAAAACCTAAAAACCCCAGAAGGAAGGTGTATGTCCTTATCCAAATTGCTACAATATATTATGTAAAATTTCCAGTTTTTAACCAAAAAGTATGAGACATGCAAAGAACTAGGAAAGTGTAGGCCATTCATAGGAAATAAAATAGCCACTAGAAATTACAGTAAAGTTCTGAATACTTTCCCCCTAATGTAGGAAACACAATTACCAATATCTTACCGGGGCAAGATATTGAATTTAATACAGAAAGACCTGAAAACAACTAAAGAAAATTATATTTATAAAGTCACATATAGATATGAGAACAATAATTCAACAAATAATGTCAATAAAGATATAAAAATTCTAAAAATAACCAAACATAAATTCTGGGATCGAAAAATACAATAACTAAGATATAAATTTTACTAGAAGGGCTCAACAGTAGATTTAAGTTGACAAAAAAGTCACTACTGACCTTATGGAAATATAAAGAATTATAAGGGAGTAATATGAATGACTGTATGCTGCAAAGTAGATAACAGAGATAAAATGAAAAAATCCTAGAAAGATCAAATTACTGAAACTGACTTAAGAAGAAATGTAAAATATAAATAGACCAATGAACAAGCAAAGAAATAGAATACTTTTAAAACTTCTCATTAAAAAAAGCTCAGATGCAGATGACTTTGGTGGTGAATGCTACAAAGCATTTAAAGAACACCAACCCTTTACTAACTTTTCCAGAAAATAAAGGAAAGGAAACACTTTCCTACTTGTTCTTTGAGATCAGTATTATCATAATAGCAAAACCAAAAATATATATATTTTAAAAACTATAAACCCACATCTTTTAGGACTATAGATGCAAAAAATCCTCAACAAAATACTAGCAAACCAAATCTGGTAACATATAAAAAGAGATATACAACATGACAAAGTAGGATTTACCAAGGAACAGAAGATTGGTTTCACATCCAAAATCAATGTACTATACGCCTCATAAAGGACAAAAAAACATGATTATTTAAATAGATGAACAAAAATAATTAGACTACATCCAACACTCTTTCATGATTAAAACCTACCCTATGAACTAGGACTAGAGGGGAATCTAAACCCAACGAACAGTATCAGTGAAAAGCCTACAGCTAACATCATACTAAACAGTAAAGTTCTGAATGCTTTCCCCCAATGGAGGAAACACAACAAGGATATCTCTTTCCTCTTCCATTCAATACTGTACTGGAGGTTTTAATAAGATCAACTGGGTAAAAAATAAATAAATAAAAGGAATTTAGCAAGAAAGAAGTAATTTTTTTTTAATCGAGATGGAGTCTCACTCTGACGCTCAGACTGGCGTGCAGTGGCACTATCTCAGCTCACTGCAACTCTGCCTCCTGGGTTCAAGTGATTCTCCTGCCTCAGCCTCCCAAGGAGCTGAGATTACAGGTGTCTACCACCACACCTGGCTAATTTTTGTATTTTTAGCAGAGATGAGGTTTCACCATGTTGGCCAGGCTGGTCTTGAACTCCTGACCAGGTGATCTGCCCACCCTGACCTCCAAAGTGCTGGGATTACAGGTGTGAGGCACCTCAACCAGCCTAAATTTTTCTTTATTCATAGATTAAATAATCTTGTGTAGAGAAAAATCCCAGCGAATACACATGTTGATCCAGGCATTCATATGGAAATGCAAGGAACACAGAACAGCCAAAACAGTCATCAAAAAGTTAATGGATTCACACATTCTGATTTCAAAATTTACTATAAAATGTAGCAATCAAGCCAATTTCTACAGATTAATGAAACAGAATTGAGAGTTCAGAAATAACCTCTTAACATTTATGGCTAACTGCTTTTCAACAAAGAGGCCAAGGCAACTCAAAGGGAGAAAAAATAGTCTTTCTGACAAACGTTTCTGTGACAACTGAATATAGTTATGGAAAAGAATGAGCCTAAGAAGAATGAGTAATCCAGTTTTGTTGGGTAGAGTATTTTATAAATATCAGTTGATTAAGTTGATTGTTAGTGCTTTTCAGGTCATCTTTACTGATTTTCTACCTGCTGGATGTATCAAATTACTGAGAGAGGTATACTAAAGTTTCCAACTATTATAGTGGATTTATGTATGTCTCCTTTTAGTTCTATCAATTTCACCTCATATATTTTATTGCTCTGTTATCAGGTGCATACACAGGATTGCTTTGTATTCTTGAAGTACTGACCATTTTAAATTAGACAGTAACTTTCTTTACTATTGATGAGTTTCGTTGTTCTAAAGGGTATTTTTTTCTGAAATATAGATATTCCAGTCTTCTTTTGATTAGAGTTAGTATAGTATACCTTTATTCGTTCCTTTGTTTTTAACCTAGCTGTCTTTATATTGGAAGTGAGTTTCTTGTAGACAACATACAGCTGGGTCTTGGACTTCTTTATATATATATATATATATATATATATATACATACATACACACACAAATACATATATACACAAATATGTATATATATACACAAATATGTATATATATACAAATATGTATATATACACACAAATATGTATATATACACAAATATGTATATATATACACAAATATGTATATACACACAAATATATATACTGTTTTAATTGCTGTATTTAGACCATTCACATTTTAAGCACTTATTTATGTGAACGAATTAAATTCTACCATGCTTCTAATTGTTCTCTACTCACTGAATTTATTTTTTCCCTTTTTCTGCCTTCTCTGATTTAACTGAGCATTTCATATGATTTCATCAGAATAATTCATTGTGCTTCATTTAAAAATAATTGTTGCTCTAGAGTTTACAGTATACATTTTAACTAATTTAAGTCTAGCTTTAAATAACATAAGATACTTGCATGACATACTTTAAATAACATAAGATACCTGCAACTACTTCTTGTGTAATGCAAGTATCTTATGGAAGATTATTCCCAATTCTTCTCATTCCTTGTGACATTGCTGTCATTCATTCATCCAAATGCTACACTCACTCAATGTGTTGTACTATTTAACAGTTATCTTTTAGATAATAGAAAACTTGAAAACTATTTGATTTACATTTATTCTACCTATGACATACTTCCTTTATTTACACAGATCTAAATTTATGACTTATTTTCTTCTACATGGAGAAATTTTAACATTTATTACAGAGGAGGTCTGCTGGTGATGAATTCCCTTAGGTTTTGTATTAAAAAAGCCTGTTTCTCCTTCACTTCTGAAGAACCATTTCTCTGGATATAGTTATAAATTGGTCTTTTTATTCCTTCAATATCAAGTTTCACTCCACTTTCCTCTTGTTTGCTTGGTTTCTGATGATACATTTGTTGTAATTCTAATTCTTGTTCTTCTATATGTAAGTGATTTTTTTTCCCCGTGGCATCTTTCAAGACTTTTCTCTTTGCTTTTCTCTGGTTTTCATATGACAATATTCCCTGGTGTGGTTTTCCTAAGGTATTTGTCCTGGCTGGTATTCTCAGAGCTCTCTAGCACTGTGATTTGGTTTCTGTCATTAATTTTAGAAAGTTTTCAGCCATTATTAAATATTTCCTCTACTGCATTCTCTATTTTTCTCTTTACGGATTCCAATTATGTATGTGTTGCACCTCTTAAATTTTTCACACAGTTCTTGGATGGTCTATGGTGGGATTCTTTTCTTCATTTTTTTTTTCTCTTTGCTTTTCAGTTTAGGAAGTTACTGTTGACTAATTATCAAGCTCATTGATTCTATCCTCGGCTGTGTCCAGTGTACTGATGGGCCCATCAAAAGCATTCTTTATTTCTCTTAGTGTGTTTTGATTTCTAGCATTTACTTTCATCTGTGCTTTCATTATGCATCCATTCTGGCATGGTGTCTACTTTTTCCATTACAACCTTTATATGTTAATTATTATTTGAAGTTCCTGCCTGATAATCCCAACATCTGTGTCATATCTGAGTCTGGTTTTGATGATGGCCATTTTAAAAATCTTTTTGCATGCCTTAAATTTTTTTTTTTTTTTTGAGGGAGCTGAACATGTATCACGTGCTAGAAACTAAAGTAAATCAGCTTTTAGTGTAAATATTTATGTTACCTGGGCTAGGAGTTGGGCTATGTTTAATGTTTGTGTACCTATAGGACACAGTTGCTCAAGTATCCTTGTTTTTTGTTATTTTATTTCTTTCTCAAGTAATCTGTCTTTTATTGGTAATGCCATTCAGACACATTTTCCTTTTGCTAAACAATTGAAAATCGATTACAGAAATCATATTTTACCTCTAAATATTTCAGTATGACATAAATCTTCTCAAACAGAAGTATCTGCTACACCTAAAAAAAACAACATTAATTCAATATTGTTCATACACAGATTGCCCCAATCATTCCTCAAATGTCCATAACAGTTTTTGTCTTTCCTATTGACTTTAGACTTTCCTAAGTATTCTTCCTATAAAGAGTGTGTCTTGCAGATCTTTCAGCTATCACCCACTGTTATTATACTGGAGCACTTTTGGTGTGGTGGTAGGGAATGAACAGGGAAAGGATTCTATAATTTTACGATTAAATCTCAGTCTTTTAGGGAGACTGTCTCTGGGCTGTGACTTTCCCAAGTGTTTCTCTAGTGCTACAGCTTTTCCCCCCTGGGTTACTTCCCTTCCTGGCTGCAGTGTTCACCATCTATATTTTTCTTTGTAGTGTTGACTATAGTTCCACCTTTCCCTGCTCCAACCTGCAGGTGAAACAGGAGAGCTAGGGGCATCTGAATTGGGAGAAATGCCTTTCTCCTGGCATTTCTTTCCTCTGGCTTATCACTGCTTCTCTCTGGAGAGCAAGTGTCATGGAGAAGGATCTGCAAATATAACCCAGTGACTCCTCTTCCCCTTTCCATGACAAAGCCATGAGAGGGTCTTTCTCAGATCGTCACCATACCTGGCAGGATTCCTATGGTGGTTCCTCTAAGACTACATTCCCCAGAGTTTCTCATTATTGGGCTGGTCCATACTCAGTCTTATTCAATGTATCAAAATTACCACTTAAGTGTCCATACCAGTTTATGGCTCCAGTGGCTTCTGCTTTAGGTAAGAAGATCATTGTTGTGACTCTGTATTCACCTGACTCTCCACATTGTGGAATTGTAGTTTGACTTGTGATCTCAGTTTTCTGATATTTGCAGGACATGTCACTGGATTTCCGTTTGTCAGCTTTTTCTTAAGTATGTGAGTTACAACTTCCAAGCTCTTTGCATAAAACTGGAAATCCCAGAGTGGTCTAGTTCATCAAATGCTGGCTTGAGAATGAAAGGCTGAGGCTCAGTTCTTGCCTATGCCGATGTGGGATTCTGGACAGACAACATCAAGCAGTTTTGCTTTGTCAGAGCACAGCCCATGAGGCAGGAATACTAAGGTAGGTGAGTCTAACTGTGCATATTAATCAAAACATATAAAATCACACTTCAAAAAGTAGGCAATAATTTACATTATAGAAGGTTATAATAATTCATTACATGGCTAAAATCCTAGTTTTTTTTTTAACTGGGTGTTCTTATATTGTATTAAGGAGATAAAAATCCAATAAAAGAAACTTATAATTTCACACTTATTAATTCAAGTTGAAACAGAAAGGAAGACAAATTACTACTAAAGCACTGCAAGGTCTAGGCAAATAAAAGAGGTTACAAGATGCTCAAATCCTTAGGATTCGAAGAGATGGGAGATTCTGTAATAACAGAACTAGGATAACTCCACACAACAAGATTGGAAATTGTTCCAGTATGAATTTGAGTTGAATTTCAAATTTCACGTAATTGCCCCATTATTAGTTTTCTTTTTCCAGCATGGGGCAGATGAGGAAGTGTTTAATGAACTCAGTTTTGTTATACCTCAGATTAGATTTACCCAAGAATAAGAACCATGTGATTAATTCCATTGGCAAACTACTTGAAGTACAGGGAATGTTGACAATATTTTAACTTCAAATTAGATTGTGGAAAGTTCACCTAACTGGACATGGTTCTTTTACCTAGTTGGAAATCTAACAGGGAACCTCTGAAACACTGAGAACACAGTAGAGAAAGAATAATAGTTTTGTTAAAACCACTTTACAAATGGAGGTCTCTTCATATTTGTCTTTCTAAGTTATTTGCACCCAGCAAAGGGTTTTTCCTTATATTGCTATTGTTACAAAGCTGCTATTCAGAAGAGAAGTCATTGAGCTTTTATTATCAACGTTCACCACTAGGAAAAAAAAAGGAAAGAAAATTGATATGGGTAGGGCTTGGGTAACCTTATTTTTTTCCTTTTATGAGATTTGAATTTCTGTACTTATCCTAAAGAATAAAAAAAAAGGGGGGGGGGTGGGGAGCTAAATAAAGTCATCTTCTAATGCAACTAAATTAAATTACTTCTAATTCAATAAAATTAGAATATCAAAAGATGAAAACTGAAAATTTGTTCGTGTGACCTTTCATGATATTTAGGCATCTGGCTTCTTAGATCAAGTAATCAACACACTAATTAAAATTACATTTTTTTCGAATGTCAAAACTGTCATCTGCATTTCAATGTTATAATTGTATAAGATTAAAAGAAAAAGGTTGCACATCAATGAAATCACATTATAAATGTATCTCAATGACTATGTAGTGGAGACAAAGACCTTGCAATCCAGGATACGTGGGTAAATTTGAGGACAGCTCCAATTTACACATACAATGATCTACGTCACTGCATTGAAAGCACCTGGCCAGCCTGCACAGCTGTGGGTAGGAGTTTGCCTAAGTAATAGTGGTTGTGGGTAGTAGCGGCTTGGAGTTTGCCTAAGAGGCTGCAGATCATGCCTTTTGGAGGCAACTTTCTACAGTGTTTCTGTGTCTTGTTGCAGCCTTCCTCCTAGGCTGTCTTTTCAAGGGTGATGTTATAGCAAATAGCCTTGGAAGACAGAGATGGTGTCTCCCTTCAGGCCAGAGGACATATTTGTTTCCTGTCAGGATAATATATAGTAAGTTCCCTTGGAACCCCCTTATAAGACTGAGGTTTCCTAAGCTCGGATTTACTTAGCTGTGGCACAGACCCACCGAGTGTGCGACATCACCCTGAACCACCCCGCATTGCCCTCAAGATACAGGGCAAGAGAAACTGTGCACATGAAGCTTTGACTTCCGGATGTTTTTTTTTCAGTCATTGCTGCTTTGAGGTGAAGGCACTACCGACTGTGAGCCAAAGACGTTTCAAACATTCAGATAAACTTAGTCCTTTCACTATAAAGGCACTACCCTTCAGAGGTATTTGGATATTAAACCTCTTATATAACCAGAGAATTCATTACTGTGGTCTTAGCAACACATAAAGAAATACAAACCAGGAAGTCTTCCTTGTCTCCTGGAGGCTGGCTTAGGTGTCCCTCATCCGTGTTCCCGTAATGTCTAACTTTCCAATTACATATGAACAAATCAGTAGTTAGTCTATAAACCACCTCTAGCCCCCCAGCACCAGCTGATTCAAGTTAAACCCACAGTTCCCTGAGCTCTGCCACTTACTACATAGCTGACAAAGCAGCAGCAGGTTTCTCCTTTGTCAAGGGGAGCTAATAATGCTACCTTTCTCTAATTGTCTTAAGGGTTTGAGGAAACAATAAAAATGCTTATAAAAGTACCCAGCACAGGCCGGGCGCGGTGGCTCACGCCCGTAATCCCAGCACTTTGGGAGGCCGAGGCGGGCGGATCACGAGGTCAGGAGATCGAGACCATCCTGGCTAACACGGGGAAACCCCGTCTCTACTAAAAATACAAAAAATTAGCCGGGCGTGGTGGCAGATGCCTGTAGTCCCAGCTACTCGGGAGGCTGAGGCAGAAGAATGGCGTGAACCCGGGAGGCGGAGCTTGCAGTGAGCCAAGATCGCGCCACTGCACTCCAGCCTGGGCGACAGAGTGAGACTCCGTCTCAAAAAAAAAAAAAAAAAAAAAAAAAAAAGGTACCCAGCACAGCATCCAGGCTACAAAAGTGATTATTCTCAAAGTTGCTTTTTGACCTTTTGCAACTGAATTGGAAACTACATCTGAGGCCGAGAAGTGCCTGGTTGCTGCACTGGCTGGTGAGAGTGAAGCCAGAGCCACTGGGAGCAGTTACCCACATCCCGCTGTGGGATCCCCTGGCCCCTTGCAGAGCACTGGCAAAGCAGGAGGCTCCTGGAGAGGCAGCATCTGTGGATGTTTGAGTTGTGGCCCTCCGCACACCGGTGGGGATTGCCAGAGAAAGCATGAGGCTCCTTGGTCAGCACTGAAGACAGACACTTTGTAAAGATAACCCCTTTTGTTTTTTAAAGCTTTGTATTTCTTCAATGCTAATCGATTCCTAGGAGAGGTTACATCACCTCCAACACCAACCTTCATTTAGTGCCTGCTGTTTTAGAATGATGGACCACATACTCCAGCTGTCCCCTGGAGTGCAGGCGGCCAGTGAAGGACTCAGGGAGCACCTTGGCACTTCTCACATGATAAGGCGAGGAACGGATGCGAATCCACACCAAATGAGGTCAGCATCTGTGAGAAGCCAAGGTCTGGTTGCTCCTGCCCCGCCACTACCACCGCAAGCATCCTTGCAATACTTCCTGCCGGACCTGCCAGGCTCCACAGCACTGTGCACTGAGGGGGCCTATCAGAAACACCCTCCATGTCACTAGCTCCCCGTCACGTAGTGATGTGGTTCGGATCTGTGTCCCTGCCCAACTCTTATGTTGAATTGCAATTCCCAATGGTGGGAGGTGGGGCCTGGTGAGAGGTGAATGGATCATGGGGGTGGTTTCTCACGGCTTAATACCATTCCCTTAGTGCTGTGGTAGAGTTTTCACGAGATCTGGTGGTTTTAAAGTGTGTGGTACCTCCCACCCTCAATCTCTCTTCTCCAGTTCCTGCTGTATGAGAGGCCTGTTCCCGCTTTGCCTTGGGCCGTAAGTGGAAGCTCCCTGAGGCCTCTCCAGAAGCAGATGCTGCCATGCTTTCTGCACAGCTTGTAGAACCTTGAGCCCATTAAACTTCGTTTCTTTATACATTACCCAGTCTCAGAGGTTTTTTTTTGTTTTTTTTTAAGTTTTTGAGACGGAGTCTGGCTCTGTCACCCAGGCTGGAGTGCAGTGGCACGATCTCCGCTCACTAGAAGCGCCACCTCCCGGGTTCATGCCATTCTCCTGCCTCACCCTCCCTAGTAGCTGGGACTACAGGCGCCCGCCACCACGCCCGGCTAAATTTTTTGTATTTTTAGTAGAGACGGGGTTTCACCGTGTTAGCCAGGATGTTTTGATCTCCTGACCTCGTGATCCGCCCACCTCAGCCTCCCAATCAGGTATTTCTTTATAGCAGCAAGAGAACAGGCTGATTCACCTAGGAAACTCCTTTGCTGTGGTGCCGAGACCCCAGCAAGGGACATCAGCACTGCCATCTATGCCTCACAAAACCAGCAGTGCTGGGCCCAGCCAGTGACCAGTGAAGGCTGAATGGACATCAATATTTGACCACGTGCACGCTTTCTAGGGAGGAGACGCTGTTTTAAGTGAATGCGTTAAATACCTGGTAACTTTTTAAACGCACGTTTTTGGGCGAATCCCTGACTTGGAAATACGGGAGGCAAGAGTGCAGCGCGGAACGCCCCCCACCACCCACCTGGAACTCTGGTTCCACAGTCCCTCCACCTGGTGATAATGTGAGCTCCACGCCCTGGCAACTGTGGAGGAAAACCCCCTTGGGCCTTCCAGGCGTCGGAGTCAGGGCAGTGAGCCTCTGCTTTCTCCCAACCCCCGAAATGTAAGCTCAGGTGTCCCCCACCACCGCAGCTGAAGAACATTTGCTCAGCAAATAAGGCAAGCTTTCTAGAGTCACCTTTCTTTTTGGTGTTAAGCAATTCCTCACTGTTTTTGTCATTCTCCTTTTCCCAGTATTCTTAGTTTATTCCCAGGTGTAAGCATACAATAAACTGGCAGGCTTGAGTTTCCTGTGGCTTTTCTCGCATGGCTGGTGCTCACCCCACTAACTGCACAGCTGCAAGCAGAGTTTCTGTGGGAATGCCACGCTGGGCTGAACTCTTTGTGTCACAAGTTGATCATGTTTACATCTTCACCCCAAAGTGGTAATTTTAGAAGTGGGCTTTTAGGAGGTGATTAGGTCATGAGGGTGGAGCCCACCTGAATAGCATTAGCATTCTTATTAAATAAACCCCAAGAAGCTCCTTCCCACCTACCACCACTGAGGATGTCCAGAGTTGGTTCCTTCCGGGGGTTCTTGGTCGGGCTGACTTAAAGACTGAAGCTGCGGACCTTCACGCTGTCACAGCTTTTAAAGGCTGCATGGACCCAAAGAGTGAGCAGCAGTAAGAGTTACTGTGAAGAGTGAAACAACAAACCTTCCACAAAATAGAAGGTAACCCCAGCAGGTCGCTGTTGCTGGGTGGAGGTGGCCAGCTTTTATTCCCTTATTTGTCCCCGCCCATGTCCTGCTGATTGGTCCATTTTACAGAGTGCCGATTGGTCCATTTTACAGTGTGCTGATTGGTCCATTTTACAGAGCACTGACTGGTCCATTTTACAAACCTCTAGCTAGCCACAGAGAGCTGATCGGTGTGTTTTTACAGAGTGCTGATTGGCACATTTTACAAACCTCCAGCTAGCCACAGAGCACTGATTGGTGCGTTTTACAATCCTAGCTACAGAGTGCTGATTAGTGCATTTTACAATCCTCTTGTAAGACAGAAAAGGTCTCCAAGTCCCCACCTGGCCCAGAAATCCAGCTGGCTTCACCTCTCAACTTCACACCATCTTTGAAGATGATTGCCAGCTAGAGCTACTGCTTGAATTCTGCTCACTTCTCACAGCCAGGGTGACAGCCCGAGCTGTCGTTGGGAGGCTGAGTATCATGGGGCACACTGTGGCCAGGCGATGCCACCTCACTGCCCTTTGCTCTCCAGAGAACTGCCGACTTCCAAACAGGAGCTGTGTCCTCTCTGACCAGGGCCAGTGACTGACATGGGTGCAGAAGCTACCCCAGCAGGGTCCTTCACATGGCTCCCATGGGACTGGACAGAAGCCAGTTTGAGCGTAGACTACTCCCATTCCCCTTTACCTGAGAACATCCCCACTAAATCGGTTGAACCTGAATACCTGCTTCAGGATCTGCTTCTAGGGCACCCAGCTCAAGACAAGGGCAAGATTATTTTTAAAGGAAAGCAATCTGGATGTGTTATGAGATTTTCTTTCATTTGTTTTGTGGCTGTTTTTCTGAGTCATGTTAACTAATTCTGCAATGTGGGCAACTGGAAAATAAAGGCTGTGATTTTCAGCAGCACCGTGCCATTGTTTCAAAAATTATATTCCTAGCCTTTAATATTCACTGACAAACAGAAGCTAATATGCTTTCCTGTTAACACAGCACTGATGTAATGACATTCTCTTTGAAAAAAGTCATCCACACTAGATAATCATGTGTAAGTCAAATTAAAATGGGATGCATGTATCACATTATACTTACACAACAGTAACATCTTAAACGTTTAAAGCAAGGGAAAAATATTGCATCAAACTAGTTCAGATGGCATGGTTTGACCTTATATTCTGGTTTGAAAGATTTCATTTCTATAATGGAAAACCCCAATGTTAATATTTGTCTTGAAGAAATACATTAAGTAATTCACCCATTATCCAATTACCAACAGCAGTGAGAAGAACCTGACACCTGTCAGTCAGAAGGTAATGAGGACGCAGAGCCATTCATGTATCCAGGCCATGGTGATATGTACACATTCCTCTTCCCACTTACAATTCCATATTCAGAGAAATAAATCGGAAGGGAGACCAGACAAAGGCAAGGGAAAACTCCCACAGGTGGCTGAAGACACCAGTTTAGGCACGACTCCACACACCACCACCCACCTTACCAGTTTTCCCCCTTTTCCCCAAGTGGGGGTTTTTCTTTTTTTCCTACCCTTTTGTTCAAAGCTTAAAAAATGACTTGCTTTTATAAAAAAATTCTGAATGGTAAGGTCAGGTGGAGAAAAAAAGGGTTGTAGATTCACACAGGCACTGGATAGGTGCAGGGAAAGATGACCTTTAAATTCCCTGACTGGGCGTGGTGACACACCTGTAATCCCAGCACTTTGGGAGGTTGAGGGGGGCAGGTCACCCAAGGTCAGGAGTTCGAGACCAGCCTGGCCAACATGGTGAAACCCCGTCTCTACTGAAAATACAACAAATTAGCCGGGCATGTGCCTGTAATCCCAGCTACTCAAGAGACTGAGGCAAAAGAATCCTTTGAACCTGGGAGGCAGAGGTTGCAGGGAGCCGAGATCACACCATTGCACTCCAGCCTGGGCAACTGAGTGAAACTCCGTCTAAAAAAAACCACAATTCTCTTACCACTCAAAGATGCTCTGACTCCAATAATTGTATCTGGGTAATGTATTTATGCCTCTCTAAATGGTTACCTCTCTATACACGCTTATTCTTAGTCATTTTCAGTAGTCATTAAACAAATTATTAAATAGAAATTTCATTCATTATTCATTGAAAACATGAAATAAACATGAGGTGTTTAATATGATGGTAAAAAAATGCCAAGGACTTTTTTAAATTAATGACATATTTATATATCATACAAAACCTGAAGAGAATTAGTATTGGTTCAGTTAAGAGGTAATTATTTTTGTTTAAAAACTAGAGTTTGCATTAAGAAAAGCAGCTAAATTCTTTTCTAACAAGGAGATTTACAGATATTTTTAAACAACCATAAATAAAAATAATTATTAATATATGTTGTTTAATGAGATACTATATATGAAAATTCAATACACAGAGCCCTTTATTATCCTTTGTAGGGTTGCTTAGATGGCAACCAAAGTAGCAACGTATATCTTTCCTCCTGGGATAAGAGTTGTAGCGTGTAACAATCCAAATAGAACCTTTCCCTAGCAGCGTGAAATGCCTGAAATAATAAATCATGCAGATACAAGTTAATGATCTTGATTTATTTAACATCAGAGTGTGAAATCAGGAGCCCCTGATAATCTGAGCGCACATAACATGTTACTTTAAAGAGGGAAACCACCACGGGCATTCGGCTTCTGTAATCCACCCTCTGTTGGAAACAGATTACAGCACCACTCAGAAAACTGACATCAGAAGCCAAGGACTGCCCTTGCCTCTGTGTGGCCGCTGCAGTGCCACTACACAGCCACCCTCCCAGGTAGTCGGCTACACACACTCCGACCCCCACCTCCAGGCCAAGCCCAAGTACCATCCTCTCCTCTGTTCAGTCTTGGATTCTGTAAGGCTGATTTAGACGTCTCCTCCTGTTCTCTACTGCACTTCCCACGAGATACATTTCTTTCTATATTATCATGTTTTGCATGTCTCTTTTCCTAGGGAGATTCTGGGGTTCCTAAGGTCAACAAACGTATTTTTTCATTTACATGTACCCAGCAGCATGTCTGTTGTATACGGGCACTCACTGACAGCTGGAGAAATGAATAACAAACCTACAGCCGAACAAAGATTTCTTGACAAAGTTCTCCTTGATGTCTTCTGCAGAGCAGGAATGCTGTTATTTTGACTCTTCACGCTTCTGCTGAACTAGAGTAAACAAAGATCTTGTTCATTCCAATAAACTACTTAATTAAGAAGAGTTGTTGAAATGTCAATAAATATTCAAAAGAGAGGCTTTCTGGAGATAATTTGAAATTCAAATTATCTGGCTGTGATAAACGAGAGCTGATGGTAGAGATATTATTAGTCATTCATCTGCATGTGCTTATTAGTCCCATGGCAGTACTTAGCGCCATGTAGAGAGAGGAAAGCGTGGATAGAAAGGCTCTTGTGAAGCTCATTCAGCCAATGGGCAGGAGAGGAAGGAAATCTGACTGCTGCGCTTCTAACGCAGTCTATTCACCACAAGCTTCCAGAAACCGATTAGAAGATGTGCGTGCACTCAGGACTTGGCAAAATGATGTGAAATGAAACATCCTGTGATGGATAGGGCCAACACTCTAGGATCAGTGTCAGCTGAAAGCCCACGTTGATCATTGCATCTTACATCAGCTGTTGTCTTCAACCAAATTGTAACCTAAATACCAATTTGGGAACTAATTATGGAAAAAATAAATGTCAGTGGCCTGTATAATTGGGCCTTCCCATTTTTCCACTGCCCCATGCTTTATAGTATACTGATGATCTTGATGCATTTCCATAAAGGAGGGAAGAGGAAGGGTGGGGTAGGGAATATCTAGTACCTAATATAGTCCAAGCACTTCAGTGATCTCCTCTTGATACGAGGCGGGGATTACCATTCTGTACCAGAGGCAACTGAAGCTCAGTAAGGCTGATTAACTTACCCAGGGTAACACAGCTAGGAAGTGACATTAAACCCAGTTTTCTTAGGGTTCATCAAAGGTTCTTAAATGTAATTTTAGTAACATCTTTTTAAAGAAAAGTTGGGCAAATTTGGTTCTTTGTTTTTATATACACACATTATTTACCTTCTTTTCCAATGCACTTGCAAATAAATTCTACCCATGAATGAGTTCCTTCAATTTCCAAGAATGTTATTGTAAGCTATTATTTACAATGTTTATAATTATTTAAATTATAATAGTTATTTTACATTTATAAGTTTGAAGATACAAATGTATTGGTTTACTCAGTGTAGTGCACAATTAAAAATGTCACCTCATTAAACATCGACACCTCCTCTGGCTACTAAATAGTTCCTCATGTATTATTTACATTCCTTGACAGAAGTGAGGGCACTGCCAACCCCTCCAAGTGAATTACGAATTGAATCTAAAGTAAACACCTCTGGCTGCTAAATTTCCTCAACACACCATCAATTGTGCTAATATTCAAAATCAGGCAATAGTATGGGCTGCAGATTAAATTACCTTGCTAACTGCACTCTGATTGTTTTTGGCTCTCATGCCTTTGTAATAAAGAGATTTTACTCCCAAATATCATCACTCATCAAAACTTTCCTTAATATACATTTCTATTTCATAATAACAAGACAAGGTATAAAAAGGAGACCATCCTTGAACTTTTAATTGATCTGCATATGCTTTTCTTTACTTGCTTTTTTGATGTTGACACTTCAGTAACTTAATTGTCTTGTCTTTCACGGAGAAGCCAAACTTCATCTATCTTCCTATTTCTTCAGTGCTGCCTTAAATCAGGTGCTTTCTTGAAGCTTATGCTTGGTTCTCTGTAGTTTATACAATCTTTATATTTGATATTTGGTTATAATGATTACATTGCCACTCAGAACCCTTAATATAGAATTTTGATATTATTTTTGTATTTTTAATTAAATATTATCTCTCCTATCCTTCCTTCACTCTATGCTCAGAATTAAGTCATTTTAGAATTTCATTGAACATTGCATTTTTATAGCAACCTTGATAAAATATTTATTTTGTTAACATTGCAAAGATTGCTGATGTCCACTTACAAATGTTCCTCTTTTGTTTGATAGCAATAGTACTACTGGAATAAAGATTATATTTACTGGCCAAGTGCAGTGGCTCACGCCTGTAATCCCAGAACTTTAGGAGGCCAAGGCGGGCAGATCACGAGGGTAGGAGTTCGAGACCAGCCTGGCCAATATGGTGAAACCCAGGCTCTACTAAAAATACAAAAATTAGCCAGGCGTGGTGGCTACTCGGGAGGCTGAGGCAGAAGAATCACTTGAACCCGTGAGGCAGAGTTTGCAGTGAGCTGAGATTGTGCCACTGCACTCCAGCCTGGGTGACAGAGAGAGACTCTGTCTCAAAAATAATAATAAAATAAAATAAAAAGATTATATTTACCACCTTCATTTTCATACAGGTACAAACACGTGACCAGATTGTGGCCAATTATGATACATGTAATTCTTGGATGTGTCATGAAAAGGGGAGTTGTTTAACTTTCTCCCCTCTTCCTTTTTCCTGTTGTTTAAAAGTCAGGTTTATGGCTGGCACCCCAGAAGCCATTTAGACCATGAGGTACCTTGAGAACAATAAAACAGAGGAAGCCAAAGTCCCTGAAACTTTGGACTGCCATATTTGCCATAGACTGGCTATTTCCAGACCTTCTGAATGTGAGAAAAATTAAACATATCTTATTAAAACCATTGTTTTAATTTTTTTTACTACCAACCAAATTTTTAACAGCTTTGTTAAGATATATTATAAAATTCATCAATTTAATGTGTACATTTCAACTTTTAAAATATATTCACAAATATGTGCAACCATAACAACAGTCAGCCCTGAGGAACCATTAATCAATCTGCTTTCTTTCTCTACAGATGTCCCCATTCTGGACTTCCAAATGAGTGTAACATATACTATATGGTCTTTTGTATCTGGCTTCTTTCACTTGTCATGTTTTCTAGGTTCATTCATGTTGAAGCATGTATCAGTACTTCACTCCTTTTTATGGCCAAATAATATTCCATTCTATGGCTATATTCCTTTTATCTATTCATCGATGGACATTTGGGTTATTTTCACCTTTGGTCTATTAATGACTAATGCTGCTATATATATTTATGTACAAGTTTTTGTGTGGGCAAATGTTTTCATATTTCTTTTTTTTTTTTTTTTTGAGACGGAGTCTCGCTTTTTCTCCCAGGCTGGACTGCAGTGGCGCTATCTCGGCTCAGTGCAAGCTCCGCCTCCCAGGTTCACGCCATTCTCCTGCCTCAGCCTCCTGAGTAGCTGGGACTACAGGTGCCCGCCACTGCGCCCGGCTAATGTTTTGTATTTTTAGTAGAGACAGGGTTTCACCGTGTTAGCCAGGATGGTCTTGATCTCCTGACCTCGTGATCCGCCAGCCTTGGCCTCCCAAAGTGCTGGGATTACAGGCGTGAGCCACCAAGCCCAGCCCATGTTTTCATATTTCTTGGGCATATACCTATGAGTAGAATTGCTGCATCAAATTTTAATTCTCTGTTTAACCACTTGAGAAACTGCCAGACTGCTTTCCAAAGTGGCTGCACCATTTTACATTCCTACCAGTAGTGTACATGAGTTCCGATTTCCCCACATCCTTGCCAGCACTTGCTATCTGACTTTTTGGTTCTAACTATCCTAGTGCATACGAAGTGGTATTTCATCATGGTTTTAGTTTGCATTTCTCCAATGACTAATGATATTGAGCAACTTTTCAAGTGCTTATTGGCCATTTGTATTTCTCTGTGGTAGAAGAGTCTATTGAAATCCTTTGCCCATTTTTAAATTAGTTCATTTGTGTTTTTATTATGGAGTTATGACAGTTCTTTATATATTCCAGATATGAGTACTTTTAGATACAGTATTTGCAGATGTTTTCTTCCATTCTGTGGGTTGTCTATTCACTTTCTTGCTGATGTTGAGTCACAAGAGTTTTAAACTTTAATACTGCAATTTATCTAATTTTGTTGTGCTTTTGGTGTCATATCTAAAAATCCTTCAAATACAAGGTTGTAAATATTTATCCTATGTTTCTGCTAAGAGTTGTACAGCTTTAACTCTTATGTTTAGATCTTTGGTCTATTTTTGGTTAATTTTGGCATATGGTGTGAGGTAAGGGTCCATTTTCATTCTTTTTCATGACAATTCAACTGTTCTCACACCACTTACTGAAAAGACCATTCTAATTTTTCTGATTTTATTTTCTGAATTGTTTGTTGCATATATAGAGAAATAGAATTAATTTTTTTGTGTTGATCTTGTATCCTATAACCCTGCTGAACTAATTACTAGTTCTATTAATTTTTTAGTGAATTCATTAGGATTCTGGGCATATGATCATGCCATCTGCAAATAAAGTTGCTTTGCTTCTTCTTTTCCAAGCTGGATGCCTTTTATTTTTCACTTGGCTAATTGTCCTGGCTAAAACCTCCTTTACAGTGTTGAATACATGTAGCAAAAGAAGACATCATAGAATTGCTCCTGATATTAGGGGAAAAGCACCTGCTCTTTTATCATTTAGTCTAATGTTAGCTGTGGGATTTTGTAGATATCATTTGTCAGGTTGAGGGATTTTCCTTCTTTTTCAGTTTATTGAGTTTTTTTAATATCATGAATAAGTGTTGGATTTTGTCAAATACTTTTTATTCATTTGAGATAATCATGATTTTTTAATTATATTGATATGATCTATTGCATTAATTTATTTGTGGGTGTTAAACCAACCTTTGATTTCTGAGATAAATCCCACTTGGTCATGGTGCATATTTTTTTAATATGTTGCATGGCTTGGTTTGTTAAAATTTTCTTGAGGAATTTTGAATCTATATTCATAAAATATATTGGTCTAAAGTTTTCTTTTCTTATAATATTTTTCATTTTGGTATCAGGGTAATACTGAAATCATACAATGATTTGGGAAGATTTTCTCCTCTTCTACTTTTTGGAAATGTTGGTGAAATTTTGATATTACTTTTTCTTTAAATGTTTGGTGGAATTCAGCAATGATATACCATCTGGGCCTGGGACTTTTTGTGGGTAAGTTTTAAAAGTAATTATACAATCTCTTTGCTTGTTATAGGTTTATTCAGATTGTCTGTTTCTTCTTGAGTCCCTTTGGCAGTTTGCTTGTAACAATTTGTCCATTTCATCTAAGTTATCTCATTTTTTAGTGTGCAATTATTCATGGTTTTCCTTTATAATTCTTTTATTTCTGTAAAATAAATAGTAACATCTCCTATTTCGTTTCTGATTCTAGTCATTTAACTAGTCTCTCTTTTTTTCTTGATAAATTTTCCTAAAGTTTTGTCAATTTTGTTGATCTTTTCATGGACCACTTTTTGGTTCTGTTGATTTCCCGCATTCATACTTAATTATTACTAGTAGAGACAATCAGCTTCATTTAATTATTTGTAATTGCAAGAGACATACTCAGAGTGAAATCTGATGCTCTGTGAGCTATCTCCACAAATAACCATTTGTGTCTTTAATGGATGGGGCAGGAAGCAGGACTTTGTCTATCAAAGATGCAAGGCTCTAAAATTTGTTTCCCTTTAGTTCATGTTTACTTATTATTTGGAGAAATAATACCATTTTTTTCTGTGAAGGTAATGTATACAAGGCGTGTAAATCACTCAACAGAGTAGATCCCACAAAAACAGCTTTTTTTCTCTTTCCATTGTGAGGTTTATTCTTTTGTGAGAGAGGGATTACCGATGGAATGAGTCCAGCACTGACTCCTGTGCTTTCAGGTCAGTAAGATAATTTCATTTTCAAAGCACTGATACTAAATTGTTTTGACTTGGGTTATTTTAAAATGTAAAATTGGAATTTTGATTCTAAATCTTGCTTTTAAGCTTATCTTCTAAAGGAACTTTTGACTGCCCTAAAGGAGCTACCAGCTTTAGTTGAGTAAAACTATGGCCAGATACAGATTTGATGGAAAAAGACCATTCTAACTCAATGTGGTATGGGGGAAATTTTTAGTGTGCTCAGTCCACAGTAGTGAAAATAATAATAATTATTCAAAGAGAAAATCCTTTTGGGACTTAAGACTGGAATGTGATTTTACCTAAAACGTTGGATTCTGAACGATTTGCTTCTAATTACAGGTTCATCTAAATATAGGATCTGAAAATTTTTTTCTATAAATGCCAGAAAGTGAATATTTTAGGTTTTACAGGCCACACAATCTCTGTAAAAAGTACTCAATTTTGCCATTGTAGCATAAAGGCAGCTATAGACAAATACATAAATAAGTGAGTAGGGCTGTGTTCCAATAAAACGTTATTTTCAAAAACTGATACTGCTGGACTTGGCTCACTGGCTGTAGTTTGCCAAACCCTAATTTATCGAAATATACAACCAACGTAAACATATCAATAAGTCTTCTGGCTTATCCTCAGAAGATGTCTCTTTCTAATTTTCTAAAGAATATATCCAAAACAACCCCAAACAAACATGTAAAATTAATAGTTTCATTCTCTACCCTTGAATTATGTTTTCCAAAAGTCTCAAATCAATTTGGCAGACCCAGCACAAGTACTTGGGTCCCCTCCTTCATAATACCTCATTAAACTGAGATTATTAAAAGAAATATGCACATCACAGTGAAGTTAACCATCAGCGGCCAACTGATTTCCACTAAACCTTTAGAGTAGAAAAGTGGATGGTAACCTGTTGATGACTAACATGAATAAAATACTCCCAGAACATAAAACAGAGCATTGCAGCCAAGAAGAAAACTGACTCAGTCCAAGTATGAAGGTAAAGAATGTTAGCAGAATGAGAAAGAGGTGTCCAAAAAGCTGAGAAGCAATTGGAGACCTTTGTTTGGAACTATCAGTCCCATTGGGTCTCCAAACTCACCACCATCCTGTCCTCTTCCCTCCAACCCATGCACGATGTATTTTATTATCGGGATGAAAGAAGCAAACAAATAGATAAACAACAACAATAACAACAAAATCTTCAGACATTTTAAATAAAGACATTTAAATATAATTACCAATGAAGAACTAGCCTTCTAAAGAGGGCTTAAGGAGCCCAGAAAAGAAAGGCCTTTTTTATTCTGAGAGGGGGGGCACCCCACCACTTGGGTTAGCTTTCTGCTTACTAACCCTAAAATAAAACATGTCTGCTGAAATCCCAGAAACATATCCAGACCTTTTATTTACTCTTAGTAGATTGTAAAAGATAACCACACGAGATATGATAAAGATAACTACATGTGCTAACAAAAAATGAGAAAACTACCACAAAAATTCAAACCAGTATGCACTTTAAAATATGAATGGATCACAAAAGGTCATCATTCAGTCTTAGAATGAAAACCACTGACAGGAGGGGAATAAAAGACCACAGTAAATTAAATAAAAGATAAAAAATAGCATTAAAAATAAATACTTTGTAGATAAAAAAAGTCATTACTATTCTTGGAGAGAGGTAAGGAAATATAGACTATATAAATCAATAATAGGATGGCATCACTTTAGGAGGCCAAGAAAGGAAGATCACTTGAGGCTAGGAGTTTGAGACCAGCCTGAGCAACATAGCAAGACCCCATTTCTGCAAAAAAAAAAAAAAAGAAAAAAATTAGCCAGGCATGGTGGCACACCCCTGTCATCTCAGCTACTCAGGAGGCTTAAGTGGGAAAGTCACTTGAGCCCAGGAGTTCGAGGTTAGACAGTGAGCTCTGGTCACACCACTGCACTCCAGCCAGGACAACAGAGTGAGACACTGCCTCTATAAAAAAAGCAAACAAACAAAAACCCACAAAGGGCCACAAAGGATAGGATGATATAACAACAGGATAATCAGAAAAATAATTACCTGACCATATCAGCTTTAAATGTAAATGATCTACACATACCAATTAAAAGGCAGATATTATCACATTGGATTAAAAAAAGCAACTGTGTGTACCTATGAGACCCAACTGTATGCACCTACAGGAAATGTACTCTAAAATAAAGACACATATAGCTTCTTAGTAAATGGATAGAGGCTGGTATAGTGGCTCATGCCTGTAATCCCAGCACTTTGGGAGGCTGAGGCAGGTAGATCACCTGAGGTCAGGAGTTTGAGACCAATCTGGCCAACATGGTGAAACACTGTCTCTACTAAAAATATAAAAATTAGCTGGGCATGGTGGCACACGCCTGTAGTCCCAGCTACTCAGGAGGCTGAGGTAGGAGAAGCGCTCAAACCCAGGAGGCGAAGGATGCAGTGAGTTGAGATTGCAACACCGCACTCCAGCCTGGGTGACAGAATGAGGCTCTGTCTCAAAAAAAAAAAAAAAAAGGAATGGATAGAAAAATATATATCATACTAACACTAAGCAAAGGAGAGCTGAAGTGGTCATATCAGTATTAGACATTGTACAATTCAGAGCAAAGAAAATTGGCAAAGATAAAGAAGGGCATTTTGTAATATTAAATAAGTCATTAAGAGGATATAATAATGCTAAATGTAAAGCACCTGGTAATAGGACTTCAGAATACATGAAACAAAACCTAATAGAAATGCAATAAGAAATAGCCAAATGAACAATTATAGGCAGAGATTTCAATACAACTCTCTCAATAATCACAAAGATAAGTTGACGGAAAATCAATAAGGATATAGAAAACTTGAGCAATACTATCACCTAAGGTGATCAAATAGACATTTATAGAACACTCCATCCAACAACAGAATATACATTCTTCTCAAGGGCTCATGAAACATGACCAAGATAGACCACATTCTGAGCCACAAGACAAACCTTGATCCTGTATGTATGTTCTCTGACCAAGATGGAACCAAATTAGAAAGATCTGGAAAATGACCAAATATTTGTTAACTACTTAAAACCAATTCAAAATAACTGGTAGATCAATGAAGATTTCAAAAGGTGAATTGGGAAATATTTTGAACAGCGTAAAAATGACGATACAACAAACAAAAATGTGTGGGATGCCACTAAAGTAGTACTTAGAGTGGTATTTATAGTCCTGAGTATCTATATTAAAAAGGGAGAGAAGTCCCAAATCAATGTCCTCTGCTTATACCTTAAGAAACTAGAAAAAGAAGAGCAAAATAAATTCAAATTTAAAAGGAAATAACTTAATGAAATAGAATATAAAAAAATAGAAAAATCAATAAAACCAAAATCTTTTTTTTGAAAAAATAAGTAAAATGCTAAACCTCTAGCCAGACTAATCAGAATAAAAAGAGATAAGATACAGATCACAACATTAAGAATGAAAGTAGTAATATCATTACATATTTTATAGATATTTAAAGGATAATCAGGGAATCTTACGAACAACTTCACACCAATAAATTCAACAACTTCAATTAAATGGAAAGATTCCCTGAGAACTACAAACTAGCAAAGCTTATTCAAGAAGAAACAGATTACTTAAGTAGTCTTTCAGCAGTTTAAAAATCTTCAGTTTTGATTCTTGGGCAAGATGGCTGAATAGAAACAGCTCTGGTCTGCGGCTCCCAGCGAGACCAACGCAGAAAGCGGGTGATTTCTGCATTTCCAACTGAGGTACCTGGTTCATCTCATTGGGACTGGTTAGACAGTGGGTGCAGTCCATACAGGGCAAGCAGAAACAGGGTGGGGCATCACCTCACCCGGGAAGTGCAAGGGGTCGGGGAAGTTTCTCCCCTAGCCAAGGGAAGCCATGAGGAACCGTGCCTGTTGCAAAGGATGGTGCTATCTGGCCCAGATACTAACTATGCTTTTCCCACAGTCTTCGCAACCCACAGAGCAGGAGATGCCCTCGGGTGCTTACACCTCCAGGGCCCTGGGTGTCAAGCACAAAACTGGGCAGCCGTTTGGGCAGACACCAAGCTAGCTGCAGGAGTTTATTTTCATACCCCAGTGGCACCTGGAACACCAGTGAGACAGAACGGTTTGCTCCCCTGGAAAGCAGGCTGAAGCCAGGGAGCCAAGTGGTTTTGCTCAGCAGATCCCACCCCCAAGGAGCCCAGCAAGCTAAGATCCACTGGCTTGAAATTCTTGCGCTAGCACAGCACTCTGAAGTTGACCTAGGATGCTCCTGTTTGGTGGGGGGAGGGGCATCTGCCATTACTGAGGCTTGAGTAAGCTGTTTTCCCCTTACAGTGTAAACAAAGCCGCTGGGCAATTTGGACTGGGCAGAGCCCACAGCAGTGCCTCAACGCTGCTGTAGTCAGACTGCCTCTATAGATTCCTCCTCTCTGGGCATGACATCTCTGAAAGAAAGGCAGCAGCCCCAGTCAGGGGCTTATAAAACTCCCATCTCCCTGGGACAGAGCACCTGAGGGAAGGGGTGGCTGTGGGCACAGCTTCAGCAGACTTAAACGTTCCTGCCTGCTGGCTCTGAAGAGAGCAGCGGATCTCCCAGCACAGTGCTTGAGCTCTGCTAAGGAACAGACTGCCTTCTCAAGTGGGTTGCTGACCCCTGTGCCTCCTAATGGGGAGACACCTCCCAGCAGGGGTTGACAGACACCTCATACAGGAGAGCTCTGGCTGGCATCTGGAGGCTTCCCTTCTGGGATGAAGCTTCCAGAGGAAGGAACAGGCAGCAATCTTTGCTGTTCTGCAGCCTCTGCTGGTGATAGCAGGGCAAACAGCGTCTGGAGTGGACCCCCAGCAAACTTCAGCGGAACTGCAGAAGAGGGGCCTGACTGTTAGAAGGAAAACTAACGAACAGAAAGCAGTAACATCAACATCAACAAAAAGGACGACCATGCAAAAACTGCATCCAAAGATCACCAACAGAAAAGACCAAAGGTAGATAAATCCACAAAGATGAGGAAAAACCAGCGCAACAAGGCTGAAAATTCCAAAACCAGAATGCCTCTTCTCCTCCAAAGGATCACAACTCCATGCCAGCAAGGGAACAAAACTGGACAGAGAATGAGTTTGACGAATTGACATAAGTAGGCTTCTGAAGGTTGGTAATAACAAACTCCTTTGAGCTAAAGGAGCATATTCTAACCCAATGCAAGGAAGCTAAGGACGTTGATAAAAGGTTAGAGGAATTGCTAACTAGAATAACCAGTTTAGAGAAGAACATAAATGACCTGATGGAGCTGAAAAATACAGCACAAGAACTTTGTGAAGCATGTACAAGTATCAATAGCCAAATTGATCAAGCAGAAGAAAGGATATCAGAGATTGAAAATCAACTTAATGAAATAAAGTGTGAAGATTAGAGAAGAAAAGAAGGAAAAGGAATGAACAAAGCCTCCAAGAAATATGAAACTATGTGAAAAGACCAAATCTACATTTGATTATGTGCCTGAAAGTGATGGGGAGAATGGAACCAAGTTGGAAAACACACTTCAGGACACTATCCAGGAGAACTTCCCCAACCTAGCAAGACAGGCCAACATCCAAATTCAGGAAATATGGAGAATACCACAAAGATACTCCTTGAGAAGAGCAACCCCAAGACACATAATCGTCCAATTCACCAAGGCTGAAATGAAGGAAAAAATGTTAAGAGCAGCCAGAGAGAAAGGTCAGGTTAGCCACAAAGGGAAGCCTATAAGACTAACAGTGGATCTCTTGGCAGAAATCCTACAAGCCAGAAGAGAGTGGGGACCAATATTCGACATTCTTAAAGAAAAGAATTTTCAACCCACAATTTCATATCCAGCCAAACTAAGCTTCATAAGTGAAGGAGAAATAAAATCCTTTACAGACAAGCAAATGCTGAGGGATTTTGTAGCCACCAGGCAGCCTACCTTACAAGAGCTCCTGAAGGAAGCACTAAATATGGAAGGGAAAAACCGGTACCAGCCACTGCAAAACAAACCAAAATGTAAAGGCCATCAACACTATGAAGAAACTGTATCAACTAATGGGCAAAATAACCAGCGAGCATCATAATGACAGGATGGAATTCACACACAACAATATTAACCTTAAATGGAAACAGACTAAATGCCCCAATTAACAGGCACAGATTGGCAAATTGGATAAAGAGTCAAGATCCATCAGTGTGCTGTATTCAGGAGACCCATCTCACATGCAAAGACACACACAGGCTCAAAATAAAGAAATGGAGGAAGATTTACCAATCAAATGGAAAACAAAATAAAGCAGGGGTTGCAATCCTAGTCTCTTATAAAACAGACTTTAAACCAACAGAGATCAAAAGAGACAAAGAAGGCCATTACATAATGGTAAAGCGATCAATGCAACAACAAGAGCTAACTATCCTAAATATATATGCACCCAATACAGGAGCATCCAGATTCATAAAACAAGTTTGTAGAGACCTACAAAGAAACTTAGACTCCCACATAATAATAGTGGGAGACTTTTAACACCCCACTGTCAATATTAGATCAATGAGACAGAAAATTAGTAAGGATATTCAGGACTTGAACTCAGCTCTGGACCAAGTGGACCTAATAGACATCTACAGAACTCTCCACCCCAAATCAACAGAATATACATTCTTTTCAGCACCACATAGCACTTATTCTAAAATCAACCATGTAATTGGAAGTAAAACACTTCTCAGCAAATGCAATAGAACAAAAATCATAACAAACAGTCTCTTGGACCACAGTGCAATCAAATTAGAACTCAGGAATAAGAAACTCACTCAAAACTGCATGACTACATGGAACGAACAACCTGCTCTGAATGACTAATGGGTAAATAACAAAATTAAGGCAGAAATGAATAAGTTATTTGAAATCAATGAGAACAAAGACACAATGTACCAGAATCTCTGGGGCACAGCTAAAGCAGTGTTTAGAGGGAAATTTATAGCACTAAATGCCCACAGGAGAAAGCGGAAAAGATCTAAAATCAACACCTTAACATCACAATTAAAAGAACTAAAGAAGCTAGAGCAAACAAATTCAAAAGCTAGCAGAAGACAAGAAATAACTAAGATCAGAGCAGAACTGAAGGAGATAGAGATATGAAAAACCCTTTAAAAAATCAGTGAATCCAGGAGTTGGTTTTTTGACAAGATTAACAAAATAGATAGACCACTAGCCAGAGAAAAGAGAGAAAAAGATGAAAAGAAGAGAAGAAAAAAAAAAAAAGAGTAGGAAAAAAAGAGAGAAGAATCAAATAGACACAATAAAAAATGATAAATGGGAAATCACCACTGATCCCACAGAAATACAAACTGCCATCAGAGAATACTGTAAATACCTCTATGTAAATAAAGTAGAAAATCTCGAAGAAATGGATAAATTCCTGGACACATACATCCTCCTAAGACTAAACCAGGAAGAAGTCGAATCCCTGAATAGACCAATAACAAGTGAAATTGAGGCAGTAATTAATAGCCTAGCAACCAAAAAAAGCCCAGGACCAGAGAGATTCACAGCCAAATTCTACCAGAGGTACAAAGAGGAGATGGTACCATTCCTTCTGAATCTATTCCAAACAACAGAAAAAGAAAGACTACTCCCTAACTCATTTTATGAGGCCAGCATCATCCGGATACCAAACCTGGAAGAGACACACACACAAAAAGAAAATTTCAGGCCAACATCCCTGATGAACTTTGATATGAAAATCCTCAATGAAATACTGGCAAACAAAATCCAGCTGCACATCAAAAAGCGTATCTATCCCAATCAAGTCAGCTTCATCCCTAGGATGCAAGGCTGGTTCAACATATGCAAATCAATAAATGTAATTCATCACATAAACAGAACCAGTGACAAAAACCACATGATTGTTTCAATAGATGCAGAAAAGGCCTTTGATAAAATTCAACACCCCTTCATGCTGAAAACACTCAATAAACTAGATATTGATGGAATATCTCTCAAAATAATAAGAGCTATTTATGACAAACCCACATTCAATACCATACCTAATGGACAAAAGCTGGATGCATTCCCTTTGAAAACCGGCACAAGTCAAGGATGCCCTCTCTCACCACTCCTATTCAACATAGTATTGGACGTTCTGGCTGGGGCATTCTGTCAAGAGAAAGAAATAAAGCATATTCAAGTAGGAAGAGAGGAAGTCAAATTATCTCTGTTTGCAGATGACATGATTGTGTATTTAGAAAACCCCATCGTCTCAGCCCCAAAACTTTCCTTAAGTTGATAAGCAACTTTGGCAAAGTCTCTGGATACAAAATCAATATGCAAAAATCACAAGCATTCCTGTACACCAATAATAGACAAACAGAGAGCCAAATCATGAGCAACCTCCCATTCACAATTGCTACAAAGATAATAAAATACCTAAAAATACAACTTACGAGGGATGTGAAGGACCTCTTAAAGGAGAACTACAAACCACTGCTCAAGGAAATAAGAGAGGACACAAACAAATGGAAAAACATTCCATGCTCATGGATAGGAAGAATCAATATTGTGAATTTTCATGAATTTCATGAATTTGGCCAAACTGTCCAAAGTAATTTATAGATTCAATGCTATTCCCATCAAGCTACCATTAACTTTCTCCACAGAATTAGAAAAAACTACTTTAAATTTCATATGGAACCAAAAAAGAGCCCGTATAGCCAAGACAATCTTAAGGAAAAAGAACAAAGCTGGAGACATCAGGCTACCTGACTTCAAACTATACTACAAGGCTACAGTGACCAAAACAGCATGGTACTGGTACCAAAACAGATATATAGATCAATGGAATAGAACAGAGGCCTCAGAAATAACACCACACATCTACAACCATCTGATCTTTGGCAAACCTGACAAAAACAAGCAATGGAGAAAGGATTCCCTGTTTAATAAATGGTGTTGGGAAAACTGACTAGCCATAAGCAGAAAACTGAAACTGGACTCCTTCCTTACACCTTATACAAAAATTAACTCAAGATGGATTGACGATTTAAATGTAAGACCTAAAACCATAAAAACCCTAGAAGAAAACCTAGGCAGTACCATTTAGGACATAGGCATGGGCAAAGAATTCATGACTTAAACAACGAATTTAGAACAATGGCAACAAAAGCCAAAATTGACAAATGGAACCTAATTAAACTAAAGAGCTTCTGCCCAGCAAAAGAAACTATCATCAGAGTGAACAGGCAACCTACAGAATTGGGAGAAAATTTTTGAATCTATCCATCTGACAAAGGGCTAATATCAAGAATCTACAAGGAACTTACAAGAAATTTACAAGAAATTTCTTTAAGAAAACTTAAAGAAATTTACAAGAAAAAAACAAAGAACTCCATCAAAAAGTGGGTGAAGGATATGAACAGACACTTTTCAAAAGAAGATATTTATGCGGCCAATAAACATGTGAGAAAAAGTTCATCATCACTGGTCATTAGAGAAATGCAAATCAAAACCAAAATGAGATACCATCTCATGCCAGTTAGAATGGTGATCATTAAAAAGTTAGGAAACAACAGATACTGGAGAGGATGTGGAGAAATAGGAAAGATTTTACACTGTTGGTGGGAGTGTAAATTAGTTCAACCATTGTGGAAGACAGTGTGGTGACTCCTCAAGGATCTAGAACTAGAAATACCATTTGACCCAGCAATCCCATTACTGGGTATATACTCAAAGGATTATAAATCATTCTGCTATAAAGACACATGCACATGTATGTTTATTGCAGCACAATTCACAATAGCAAAGACTTGGAACCAACCCAAATGCCCATTATTGTTAGACTGGGTAAAGAAAATGTGGCACATATGCACCATGGAATACTATGCAGCCATAAAAAACATGAGTTCATGTCCTTTGCAGGGACATGGATGAAGCTGGAAAACATCATTCTCAGCAAACTAACACGGGAACAGAAAACCAAACACTGCATGTTGTCACTCATAAGTGGGACTTGAACAATGAGAACACATGGACACAGGGAGGAGAACATCACACACCAGGGCCTGTCAGGGGATGGGGGGCTAGTGGAGGGATAGCATTAGGAGAAATACCTAACGTAGATGATGGGTTGATAGGTGCAGCAAATCACCATGGCACGTGTGTACCTATGTAACAAACCTGCTCGTACTGCACATGTATCCCAGAACTTAAAGTATATATATATATAAAATGTATGTATGTATGTATATATATGTATACATTCAAAAACCAATCAATATAATTCATCACATGAAAAAAAGAAAAACAGCTTTATCATCAACTCATTAGGAGTAGAAGCATTTGAAAAAATCTAATATGCATTCCTGATGAAATGCACTCAGAAAACTAAGACAAGAAGGGAACTTTGTCAATCTGATGAAGGGCGTGTATGAAAACCTACAGCAAACACTAACTTCATTGTGGGAGACTAAATGCTTTCTCTGTCACGTCAGGAACCAGGCCAGAACATTATTGCCATTTCTATTCAGCATTGTACTGGAGGTTCTTGCTGATGAAATAAAGCAAGAAACAGAAATAAAAGGCATCCAGACTGGCAAGAAAAAAGTAAAATTCTCTTTATTTAGAGACAGCAATACTGTCTATGTAAAAAATCTGAGGGAGTCACTTTAAAGAGCTACTAGAACTAATTAGTGAGTTTAGTACTATTTCAAAATACAGGTCAATATACAAAAGTCAACTGCATTTCTACATACCAGCAACAATGAGAAATTGAAATTTAAAAATTAGCATTTACAGTAACACCCCTAAATATAAAATAATAGGAATAAATCTGACAAAAGGTATACAAGGTCTCTACACTGGAAACTGAAAACTGGCAGGGCGCGGTGGCTCACGCCTATAATCCCAGCACTTTGGGAGGCCAAGGCGGGCAGATCACCTGAGGTCGGGAGTTCACGACTAGCCTGACCAACATGGAGAAACCCTGTCTCTATTAAAAACACAAAATTAGCTGGGTGTGGTGGTGCATGCCTGTAATCCCAACTACTTGGGAGGCTGAGGCAGTAGAATCACTTGAACCCAGGAAGCAGGAGTTGCAGTGAGCCGAGATCACGCCATTGCACTCCAGCCTGGGCAACTAAGAGCGAAACCCCGTCCAGAAAAAAAAAAAAAAAACCCGAAAACTACTGCTGAGAGAAATGTTAAAAGACTTAAGCTAGTGGTTTTCAGTCAGTTTTTGGTTTTTTTTTTTTTTTGCTTCAGGGGACATTTGGCAATGTCTGGAAACATTTTTGGTTGTCACACCTGGGGATGGGGAAAACAAGTTATGCAACTGGAATATGATGAGTAGAGGCCAGGGATGCTGCTGAACAGTTCCCCACAACAAAAAGTTACTCAGTCCAAAATGTCAACGTGCCAAGGCTGAGAAACTCTGGCAATGATGCACAGTGGAGAGGTAAACAGTGTTTATGGGCCAGAAGACTTAACATTGTTAGGGTAGCAATTCTCCACAAATCTATAAATTCAATGCAGTTCCAATCAAATTCCCAGAAGGCTTTTTTTTGTGTGTGTATATTACCAAGCCAGTTCTAAACTTCTTAAGGAAATGAAAAGGTCCTAAAATAGCTGAAACTCGTTTGAAAAAGAATAACAAATTTGATAAACTAACACTACATGACTTTAAGCCTTATTATAAAACCACAGGTTAAGACAGTGTGACATTGACTGCAACATAGCCATGTGGAACAGGAGAGTCTAGATATGAACCAACATATGTATACAGACAATTGATTTTCAGCAAGGATGCAAAGTCAACTCAGCAGGGAAAGGATAGTTTTTTCTTATTTAACAAATGGTGTTTAACAATTGGGTATGCATATGTAGAAAATGAACTTTCATTTATATCTCACAGTATATGCAAATGTTAACTCAAAATGTATCATAAGTCTAAATGTGATACCTAAAGCTATAAAGCTTCTAGAAAAAAATATAAGGAAAATTCTTGAGGACCTTTGGTCAGGAAAAGATTTCTTAAATACAATACCAAATGCATAACCCATAAGAGAAAAATAATTTGGGCTTCATCAAAATTAAAACCTTATACTCTCTGAAAAACTGCTGAGAGAATAAAAGAGAAGCCAAGGAATAGGAGGGAAAAGTTACAAAGCGAAGCATATATCTTATAATGGATTTGTATCCAAAATATGTGAAGAACTCTCAAAACACAATAAGAAACAAACCAATTAAAATGGACAGAAGATGTAAACAGGCAAGTAAACATAAGGAAAGATGCTTAATATCATTAATTAATAATAAAATACCAATTGTAACTAAAAGAAATACCACTACACAACTCTTAGAATGGCTAAAATTTGAAAGATTGACCACACCAAGTATTGGAGAATATGTGGAGGAATTGAAATTCTCAAACACAAATGGTAAAATGTGCAATGGTGAAACTAGTTTGAAAAACAGTTTGGTAGTTTCATAAAAAGTTAAACATATACCACCATAAGATCCTTTCTTGTGTCTTTAGCCAAGAAAAATGAAAGCATTTCACTTTTCGGCCTTTTAGCTAAGATCAAGTGAAAAATGAAAGCACAGAAGTATGCAAAGACTTGTGCATGGATGTTCATAGCAGCTTTATATTCAAGAGTCAAAAAGTAGAAACAACCCAAATGTCTATCAACAGGTGAATGGATAACAAATTGTTGTGTAGTCATACAATGCATACAACTCGGTGATAAAACTGAGCTGCTGATCACACAACAACATGGATGAATCTTATATACCTATGCTGAGTCAAAGGGTAGAGAAAAAAGAGTGTGTACTATTTGATTTCATTTATATAAGATTTTAGAAAATGCAAACTTATCCCTAGTGTATCAATTGTTGAAAGCACATTTGTTGTTGCTTGGAGACAGGATTGGAAGGCTTAGAGTGGGGTGGAGATATTATAAAGTGATGCTAGTAAAATTTTGGTGGGGACGAATGTTTTCTATTTTGATTGTGAAGATTGTTTCATGATGTCAAAGTTTATTAAATTACACACTTTAAATATGTGCGGTTTTTGTGTGTCATTTATAATTTAAAAATGCCATTTAGAAAATAAAATAGAATTGTTGAAAGATAAAAACAATTTCCCAGAAAACATAGCTAACAGACAAAAAAAAAAATCTAGAACAGGACAGAAAGACTATATATTAAGAATCAAACCATTAAGTGCAAAATCAGACTAGTAAGAGGCAGAAGAAATTTTCTAAAAAGTAATAGAAGAAAAATGTTTAGAGCTAAGAGATGCAGATCTTTAGGATGAGAGTTTCGCTCAGGATCCAACACCATAAACAAAAGATTCATACTAAATTCACCTTTATGAAATACCAGAAAAACCTCACTTGGCCAGGGTTGGTTGGGTGGGGATAGTGAGGAAGTGAGAAGTTGGGGGTGAGTAACCTATAAGCAAATAGGATCATCTGACATCAAGCCTGTTATCAGCATCATTGAATGATAAAATACAATGGTGCAAGGATTTCAAAGTTCTAGGGAGATTACTTTCCAACACACAAGTCAATACCTTGCTAACTACCAATTAAACATGAAGGACCAAAGGAAGAGTCAAGAGACGCATGAAGCCTCAAAACCTCCGGTCACCTATGCTCTTCCTGAGACATTAACTGAAGATGAAATTAGGCAAAATGGGGACAAAACCAGAAAAAAGGAAAAACATGAACGATATTTAAAAATTACGGAATATAGGAGTTTAGTGAAAATAAATCACGGGATGAGATTTATAACGAGGAATTAGTTTGCAACAATCCTAATTTGTACGGGAAGTTAGTCAATGCCAAGAAGAATATTTTCATGAAGGAAAATGGAAAAGGTTCCCAATAATAAATTTAATGACTGAAGTGGTGGTAATATTATGCACACAGTCAAGAAAGCACATACGTCTCTCTTCATTAAAAAAGAATGCAAATTAGAAACCCCAGAATAGATATTTGTGGGTGACAGAGTGAAATGAAACCTAAGAAGGTCTTGATGCAAACATAAATGTCATGTGGTTTGGATCAACTGAAGGAATGTAAGAAAAATAATTCATTTGACTTCAATCTTAGGAATATAGCCCAAAGTTGAGACATTGGACTTCTAAAGGTGAGAAAGAAACCCAAGCAAACTGCTTAGCTCTGCTTTCAATAATATTTATATAATCTTAATAACATCACAGTTGTTAATTTGTTTGTAACTTTTAGAGTTTATTTATAAGTAAACCCCTCAAGGCTGAAGTATAGTTAGAGTGCCAAATGTAAAAGTTCTGGATCTTGACAACGAAGTAACAGCTGATAGAACATCTCTTTTTTCACATGCCATCAACAAATTCCACTTTCCAGGCTAAAAGCACTACAGTATTTCTGTTCTTCTTCTTCTTCTAATGTTTATCTTTACACATTCAAACAAAATACTAAACCTTGAACCATACTTACATAGTACAGCTCAATAATGTGGGTTGTTGTTAGTTTTCAACTTTTAGGATCAATCTGTAAACATAATATTAAATACTGAAATATAATTTTATGATCTCAGTGTAAATGCTTTCCACCTAGATAATGTAAAACTATAGTTACAGCAAACAGAAGGTGGGAGGTGGAAAAGAGAAAGAGAAACACATGGAAGGATGGGGGCATTGTATCTTTATCTAAAAAAATGGGAAGTCAAGAGACAAATTCCCATATCTAGTGAAATAAGAAATGGAGATGCAGGTTATGAAGACATTTTCCTAAAACCAGCTGGTTATGAGAGCCACTAACTAGTTTCCTATTTGGTTTCAAGATGCACAGACCCACACCCACACCCAACTTGCCATTTCAATGAATTGCATTTTACTTACAAGTACCCTCTACATTGCTTGCCTGTTGATTCTAACTGGAACTTGTTTCTATAAAAGCCAAGGGCCATGAAGCACAAGTCCCTCTAATGCCAGGAGTACCTCAATCAATAACCATTACTGGTTTAGCAACATGGGGCTGCGTGTCCTACCTTAAAAATGGTATCACAGGTTCCAAAGAGTCTGTCTTCTTTGAAGAATAATGTTCCCATTCATAGGAGGGCTCATAAACCCTATCCTTTAGAAGCCAGTAAAAAGGAAGTTAGAGCAGAAATTGTAAGACGGTGTCACACGTGGGTGTGAGCAGGGCAGTGATGAGACAGGAGTGAGGAGGCTGTGCAGACATGGTCTGGGTATCACTGGGCCCCACATGCAGGGAGGCTTCCTCCACCAATTAAAAGAAGAATACTCTTTAAAGAAAAAGCTTTTAGAAATCCAGTCAGTATTTGAAAATCCTTTCTTCTGTGGTTATGGTAATTTAAGATTGTCCCCTGGGATGGATAAGGTTTTAACCTAGTGAAATGGGTGAGAACTGTCCCCATTCGTGATGTTCCAGCCTTAGACGAAGAATTAGTGTGGAATATGTCCAAGTTGGGGTCCCCAAGTAGACCAGAAATGTAAAAAACTTGTCCAAACAATGGAAAAAAAGAATGAAAACAGGACCTGTAAAGAATTCCCAAAGAATCTGCATTATTTTGCTTAACAGTTAGGAAATTTGGAGGTAAGCCTGAGGACATTTTGTGAGACTTAAACCACCATTGGGGAACCTTCCTTTTAAGGTGTTTGCAGGTGAACCAACAGCTTCTCTGGAGGCCTAGAAATATATTTCTCAATAAAAGTTCTACCTAAAGTGTCCAAGGATCTGAATTAATTAATTAATTAGTTCTGAGACATTGCTTGGTACTTTCTCACTGGAGAAAAAAAACAAAGAAATTGCCTAAAGAACTCAAGATAAGGATCAATACCACCTTGGCCAGAGCTTATAGGTAGGGTGGCTCCCTGACTTTTAATATAAAAATATTACTTGCTTAAAATACCTATTTGAAGACAGGGACAAGTTAGATCTCTGTGTGTCTAGTTGTCCTTTGAAGTTGAGGATAAATTGTGATTTTCGTTTTTTTAAGTCATAGTTCAATTGATCTCACATGCAGTCAACTTCGGGCTTATTTTTTTTTACTTTCAGCATAACCCAAAAGGGCATGTGCAAGAATGACTAGAATTAAAATAACCACACCATCTTCACAAGATAGCCAAGGAAGAAAAAAAAATCAGTCTTCACATTTAGGTCAGTTACTCCTTTTTTAATAAATTTGAATTCATTCATCAACAAGTTTCATATTGTATCTATCACTCAATTTTGCTGTTTTTTCATGTCAAATAATACCAAAAAATTACATCAATGTGCTTAAGCAAAACTGGGTTTAAATTTATCTTTACAATAAAATGAAATCAACATGAGAATTGATTATGACAGCAATCGCCTATTCCTACTAGAATAATCCTGTACTTACCTTAAACACACTCACTGACTTGTGAAGTAGAAACATGAGACAAACGTGACAAAACATGTTCATGGGGTTGGTCCTAGGGAGAGGCATACGGGAGCCACTCTCTGGAAGGTCATTGTTTACCCAGGTGTTGGGAATTTAGTATTTCAGGAAAACATGGCGCCTTTCAATGCAGTAGAAGAGGTAATCAATCCAAGGCACACTAGCTAGTGTCCTGGAAAAATTTAATTCACCTGGGCAGTTCTTTGCCCCAAGATTCGATGTTACTCTAATGGCTCACACTGACAGCCAGAGTCAATTCCAAGAGTAACAAAATGTTTCACCAATTGTTCAGTTTTGCTTACATAAAATGGCCAGAAATATGAACTGGTTTTCAGGTGGAGAGTTAAAATAAGAATTAAGTGATGGTTTATACTTTCAAGCCAGGAGATTCAAAGTTGGACACATTCTTGTTAGAATACACCAATGGTGGGACAAACACCAATGGATTATCTACTAGATGCTGAAAATGAACACCTACAACTGCAATGTGCCTGTCCCCTTAAAACCAGCCCCAGACTCGTTTGGCATCACCTTTGAGATGATCTCCTCAGTAAAAATGTCAACGCTGTGTTTGGACAAGAGAGAAGTGCCTTTCAGGGAGTGACTGAACATGTCAAAGTTCTGGGTGCTGGCGTTAAAAACACAATATTGCAGATGTACAGGTAGCTTCCAAATCTAATGGAAATATTATCATGACATACTTTCTAGTTCGTTTGAGATTCAGGGGAAATGGATGTCGCATGGTATAGACAGTGAAACCCCTCCACAGTCCCGGGGTTGGTGAACAGGAATAACACTTGTTTTAAGGACTACTCAAGTCTATCAGTCTTTCTCTGTAGGGAGTTATGTAGCAGGGCTCTTCCATTATCTCAAGGATATCTGAATATGGGTAATAACAAACTGTCATAACAAGATTCTTCTGTAGATCTTGAGCCCCTGTGGCGCATTTTGGAAAGACAGGACTACTGAGAAAATTAACTCTTTATTACTTTCAATTGTTAAGAAAGAAATCTCATTATATCCCCAATGATAACGTTTCTGTCCTTACTCAAGAGGTCTGGGTGTGGGTAACAGCCACCTCCCAACAACGTCAGAGGTCCGGGTTCAGAATTCCTCAACGCGACTCAGTCACTGGCTCAAATAACTACTGTGGAGTAACGAGAGGTCATTTTAACACAACAGAGACTCCAATTCAACTCTCTTCTGTTAACACAGTCAGAGTTCTCTTCTCAATGCTCTCACAAGTTTTAAAAATGGAGAAGCTATAAAATAATTTTGTTAGAAGAAAAGTAATTTTCTTCTGAAATGGAGTAAAGCAAACACATACCCAAGGATCTTAAAAAGTTTTTTTTTGTTTTTACAGAATATATGTATGTATTTGTGTGTGTGTGTGTGTGTGTGTGTGTAGTTACAAACACTATTTATAGTATAGCTAATATGTTAACTTCATCGCAGTGTCTACAAAGTTGTGGATCCCAGTCTTGGTGCCAAATGCATATAAAAAGCTCAAAAGCTATTATGACTATACCATGCAAATTTATATCCAGAAAACCTTGGGAAGGAGACTGCAGCTCTTTGGAGCCCCATGGGGTCTCTGCCTTTGATATTTGGGTACCTCAACTATGCATCAAAAAAGTTTTAAATCACTTTTCTCCCAGAAAGAATTAATGTCACAGTTCTGAATAGTATAAATTATACACTTAAATAGACCATTGACTGTTTTTGTCCACATCCATTTACATTTTGGGGTCCCTCTTCTGCATGTGGACCTCACACCTTTAATTACTGGATACAGAAAAAGATACCTGAAGTATTGAAAGGGATAAGGTCTTTGCAAATGTATTTTTTTTCTTTAACATGATAATAATGATAAGGCCACTTAACAAGGTTTTTCCCAATCTGTTTAACTTTTAGGATCCCCCATTGTTACCCATGGAAAAAATGGTCAGAGAAAAGCCAAAGCCAAAGAAATCCCTGGCTAGTCTCCAGATGAAAATAAAACCAGAGAGCAGCGATTAGGAGGAAAAAGATAGGAATGAAAGAGGGAAAAGGGTCTAAAAGTAGGTAATTGCCTCTAGCGTGAGATTTTGTGGATTATGTTTTATCTGATGGTGGGTTTTGAACTGTTGCAGATGCCCACAAATTAAAGGTTGTTACGGCCACCAAAGAAAAATCAAGTAGTGGTCAGCTCATGGGGATAGTCCACACCACACGCATCCTCGGGGAGGGTGGTGCCTCTACCTACATCGAGACAACTGGGGCCTACCATTGGAGCACTCTGGTCCTTGGTTTTGGATAGAACAGAGAGGGTGAGGCATACGTGGCATTTTGGGATAAAGTATTAATTTAGCAGTTCTTCCTGCAAATTTTGCTTTTTATTTTTTTCTCCAAATGCTCAACTTCACTGTGACACCTGTTTGCACAACTGTAGTCATTTCAGTTTATGGATGCCTGTGATAGAAATATTGTTTACAAAAAATATATCATCTCTTTTTTTTTTCTTTAGAAAGATCTCATCTAAATAGTAAGTTAAGGTTGCGTCTATGAAACCGGTGCACCTTGTCTTGTTTCTACGAGCTTTAAAAAGTCCAAATACTGATGAGGCTGTGGATCAGAAGGAACCAACAGTGACTGTGTTTGCTGTCAGGTTGCCCTCCTTTGCCTCAGAGAACGGTCATGGGTCGTTGGGTGACGCGTGGTGTGTACGGGTCATGTTCCTGCAGAATCCTAGTCAGTCTAGGAGTAGTTGGATGTGCTTATGAAATATGTCAGATACAGAAATAAAGGCATGAGGATGATTCTTAGTTTCTGAAATTGAACAGTAGAAGTGTTTTAGCTTCAATCTTAATTTCTAGATAACAGAAAGTAGTTACATCACATAAAGGAAAATATGACATCGCATGCTGCCATGATAGCAAGCGTAAGAAACAAAATCTTGGTAAATATACATATATATGCATATTATGCAAATATATTTTCTATTAACATACAATGTTATAAGAATGATAACATAACTGCAAGGGGGAAAATCATCCTAGATGGTTTTACCTTAGAGTAACGAATAACCTGAGACGTCTATGCTTTCTGTTGGATATCAGGCCTAGAAATCCATACGAGATGTAGAGCACATTTTCAGTGATTGAAATGTCACTGGCCAAACGTGTCACTGTGTTCGCACATGACAGTGAAGCTGGATCCACTCCAAGTGAACAACAGAAACAAACTACACACTGTATATTAGAGTACTTACAACGAGATGCCATTCACTCCCGATGAGTTTTCAAAAGACGGTCGTTCAGACATCAACGTGGGATCTATCTATGTTTCAGACAACAGGTAAGCACACTGCCAGTGGCTCACCCCAGCCACTAAACCATTGCAGAAAACGTATGCCCGATGAAAACAAACCCCATCACCAGAGAAGCCAAGAAGCCTTTGCTTACTAAACTGAACGAGAGGATATGAAGTAAGTGACTCATTTTAAACTAGCAATACCACTGTATGAGTTTTCAAAGATTAACTAAGAATGTCTTTCTGATTTTTAAACTAAAACATCTAACTTATGATAATACAAGACACATTTGGGGATGATATTGTGTTTCACGCCCTCATTCTCAAGGCATAATATTTAGATGATACTTGTCCCTTTCAATTAAAAAAGAAAAAAACTATGACTTTCTTTAATATGCATCCTGTGGTAAATTGTCCATAGCTGCAAAATGTATATATGTATGTGTATTTGTCTTCCATACACATGGGCACTGACTCCTGTGTGTATAAACATATACACATACATCCTCATATACACGTGTATTTTATATATATGCTGAGAAAGTTCACATATATATACAATTGCGTATGTATATATGTGTGTGTCTGCTTGTGTGTCTGTGTGTGTACAGGTATAAAAACTTGACAGGCAGAGTAATATTTCACTCAGTGTTAAATGAAGTCTTTGAAAAATCAAGTACAGTCACTCAGTTAACATAGTACAGCCAGTAAACTAAGTTGAAAAGAGAAAAAGTGAATGGAAACACGATCCTGGACCATCTGTCTATGGCATTCACATCGGTTAGATCAGGTATTTTAATTTTGAGCTGTGAAGACCTCCTCCGTAGATGGGTCTTCTTGTGCGGGAGGCTTCTGTCCCCCAGGAATCGCCCATGCCCTTCTCGAGGCATGCTCTGTTTCCTGTACTGGATTCCTGAGTTGTCAAAGGATATTGCTGAATTCCTGGTATCGCCAATGCCGCCTGAGACCTCATTCATTTCATTGTGAACTTCCAGCGATGTCAACAGAATATTTCCATGAGCATCCACCTAATTGGACGGAAAATGCACATGGTTAGACAGCCAGCAGCATAATTTCCCTATGCAGATCCCGGACAGAATGATGTCATGCCATCACATGTTGCATGTTTTACGAGAAACTGTACATCTGTCAAATCCAGCACTCCGTTTTATTGGAAAATGTCATTTTGGAGGTTAATTGCAGTTGAGAGATTTTTATTTCCTTGATCTAAAAATGCTCATGTAAGAGATTAGATGAAATAAGGGGGAGGGGCTTTTTCAAATTGCAATTTCACATTATGGATACAAATCCTTACTGAAAAGATTAAAGTACAAATGATTTTCAAGATGTTAACTTAGGTGCTCTAACCATTTTCACAACTATACTTTGAATAAAAACTATATTCTCCCATTTGTCTTTGGAAGTCATCTTGTTCCCTTTTCTGATGATATAACACACCCAAATTACTACAGAGAAACACATGAATAGTCCTGTGATCGAAGATCATTCCTGATGACTTCCGTGGAGTAGATACAGACACCCCCCAACCCCAACTCAGGTAGGCTCTCCTTGCCCAATACTGGTTCTGGCAGGAGACTTCTTTTTGAAGGGCTATATATAAAATAGACGAAATTCCCTTCCCACAATGGAGCCAAACTTTACAATGATAGCATTTTATTCTGTGCCAAATTTAACTTCAGACATTTCATGATGATGCCAAAGGTCCATTCTGTTTGTGGGTTGGTCTGCACTGGAACTTTCAACCTTTCACAGAACATCCTGGGGCTGGGGGCCCCAGTAGAGTCCTTTCTTAAATGAACTAGTAGCATCTGCTTTCTGAGCTGTACCCATCCCTGCCACAGCCCCAAGGACCATTCCACAGTCCCCTGGGCTTTCACTCCAGCAAGCCCCACACTTCCCTATCTCTCTTCCCTTTCTTTGCCTGGAGGGCCATTTTCTTTGTCCTGTTTTAGGCTGTGGAAAGCCTACCCCGTGTTCCTGTAATAGATTAAGTGTCTGTGGCTTCCTCCATGAATCTTTCACAAAACACAGTTATTTTGTGTAGGAATAATTTATTGCCGTATTAATTTGTGTCTTCCCGCCTTCTGCATACACTTTAATTTCATCAATGGCATCCAGCTAGATAAGCAGGAGGTGAGGTGGTGAGAGGAGTCCTGCCTGAGAAGGCGCCGGGCCTGTATGGAGTTCCAAGTAGGGATAAGACCGCCGGTGGGATGGCCTCAGACTTCAAGGGGGCTGTGACACAGGAAGGGCTGCACACATCCAGGGACCACTCAGACTGTGGTGGAAAGGCACCAAAGAGGACTCTCAGATGTCTACAGGTTTGGTAACACCATTCTGGGTCACTTCATTATGCTTGGGGAAAGTGAGGTGGTCATCAGGGTAATGGCCCCCAGGGAGGTTGTAACCACAGGATCAACCCAGTCTGGTTCAACCTTGTGTAATAACATGGTGAGTTATTTTCAGTTGCCATGAACCCCTAGGTTGAAGGTCATGTAACCTAAGCATGCCCAGATGAACCAAGCATACAACCATGAGTGGAACCTAAGTGCTCAGACTGAAGAGTTAAGAAGCAACCACCACATGGCAGGATCCAGCATCCAATCAGATTGAGCCCATGGCAGGATGCAGTCAGACCATACCTCCCAGCATCACCTCATTGCAAGATCCAATCAGAACACGCCTCATTACCCTCTGCCTATAAAACCTGCCCCAAACCCCAGTTCCAGGAAAGAGATTTGAGCATTTCCTCCTATCTCCTTGCCAGTTGACTTGCAATAAAACTTTTATTTACTCAAAATCTGGTGCCATCGTATTGGTTTCCAGCACATCAGGCAGTGAGCCCATTCATTGCTCAGTACCAAGCTCACCATACTCACCAGATTCTGTGAGTATGTAACCCTATGCAAAAGTGACTTTGTGCATGTCATTAAGGGCACATACCCTAAGATAGGAAGATGACCCTGGATTGTCCAGGTGGGTTCGATCTCATCACACCTTCAAAAGTAGAGAACTTTCTCCAACAGGAAGCAGGAGAAAAAGTCAGAGAGATAAAAGCAGAGGAACTCAAAAACTGAGGACTTGAGTCACCCTTGATGGAAAGGCTGTAGGGAAAACATAAGAAGAAACAAGGCAGCTGATAGGAGCAAAGATGGGCTCCAGCTGACAGCCCAAAATCAAATAATCCCATTAGAAAGTGGACAAAGGATCTGAATAGACATGTCTTAAAGGAAGACATACAAAAGGCCAACAGGCACTTGAAAAAAATGCTCAATATCACTCATCAGGAAAATGCAAATCAAAGCCACATGAGATATCATCTCACCGCAGTTAGAATGGCTACTATCAAAAAGACAAAAATAACAGGTGCTGGCAAGACAGCCAAGAAATAGGATCTCTTAAACACCATTGGTGGGAATATAAATTAGTACAGCCATTATGGAAAACAGTATGGAGGTTTCTCAAATAACTAAAAACAGAACTACCATAAGATCCAGCCAAGGCAATGGGGATCTCAGTTTACGACAGGGAGCTGTATTTGACCAAGCACCTGAATGATTCTGGAAGCACAGTTAACCCCAGAGCCTGCAGAAAGGAAAGGAGCACAGATTGCCAATACTTTAATTTCAGCCTCCTGACACCCTAAGGGAAGGACCCAGCCAAGTCTCACTGTACCTGCACGTGTGGCCTAACAGAATCATGAGATAAAACACGGTCTTATTTGAAGCTACTAAATTTGTGGTAATCTGTTACAGTGGCAATCAAAACTACTATAGGAGGTGAGAGGGAAGATACATTTGCATTGTGCCTCAAAGAACGAGTAGAAATTTTTCAGACAAAATGCAGCAAAAACATCAAAAGCAAAGGCTTGAAGAGCACCTGAAATATTTTGAGAAAGGCAAACACCGTTCCCAGCACATACTAAGCCTGAGACAGATGAGGTCACTGTCATCATCACTGTCATTATCACTTTCGTATCCTCTTATCATAGTAGGAAAGTACACCTAGTGCTGGGTGGAAGCACAGATTAGATTTAGGCCAGTGAGGTTTTTGTTTTTTGTATGTCATGTGAAAGAATTTCAATTTAACTCTTTAGGAAACAGGAAGAAGAGTACTTTCTAGGTAGAAAGTCATAGACTTCTGAAGTGCAACTCAAGCTATAAGAAATTGAATTTGAGAAGAGAGTGCAGAGAGGGGCCCCAGGGAGAGCGCCCTGCAATGGTTTCTGTTTCCTTTAGTGGAGTCTGGAATGGAAATGCCTGAAGCCCGTGAATAACTGCTCCCTCGGCCACTGCAACATATCTTGAGGTTTTCCTTAAGCCTCGAGACACACACGGCATGCCCACAGCAGCAACGCTGGGCCTTCGCCTGCCCAGTGCTGAATCTCCGCAGCTCAGGGGCTGGGGAAGTAGTGGAAAGTCACTCAGCACTCCAATCCCACCCCGGCCCATGCACTCCTGTCCCCTGTGAGCTCCTAGCAGGAGCGTCCACACTGCAGCAAGTGTGCCATGAGTCCAGGTGGTGCCAGTGCTTCTAAACCAATGCTACATCCTACAGTTATAGGATGAAGAGTGTCACCGCGGGGTCTTCCTTATAGTTTACAGGCAGCATTGGTTTAGAAGTTGTCAGATAGTGACCTCATCTGTCCTCCACTAGACGGAGTGGTCTCCTTAGAATGGAGGACAGCCAGGCTGAGTGCTTGGAGATGGGAATGGACCGAGATCACACCACCTGTGCTGGAAGAAGGCCCTTCATGGAGACACGTGATGTGGGGAGGTGAGGAGGGCATTTTCTTATATTTTTTATCCAGCAGAAGGAAAATTCTAATGGAGCTTGTATCTCAAAAGCACCTGGAATGTCAGACCTTGGTGAAATTTTGACTTTTTTTTTTTTTTTGAGATAGAGTTTCACTCTTGTTGCCCAGGCAGGAGTGCAGTGGCACAATCTCAGCTCACCGCAACCTCCTCCTCCTGGGTTCAAGCGATTCTCCTTGCCTCAGCCTCCCAAGTAGCTGGGATTACAGGCATGTGCCACCACACCCAGCTAATTTTGTATTTTTAGTAGAGATGGGGTTTCTCCATGTTGGTCAGGCTGGTCTCAAACTCCCGACCTCAGGTGATCCTCCCGCCTCGGCCTCCCAAAGTGCTGGGATTACAAGTGTGAGCCACCACACCCAGCCTTCTGTTATGCATCTGTCCTTTCTGTTTTCTTTCCACGGGATGATTAGCAGCAAAACTCTTTAAATGACAAAGTGTGTCTGCATGTCTTTGAGACAATGGAAGCATTCCTTGGTTTGGGAGACAGAGTTTCTCATTGTACCAAGAGGATATGGCAGGAGAAGCCCAACAGTTAAATTCAGGTGTGGCTGAAACAGGTGCCCATGGCAGTAGCATGTCCCTTGTGCAGGCCACCTAGGGCTAGCTGTGGGAGTGCTAGGGCCACATCTTCCTGCCCAAGAGTAGTCATTCACTATCCCTAAGAAGGGGTAACCTGAACCTGCCCTGGATGCTGCAGGGAGGAGGGCTTGACTGGGCAGCCCAGCTGGTCTTTGCAAGAAGAACGATTCACAGCAAGATTCTCCAGGACAGAAGCTTGTCCACTGGTCTTTATCTCCTTCCAGCATCTTCTACCGTACCTTGTGCCACAAAGGAAAGAAGTGGGTGGAGAGAATGAGCTGCCTGGCTCACACTGGGAATGTTGTTGTGGAGAGGGCCTGGGAGGGGGGTTCAACCAATGTGTTCCTGTTCATTTGGGGTGTTCCATTCATTCCATTTACTGCAACAAATATGCTTGGTACCCCACCAAATATGTCTGATTTTGAATCATGAGAGAAAGCATATTTGGTTACCATGAAAAGGGATTTGATAAATTGAGGTCATTTATCAAATAAGCTCAATTCGATTGTATTAGAATGTCCAGCATCTTAAACAGTTCTACTTAAATGGTAAGCTTATATGTTTAAAATCTATCTGATGTTGAGTCAGAAGATAATCAAAGGTGGAAGATGCTTATAGGTGTTTTTTGTTTTGTTTTGTTTTTTTGAGACAGAGTCTCGCTCTGTCACCCAGGCTGGAGTGCAGTGGCGCGATCTCGGCTCACTGCAAGCTTTGCCTCCCAGGTTCACACCATTCTCCCGCCTCAGCCTCCCAAGTAGCTGGGACTACAGGCGCCCAACACTGCGCCCGGCAAATTTTTTGTATTTTTAGTAGAGACGGGGTTTCACCATGTTAGCCAGGATGGTCTCCATCTCCTCACCTTGTGATCCTCCTGCCTCGGCCTCCCAAAGTGCTAGGATCACAGGCGTGAGCCACTGCGTAGTAACGCAGAATTTGTTCTTTTCAATAATACTAAATGGTTTGGGAATTACGATATCAGAAAAGTGAAATCGTTTTCCTGAAGACAGAAAAAAACAGAAAGCATTATTTAGCTTTAGAAAAATGTTCTCTACAGACAATGCAATGTTTTAAATAACAAAACTGTGAGATGAAAAAAAGCCCAGTCATCCACTTCAGGACGTGCGATGCCTCACTGGAGAATGCACTTCCACGAAGGGGCTGGGATTGTTCGAGACCATTCATTAAAACATTACCATGTGGCTGCTACATGTCACCATCTTGCCCTGTCCTTAGTCAGGAGCACAAAGTGAACACAAGAAGGTCCTCACCCTCAAGGGGTCTAACTGATGAGACCTTAAATAATCAACAAGTGCATTTGAAAAAATACTGCATGTTGCCTTTTAAACACATTGATAATTATTACTTTTTAGAGACAGGGTCTTGCTCTGTTGCCTAGGCTTGAGTCCAGTGGCGTGACCATAGCTCACAGCAGCCCCAAATACCAGGGCTCAAGTGATCCTCTTACCTCAGCCTCCCGAGTAGCTGACACCTGACTATTTATATATATATATATTTATTTATTTATATTTATTTATATATAAAGTGTGTATATATATAAAGTGTATATATGTATAAAGTGTGTGTATATATATAAAGTGTGTGTGTATATATATATATAAAGTATATATATATATAAAGTATATATATATAAAGTATATATATATATACTATATATATATATATATAGTAGAAACAAGGTCTCTCTTTGTTGCCTAGGCTGATCTGGAATTCCCAGGCTCAAGTGATCCTCCCGCCTCCAACTCCCAAAGTGCTGGGATTACAGGCTTGAGCCACCGCACCTGGCCTAAACACAGTTTTAAATACCATCTCTTTTCTAGTGATAACATATAAAAAGCTCCTTTTATCAAAATCTAGTAGACCAGAATTAACAAATTCGTGGAGTGAAATACCAAGGGGAGGAATGTCTTTTCTTAAAGGAAGAAAGGGGAGTATTTTGCAATCTGTTTAGTCAGATGAACTTTGACGATTCTAATGACTCAGTTTTACCCGGCTTTATAAAGATGACATTTATAAGCCTTGTCCTCTCTTCCCACTAGGAAAGTGGAAAAAACATACCTCTCCAGTGTGACCAAATCCATGACAAATAGCACTCATTCATGGACAGATGTTACAAGAGCACGTGTACCACGTCCGCGTCATGGGTGTGCATATTTTGGAAGATGCAGAGAGTCAGATGCTGTCTAGGAGGCAAAGCTTGCTGGGCACATGGGACGTGAGTGATCTGCCATTTTCACAAGTATAAAGCATGTGCCCCATAAGTTGGGAGAACAGAAATAAAACCAACTGCTTAGAGCAGGGAGTGATGGGGCAGGATGCAGATAAGTGGTAGGCAAAAAAAGTCAAGGAAACTGTTGGCTGGGCACAGTGGCTCACGCCTGTAATCCCGGCACTTTGGGAGGCTGAGGCGGGCGGATCACGAGGTCAGGAGATCAAGATCATCCTGGCCAACATGATGAAACCCTGTCTCTACTAAAAATATATATATATAAATTAGCTGGGTGTGGTGGCAGGTGCCTGTAGTCCCAGTTACTTGGGAGGCTGAGGCAGGAGAATCGCTTAAACCCAGGAGGCAGAGGTTGCAGTGAGCTGAGATCGCGCCACTGCACTCCAGCCTGGGCGACAGAGCGAGACTCCGTCATAAAAACAAAACAAAACAAAAAACAACCAAGGAAAATGTCATGGAGGAAAACATCTGGCTTAGATCTTGGAGGGAAAATGTGGACCAAGAAGAAAGGCATTCTAGGTAGAGAGGACAGGACAATGGAAGGGGAATGGGTCATCATGTAGGTGGGGACTTCAGGAACTGCACAGGGAGAATGAAGACACAAGACATCGGGTAAAATGAATGTTGACTTGAGTTTTCAAGATTTAGATACAAATCTGTATGAATCCATGTCCTGTCTTCCCCAGCGCTGTGGCCACTGTTGTGTTTGGGAGACGACCTCACGAACGTGGGTCTCTAAGGCTGTGCCCTTGAACTCTAGTGAAGGAAACTTAGACTGAGGGAAGTCAAACCCACCTCCCCACCTATGTTGTTAATAATTTACAAAACTACAGTGCTCTTGGGGGCTTTGGACATGTATGACTAACTGGTAGCTGTCTTAGGACATAGCACATGTGAGAAAGAACTCAAGAACCAATACAATTTTACATTATTCTTATTTCAGAGTGGGTGAACACTTGTAACGGAAACAACAGTGCAGGTAACTCTCATTCTAGTGTGAAAAGGAACCTGAATATATATTGAATTAATAAGATCTTAGTGTTAAATAGTTTGGCTGCTTTATTTATGGTTTTATGTTTGTATGGTTTTCATTTAAGCATGAACCAGTATGTAGAAAATTTCCACAAAAATTACTCATGGATTTTTTTTTCTGAAAGAACTAAAGGGTTACTAAAAATCTGTTAAATCTTAGGAGCCAAATAACTTAAACAGATATTTCCAAGAGAAAGTCTTTTTCTATCATCTAGAGTTTACGTCTTAAAGTAGAAAGAAGCGATTGTGGGTGAAATACAAGGCTGAAATGCCCTTCATAGAATGACAGATGACTTGCAATTTTTAAATCATTTCATGAATACTCTTTATTTTGAAGGGTTCATCTCATATCTACTATAATTAGAACCATTGATTTCAATGAAGTTTTTCTTCCTGCTCTATAACCTTGACAGGTGCAAACATTCAACGACTAAAAACATCTCATTCAGAATATAGCACAGAGAGATTTTTTGTTTTTTCCTAAAATATGTCACCAGATTGGCACACAGTTGATATCTCATTCTCTAATTTTCTTCCAGCTTCTAGTTAAGTAAAATACTGTCGTTTTAGAAGAATGAGAAAGGACTTGCCACGTGAAGAATGAAATCTTGCTCTTTAGTAAGAATGATGTTGAGTCTGCAGCTCTGATTCCTTGCCAAGAATTATGACTCTCTACCACCTCATGAAATTCAAATACTAATTGGTCAACTTGTAAAATATCGCAAGGCTTGTAACCATAATGCATGAATTACAACCAAAGATGAACTCTTGGGTATAGAAACAACTCAGGAACAAACAGATGGTATGCACAAATAAATTAAGGTCAAGGCTTACATGGTACCACTAGTCTGGGGAGATACTAAGTGAATATGTGAATGTCTTAAGCATTCATGAATCAATTATTAGGTTAAAATATGGCATAAATACTAAATATAAGGAAAACCTACTCATGGTTTTACAGTAGGGTCACTAAAACCATAGTACCAAGAGGCAGTTGCTGGTGGCCTACAGTGTCCATAAGGGTACTGTTTTCTCTTGAGATGCCTTACAGGACACAGAAAGTGGTCTCAAGAAAGACAATGACAAGCCAAGTCCCTGCTGTGGAGCCAGCAGCTGTCAGTCAGGGCGAAGCTGCTGGGTGTTGTTGGCCACACTGAGATGCAATCCCAGGTGCTATCCCTGACACATCACAGCATTATTCACAATAGTAAAGACAGAGTATCAATCTAAATGCCCATGAACAGTGGACCGGATAAAGAAAGTGGGGTACATATACACCATGGAATACTATGCAGCCATAAAAAGAAGATCATGTCCTCTGCAACAACATGGATGGAGCTGGAGGACATTATCCTAAGGTAACTAACACAGGAGCAGAAAAACAAATACCTCATGTTCTCACTTATAAGTAGGAGCTAAACACTGAGTATGAATGGACGAAAAAAAGGAAACAGCAGACACCAGGGACCCCTTGAGTGTGAAGGGTGAGAGGACGAAGAGGATCAAAAAACTACCTTTTGGGCACTATGCTCATTACCTGGGTGAGGAAATAATCGGTACACCAAACCCTTGTGACATGCACTTTAGCCATATAACAAACCTGCACATGTACCCTTGAAGCTAAGATGATAGTTAAAAAAAGAAACTGTAGAAGCTGTTAGGTTGTGTATACAGTACCACTTCTGTTTCACGTAAAATTTGATTCTTTTCTCATGTTCCTTTCTTTCATCCACATTACTTGATATAAACTTTTTGGGAGTTACATTTCTACTTAAACATTATCACTAAAGTCTTAGGTGTACTCAGGAACAATTTTTAATGTTTATCTTTAGGAGCATCAAATATGCATTTAGAATTAGCATACACATAATCATACGTTGACTTCAAACCTTAAGTACCGATCTACAATACAGATTCTTAACCATGTAAACATATAAAGGCCTTACTAAGATTGCCGAGAAAACAGAGAAACAGATTTTTGAAAAACCAAACAATAAACATGGATTCATGAATCAACGAAAAATTTCTTTTGCATTTAATTTATAATATACTTTTTCTACATCCTGCTAATTTTCTCTATGGATGCTAGAGTTTTTTTGTCTTTTTATCTTAGATTTTAAGCCTCGTACCCATAAAGGTATTTCTGCAGCACCACAGTTTGACTGTTTTAAACAGTCACATTTAGAAGAAAAAAATTTATAACCTGTTTAAATTAAGAGGAAATTTGGAAAGACAGCGTTGTATGTGTATGTGTATGTGTGGATACGTGTGCCTCTGTGATGGAAACAATAATGATGTGATGAATTCTAGTTTCCTTGGAAACAGCATGACCAAAGTGTATTGTGTGTTCCTAGTAGGATGTGGACCTATTTAGAAACATAACAGTATGATACTAAGTATATTTTCCACTAAGAAATTCAAGATAGTTTTGCCTGTGAAAAATCTGGTTTTATTCACAGACCCTCAGTTTTCTGACCAACTCTATTTATGCTGTGCTGAAAGGAAGGAGCCATTTACATTCACTTAATGTGCTTCCATGGGTTCATGAATGTTCGTGGGCCTCTGCCAGGTCTATGGGCACAGGCAGTCCTCCAAGGAGCTACTGTGTTCGCTGGGAGGTGTGGACCCATAAAGGCATGGAGGGCACAGGATAGAGCAAGAAAACCTCCATAGGCTTGAGAAATAAGTATGTGATATGGTTTGGATCTGTGTCCCTGCCCAAATCTCATGTTGAACTGTAATCCCCAGTACTGGAGGTGGGGCCTGGTGGGAGGTGTATTAGGCCATTCTCTCATTGCTATAAAGAAATGCCTGAGACTGGGCCAGGCACAGTGGCTCACGCCTGTAATCCCAGCACTTTGGGAGGCCAAGGCAGGTGGATCATCTGAGGTCAGGAGTTGGAGACCAGCCTGGCCAACATGGCAAAACCCTGTCTCTACTAAAAATATAAAAATTAGCTGGGCGCGGTGGCAGGTGCCTGTGAGCCAAGATCACGCCATCACACTCCAGCCTGGGCAACAAGAGCGAAACTCCATCTCAAAAAAAAAAAAGAAAGAAAGAAAGAAATACCTGAGACTGGGTAATTTATAAAGAAAGAGGTTTAACTGGATCACAGTTCTGCAAGCTGTACAGGAAGCATGGTGCTGGCACCTCTTGGCTTCTGGGGAAGCCCCAGGAAACTTATAATCATGGCAGAAGGTAAAGGGGGAGCAGGCACATCTCACGAGGACAGAACCAGGCAGGGTGGTATTGTGGTATTAAACCATTCATGATAAACCGCCCTCATGATCCAATCATCTCCCACCAGGCCCCACCTCCAACACTGGGGATTACAATTTGACGTGAGATTTGGGTGGGGACACAGATTCCTCATGAATTGTTGAGCACCATCCCTTTGGTGCTGTCTGTGATAGTCAGTGACTTCTCATGAGATGATCTGGCTGTTTCAAAGTATGTGGCATCTTCCCCTCCTCCTTGTTCCTACTTTTGCCATGTAAGTTGCCTGCAGCTCCTGCTTTGACTTCCACCATGATTGTGAGCTTCCTGAAACCACCTCAAAAGCCGGGCAGACATTATTGCCATGCTTCCTGTAAAACCTGCAGAACTGTGAACCAATTAAACCTCTTTTCTTTGTAAATTTCCCAGTCTCAGGTATTCCTTTATAGCAACAGAACAATGGCCTAACAGTAAGTTTAACAAGAAGAATTAAAAAAAAAATGTGGGAAGAAACCCAACATGTAAACAGGTAGAAATATATACTTGAGGATTTGAGGGGATAGAAGAGGTGGAAAGATAAATTTTAAAAATTATATTGGAACTATAATGTGCTTTCATTCAAATGTTGTTTATAATCACAATAACATACTGCTTTTATATAAGCTGAAATGACATCTAAAGATAAAGTGGCTTTGTGGTTGGAAGGATGTAACAGCATTGCTGAGTTGGGCTGGGCTGGAGGAGGGTGTGCAAGGGCTTTAGAAAGTTCATGGACTTCATAAAACAAAGTGTCTAGGTCTGCCCAACCCTGGCTTTTTGCAGAACACAACCGGGAGGGGCCAGGGCCACGGCAGATCTATGAGAGCTTCCAGAAAGAGCACTGCTCCTGCCTTGTGCATTCCTTTTGGACTTTGCTTTTTCTCTAGAAGACTGTGGCCACTGGGCAGGTGGACAAAAGATGGTGTGCCTGCTCCAGTGCAAAGAATGGCAGCATGCTGGATCATCAAATTGATAATTTTACAACTAAAGGAATATTGAAACATTTTGGAAAAATGCTTCCGTAGAACAAATTCACACTCTCCACCCCAGCGTTTCATTCTTTCCAGACCCACAGGTTTTGTTCTCTTTGTAGGAAACTATAGATGATTTTGGCTTCTCCAGCATCAACACTAATATTGGTTTTATAGGAAACCCTGTGACATGCACAAGGAAATATTTCAGATTATGATCATCAAGCCTGCCCAAGTCCTACACAAAGCTGATGCAAGTATATTTAAAAAACCATTAGGCCCTGTTACTCACTTCTGTAAGTGGAGAATTCAGAAAGGGCAAGGGAGTCTTTCATTGCCAGCTCCATGTTGACCCTCTCCCTTGTGTTCAACACCAGGCCAGAGATTAACCAGCCCCAGTCCAAATGCCCTCACCCAAATTCAAGAATGCACTCCACTTCTCAATAGGCTGCCCATCCAGATAGACGCTGTTTTAAGGGGCTTACTGGTGAGAGGAAGAAAGCCTAGGTCTGTGCCCTGAGGGTAGACTGGAGTAATGAAAGTGACTGTTGGGCATGCTTTACCTGGGCAAAAAGCAACCGGGCCAGGGTCAATGTGCACGGAAATGTCAAAAGTCAATTTTGTTGGCCAATCCAACAGTCCTCTTTGTGTAAGCCTACAACCACTGGTTTCAGTGAACTCTGGCCAGTCCTAGCTAGATGGCCAGGACTCCACTGGACTGGTTTGAGCAACCCCTGAATAAAAAACACCTGGGTGCCATGTCATAAGGGCTATATCACAAGTACAAGAAGGGTGTGTGGCTTGACATACACTACTGGGGAAAAAACAAAGAAATATCATGCAAGTAAATGCAGTAGCTGCTGAGCTGCAGGGACCAGGTGGGGTCAAGGTGGTGGAGAGCCTACCCGGTTGCTTTCGCTCTTTGAACGGTCATTCTTTGCCTTGGCTGTCTTTTCTGCAAGCTTCTTCTGCCTTTGAGGGCCTCTTCCAAAGAAAATGTAGTTGACAAAGGCATACTCCAGAAGGGCCAGGAACACAAAGACGAAGCAGCCCATAAGGTACATGTCAATGGCTTTGACATAGGGGATTTTGGGCAAGGTCTCCCGAAGGTGGGTGTTGATGGTTGTCATTGTCAGCACAGTTGTGATCCCTAGAAAAGAAACAAAGTGGTGAGAGGCTGAAACTTTGCCACATTGGTCTTCACTTTTCACTTTCCTTTTATGTTTTCTCAAACAGCTTTAAGTAGTCAGAGATAAGGGGTTGAATACTGTGGGGTGACTGGAATGCAACAGAGCATACATCTTGTCATTTGCACCGCACGTCACCACTCAGAACAGCAAGCTGACATCTGTACTCTGGGGAAGTGAAGCCGTGCAGGGCATCTCCCTCCCCCACCCACCCCCCTGCCCACTACACCTTGCTATCACACACGATGGAATTTTGAGAGTAGAAGAAGAGATATGTAGAGCAGGAAAAAAGAATGTGGTTTTTATGAATGCTGGAAAAAATAAAAATAAGCCCAGAATTTAGCATAAAGCACAAAGTGTCTAGATGAGAAACCTCCAGGAAAAAGAATGAATTTGAGGTGTCTGTGGCTGCAGAGGCAAGGCTATGAGCGAGAGCTCAGTGAGGCAGCCTGTGAGAAGAAAATAATTCCTACTACAATGCTTATTGGAAGCAAGAGGAATGAGGCAATGATTTTTAAAATTATTAGCCATGAGATCCAGTCCTGAGCTCAAAGAGAAAGAAATAGCTGAGTGAAGCTTCTGAGGGAAGATGATCTCAGAGAGCGACTTCCCTCCTCAACTAAGAAAGAATCTGTACACAAGCTGCTTAGGAAATGTTTGCTCAAGTTAAGGGTTAATGATTTCATTCATCTTATAGAATCCCACCATACTCTGGCGCAACTCATCAGATCCTTTTTTTAAATGTCGTTATGTTGAATTCTTTACATAGTATTGTATGGATGATCTCATTGTTTCCCAAATAGAGCTCAATTTAGTCTAAAACCATGTGTGGACCATGTATTGCAATTCTCCCTCCCATAGCAATAGACATAAGATTCTGCACTGAATCATCTGAGGCCATAGACACCAGGAGGCAAGTCAGTGACATGCCCAGAGCTTGTGGAGTTAAGTTACGCTGCGCTTACAGGAAAGGCACGGATCACTCCCTTGTGGTAGGGTGGGATGGTAGTACTGCAGCTGACGCGCTCTCTTGGAGACTGTATTTTTGACATATTAATATGTCTCAAGGAAGCAAGACAGCTTTGAGGGCTGAGCTCTTTTCTACGTATGCCACTGATGCCACTGAATGTGAAGATGTGGGTTTCAGGACCCAATAAAGAGAATAGGTTCCTCCGCATTGCTTTGTCAGGCTTCCCTGAAAAAGGAGACTTTCAAAGGAGAGAGCTTAACCATAATCCTTCATCCTCAGTAACCCAAAACCCACATGACATCACTGAGGCCAAGAGGTAGTGCCAGCCCTACATTTCAGCACTGTCCAGATATGTACTCTGGGACGGAGCCCAGGCCATTCTGCACATGGTCCCAGCCCAGCCCTCCAGGGCAGAGTTTGAATTTACTAAGCATTCCAATTTCATGCCCTCTGATTTCCCATCCTATCCTGGGAGGCAGCATCCTCATCCTCTGTGTCCCACAGGGAGAACCTTGAGACTGCAGAGCTCAGCTGGCCTGGGAATCAGCTGGAGAGCAAGCTAGACAGCCCAGTCTTCCATCTCCAACACAAGCGCTCCCTCCACTGAGCTCTGAACTGCTACTAAAAGCTAAGAAGAGAACTGAAGACTTGAGAAACTCTTTTTATGTAGAACTGCAAACCATGGTTGCTGACGGAATGTATGGAAATCCAAGATGTCAGAATATTTTAAGATTCTCTTTTAACATCACATTCATGTGCACCTGGGGACTTTTTAAATTTGAAAATGGCAATGGGATAATTACTGTTTACAAATAAATGTGAAAACACCACATAAATGCTACAAAATTAGGCATTCTCACCATTATTCAAAAAGTTTGTAATGTTGTTGCCACTACCGTCTCTCCCCCTTCAACTTGGATTTGGGAAGACCGAGCGCTTTGCTTTAGTCACGACTTTGCCTCTCCTGCTGGCTATTTTGAATGGACATGTATGACACAGGCCTCGGCAGATGTCCCAGACAATGGGCTGAAGGCACACAGGAATAGGTACAGCCAGCACATCTCACAGGCACTCAGCCTGGTAAATGAACCCCAGAGGGACCTGGGCTAGGACCCTGGATCCAGGCTGATTGGCACAGGCTCAGGAATCCCTAACAATAAGATTTCACAGTGAGTACTTCAGGTCTTTCTAGTTTGGACCCACATGCCACATGAGTTCTTAGCTTAAGAGGCCAATGCATTTACTAAGTCCTTCTATTGCTTTACCTGCTATGGGGGATACTGTGGATGGTGGTGTGTTGTGGTGGTCCACAGCCTGTAAAGGGGAGCCACATGGCCCAGACCCAAAGCCCAGCTCTGCCTCTGTGGGTCTGTAGCCATCATTTCGAGCTGTTGGAAATCTAATGGCAATGGCTGAAAAGCTCTGATGTGCCAATAAATAGTAACCGGCACTGTTAACACTAACAACAAATAATCATATGACTATCATCATTACAGAAAAATCATTCTTCGGTAGCCTCTAGGCTTCCTGGCCTTGCCTTGACCTTCTGCTCTCTAAAGGGAAATCATCCAGCTGCAGTACAGGAAATGGCTGGGTGGTGGCTTTCGTGTTTTTTTGTACGTTCACCAGGCTTGTAAGTCTTTCTGTAAATTGCTAGCCTCAACTTATTTGTCATTTAGATTATGTATGAAATATTGTATTTGAAAGCTGTATTTATAAAAATGAATATGAAATAAAAATATAATTTCTTTGCATTATTTAGTCAAAATATTTTGTTTCTCCTCCTCATGATAAAAATAATCTGGCCTAAATTTTATCAGTATACGTTTTTACCTTTAGAAGTATCAGTACTTTTGCAGATTGAGCATCTCTAACCTAAAAATCCAAAATCTGAAATGTTCCAAAATCTGGAACGTTTTGAGCACCTCCATGGTGCTCAAAGGAAATGCTAATTGGAGCATTTCAGATTTTGGATTTTTGGATTAGGGATGCTCAAACTAAGTATAATGCAGATACTCCAAAAGTAGAAAAAAATCTGATTTTCAAAACACTTCTGGTCCCAGGCATTTTGAATAAGGGACACCCAACCTGTATTCACTGAGGGTTTTGAGGGAGGCCATCTAATTACAACTTCCCACTTTAAAGTTTGGTGGTCGTTAACGCTAACAGTTCAATGTATCTGATGGTCAGACCCTGGGCAGCAGAAGCATATCATGCTGAAGCCCACAGAGCAGCCGAGGAGCACGGCTGTCTGAAGAGCCAGCAGAACAGGCCCTGAGTCCCTCCCGCGTTGAGTCCAGGTCCAACAGTGCCCAGAGCCCAAGGGTGAGCCCTCAATAGAGGCCTCTGCCGAGCCCCACCCGTCCTAGCTATGCAGAGGCAGCACCTTTATCATGCATTTAGAAGCAATGTGTATTGATCACAGTGCAGTCCCTTAGGATGAATGCAAAAAGCACTGTAAGCATTTCAAAGCTGTGCTATAAGACTAGGTGCTTGGGAAGGGGTGGCAGGAAGGGGGATTTCTCCAATGAAAGCCCTCCAAACTATAGCTGTATCCTATGGAGCTCAGTAGCATCTTAACAGTTATGAGGGATTCCTCAATAATAAGAGTTCATAATGTTTGGTTAGCTTTTTTCTTTTCTTAAACAAATCCATGACTTTTACAACATAGTAGACCAAATAACTCTTTACTGTAGTTTTACTGACACTTTAGGAATTATATGCAGTAGTTAAGGGAGAAGGTCTGGAAGTCATACTAACTGGATTGAAATCTTTCTTCTGAAACTTGGTAATTATATGACTTCGTACCAGTTACTTAGCTTCTCTGTATTCTATTTTTGTGCTCTGTAAAACTGGAGCAATAATACTTCGTACTGTGCTGTGAGTCTTCTCCAGAACAGATAAACTACATGAATGGCCTTAGCAGAGAATGTGGCACCTAACTATGTGATAATTTTCAGCCTTTATTAATCTTGTCTGTTGTATTGATGATGATGATGATGATGATGATGTTACTCAGTGCTCCTGACACTGCGTCATACTTTTTCTGAATTCACCAACTGACATTTCCCAGTGACTGTAGATCTAGACTCAGTCTTGTATTGGCAGGAGGGACAGAGGGAATGCATGTGCAGGTGTCAGTCATACTCTGAGAGCTGGATCTGTTGGGTTCTTGTCTGGCCAGACCCACAGCCCTAAGATCACAGCTGCCCTCTTGACCTCGGGGTCACCCTAACTCTAGTGAATATCCCCTTCACTCTGGCTCTCATGCTTGCCTCCCAGAGCACAAGCGTCAATCCTCCAATGTTGAAGCCTCAGCAACCCTAGCCAGCCCATGCCTTTATCCCAGCAAAGCCACAGAGGCACAGTTTGTTTATATTAATAATGCTGTCATGAAGAAAAAGTGGAATCTACTTTCATATAACTTAATGAAATTGGGTTGAATGTAACTCACTTCCGGGGTATTAACGATTTAATACTGTAGAAGGCAATACTTTACAATTAGGGAGGGACAGAATCTGTAATGGCTGGGAAATTCAGATATGCACATTTTCAGTACACCCCACCCCTTGTGATGTCAGATAATCATGGTTCCTTGGTACTCATATTTCACTAACTATCGCAGTGACGGCAAATTCTCTGTAGCAGATGCTTCAGATCGGTCTCCACTTTCATACGCCTCTTCTAGGCTTGGGGAGGGGTCCCAGCAACTTTGTATTTGTATATTTCATATTATTTTTCTTAAAAGGGGGTGCTTGAAATTGTATAAGCTAACAGCTCTGCATAATTTAGATCTGCCTCTACAAATGTATCTTTGAATTTTCCAAGTGAAAAAAGAGTTTAACAAAGAGTAATCTAGCAATATACGTATTTTTAAAGTAAAAGCTACATAAAGACTGACATTACTGGGGAAGATCTGCAGGCTGTAGAAAAGTCCTGGAGATTTTTTTTCTTTTTTTAGAGAACTGTGCTTATGATACCTATTAGAAATACATAACAATTAAAACAGCACTTTCAGTTTTTTGCAGCTTTACTCTTCATAGAGTGGTTTTCTTATCCACTTAACACCCTTAGGAATAGCTACCTGATTTTCTCAAGCCATAATTATGTGTTATTTCCTGGGAAATAAATCTGATCTTGATTACAACTATGCAAGTCACATGTTTGTCATCCATATACACACATGTACTTACATTTTATTAGAAAAGAAAACACGTTATTCAATTTAAAGTCCTGGGAAAAGTTGGTAAACAGAAAAAGGGCTGGGTGTGGTGGCTCACGCATATACTCCTAGCACTCTGGGAGGCTGAGGTGGGCAGATCGCTTGAGGCCAAGAGTTCAAGACCAGTCTGGGACACATGGCGAAACCCCATCTCTACAAAAAATTAAAAAATTAGCCAAGTGTGGTGGTGTGTGCCTGTTGTCCCCACTGTCCAGGAGGTAGAGTTGAGAGGATCACTTGAGTTCAGGAGGTTGAGGCTGCAGTGAGCCGTAATCGCAATTATGCCACTGCACTCCAGCTTGGGTGACAGAGTGAGACTCTGTCTCAAAAAAAAAGAACAGGAAAGAAGGGATAACTGGAACCCTGAATTCTTATGTTTTTTTGTAAGGTACTTTGCCAGATAATGTGTTGATAATTCTTTTCCATCAATTTTTATAAGTACTACTGATACGTTCACTTTCAGGAAATAAATTCAACCCTATCCAAAGGGATGGATTGCAGATTGCATCAGCTCTGTACTTACATAAACGTATTTAAATAATTATTTTTTCTATGCAGTTTCATATTAATCAGCTGAATAGAGAATAATGTTTCTGAAAATATAAGCCTTCCCTTAATAATCAAAATGCTAAAAATAATATTGGAACCTATAATACATATTGTACATCAGCTAATAATCCAGCTGTCAAATAACCAATGGTCAGGAAAGATCACTAGAGCCTTTGGCAATCATTCAGAATTGAATTCCATATTTTAATGCTCATTAAATTGTGTAATTCCAATTCTATGCTGTAATATTTGACTATTTTTCTGACTTAAAAAAGAAGAATGCACAATTAATCAAGTCTTCTTTCTGGGCCATGGAATAATTTTGAACAGGAGATGTTAAACCTTGCTTTAAAATTAGTGTCAAAAATAGTTTTATCATGCAAATATTCTGCAAGCATATTTTCCCTTTCATGGGCATGAAAATTCACATTTGAGCCTTGTAATTAAATTAACACATCAAGGGAATCGTGCGTGAAATTAGTGTTTCAAGATAAAAAGTGACTATACAGGCAATGCTTGTGTCACGCTGTCAAAAAATGGTAGTTGAACTACAGCCTTTGAACTCTCTTAATACTGTAATGATACGGTTACTTTACATTTAAATATCACTTAAAAATAGCACATACCGAGGGCAACTCTAGCAGCAGATGCATCATAATTGATCCAGAAGGACACCCACGACAGAATCGTTATCAGTATAGAGGGCATATAAGTCTGAAGAATGAAGTATCCAATGTTCCTCTTCAACCGAAAGCTCAGTGACAGTCGAGGATAGGCACCTATGGGAAACAGACAAGGATATTACACTGGAGAAACAACATGGCAGACTAAAGAGTTTGCTTTGACTTCCATAGGTCAACAACAGGCAATGGAAAAGTCTGCGAATAAAGGGGTGACCCACCACCAAGCAGTTTGCTTCTGTCTGCTAGCGGTATTTATAGAAGAATTAGGAGGGGGGTGCTTTTCGGTCTATTTATAAGATAGTGATGAGGATGCTCTTCTAAGGCTAAACGCTCGGTTGAGAACTTGGAAAAACGTATTAGTTTTTAGCTTAGAATCCAGAATAATGCCAAATACCTTGTTTATTCTTTAATGAATGATTATCCCCTTCTTCCTTGTAGACAGCGGAGATGTGGCTCAAGGCTTTACTGGGCAAGAAAGGCTTTTACCAGTTGTCCTTTCAGCCCACCTGGAGTTCAGCCCTGAATACAGATGTTAGAGGCATTGCCCCTAGAGTGACTGGGCTAGCTCAGGGGCACCCTAAGAATGAGAGAGGCAGAGAAGCAAGTCCAGTCCCGGAGAAAGCAGTGGTGCACACTGAGGGCTTCTGCTTCGGCCACAGAAGAGGCATTAACGAGAGTCTCAAAGGAGCACCTGTCTGCCTTCTTGCCCATGAGTCCCAGTGTTAATTCTCGGATGTGAACATTCCACTCAACACATTTTGGAATCCTACCACCACCACCATGACAGAGTGAGAAAATATGCCATTTATCATGCCACATTCAGCGCTATATTTGCCTTTTCTGTCTTATTTTGTTTTCCTTTCTTTTTTTTTTTTTTTGAGATGGAGTCTCGCTCTGTCACCCAGGCTGGAGGGCAGTGGCACGATCTTGGCTCACTGCAACCTCCACCTCCCTGGTTCAGGCGATTCTCTTGCCTCAGCCTCCCGAGTAGGTGGGACTACAGGTGCCTGCCACCATGCCCAGCTAGGTTTTTTTTTTTTTTTTTGGTTTTGTATGTTTAGTAGAGACAGGGTTTCACCATATTGGCCAGACTGGTCTTGAACTCCCGACTTTGTGATCCACCCACCTCGGCCTCCCAAAGTGCTGGGATTACAGGCATGAGCCACTGAGCCCGGCCTATTTTGCTTTTCTTAGAGCAAGGCAAGTGTGGCCTTGTTTCCCCGTTTGTTTCAATAGGCCACTTTCTCAGTTCCAATCCTACCACTCCTTGTTTTCTGGATTCTGATGGAGCTGCCTGAGGGCCAGCCAGTGAGAACCCAATGACCCTCTCTAATCAGCTCCTCTGATTGCTCCCCCACACTAGCAGGTGCCTTCTTTCTGAAGCTGCCCACACCCTAAACTCCAAGAGGCCTCACCTTTCCTGATCTCCTCCTACTCCAAGCCTGGCAGGCTCCTATTCTCCTCCTGCCCCTAAATATATGCATTCTACAGGCTTTATTCCATGTCCCTTTCTGTGTCTGTCCCTAGATTCTTCTCTTTGGCAGTCTGATTCACTCGTATGACTACTACCATTATGCAGGAGATGAACGATTTTATGTCTAGGCCTCCTACCTTAGCATCAACCACATTTGCAGCCAGGATTATATAAAAGAGAAAAGAAATCACCAAACATACCCAGCACTTCAAGGCTGACAGTCTCAGAAATTTCCTCCAGTCTTTGTGTGTGTCTGTGTAGAATTTCTCTTACACAGCTCTGATCAAATGCATATATCACATGTCATCATAGCATAATAATTTTTAGAGTGGCTACAAATTATTTGTAAACACAATTTTCGATTCTTCCTAATGATCCATCAAATATCACCACAAGGACTCTATAAATACAGATTCCTGAATGCTGTAGATTTAGGTGTTTTCAATTTTTATAAAACTATAAATAGTACTCTTAAGGATATATTTGTGCAGAGCCGGTTTTCCATATTTAGACTTACTTCTTGAGGATGAATATGCCAAAGGAGGGATTGCTAGGCCAAAGGTTAAAGCTTTTGATAAATATTGTCAAATTACTTTGCAAATGTATGAAACCAATGTATGCCGCTGCCACTATCAGCAGATTAATAAAAGTGCCTAGCACACCTTGCAAATATGACATTATACATTATCTCTTATAAATAGTTTTTGCTAAATCCCTTGGGAAAACCTTGTCCTTTCAATTACTTTTTTAAAAATTGAATACTTCCTAAATGTTTGTTTGTTCTCTATATTTAATCTTGTAAGTTATCTGATTACTCATTTATTTTTCTCATTTCTGTTTCCTCTGATGGTTTTTACCTTTTCATTGAAACACTTTATATGCTAATCCTCGCTTGTATTCTCTGCAAGCATTCTCCCAGTTGCTGTTGTAAACCTTGTAATGGCTTTGAGTGGAGGACACACAGATCCCTAACTTTTTGTATGCAATTACTTCTATCCATTTCACTTTTTCCCTTGTGATTGTTAAAACTTGTGTTTAGCCTTAGGTAAGTTCACAATACAGATCTACCTGCAAACCTATTTTGAGGGTTGGCAATTATTTCAGAGTTTGACATGAGGTGAAAACATATGTGGATTTTGGTTCCACAAACAGCAAACCGGTTTCTCCAACACCATCAGTAGAATGAGGCTTCCCTTCATATACATTTCACACAGTTCTGTTGTTTTTAGACTCCGTTTCTTGTAAATGTGGATCATGGGCCTGCGCACCATGCACGGGGGCCAGACCCTCCTCGCGGGCCTCGCCCTCCTGGCTCTGGGCCTTGCGCGACTTGGGCACATTTGGGAAACATGGAAATGATGCTCACTGTCATGCCACAGTCAAAATCTTCTACGGCTCATTGCTTCCCACAAACATCAAAACACGCATCCAGGAATTTCAGTTTCTCCATCTTTTCCCAAATTAACTTCAGTTTTATTTTCCACCATGTTTCTGCATTAAGTATAACATTTTTTAGTCAAAGAGGTTCTCACTGCCTCAAAATATTCATCTCTATTTCCTGCCTCTGCTGACTCACATCCCAGTTTTGAAGATGCGTCTTTCCTTATCTATACCTCAAGGTCTTGGTCAAAGCCCCATCTTCCATGAATCCTTTCTTTTTCCTCCTTCCAAATGTAAGTAATCACCCTCTTGAATTTTTTTTCTCATTCATATTATTATAATTATAAATATTTACAAAGGTAAGATCTTCCTTAATAAGCTGTACAGTCCCCAGGGCAGAATTTGTGAGGTAATTTTTTTTATATACTACAATGCCTAGGTAAATGTCAAAACCATCATAGGTTATGAATAAATACTTCTGAAGGCTGAATGAATGAAAATAGGAGTATTTAGTTTCTTTATATGACTCTTTAGTTGAGCTTAATACACAAAAGGCTCAACATCCTTATTGAATTGTAGCTTGAAATCCCATGGTAACTTCAATATCTTTACTGAAGTAACTTCAATATTGGCTCTTAATCTGCAATTTCATGGCAACCTCAGACCTTTCTTATCACTTATTTGCTTCTCTTTGCTTCAGGTAAATCTTACTATAATCCACCATACATGGAACAGTCTGCATCAGTCAGGACATGTTGGCTTATGCTACAGTAACAAACAGCCCCCAAATCTCAGTAGTTTGTAACAAAAATTTTTCCTATAAAAAATATATCCACTTAGCTCCCTCTGTCTGCAACACTGTTGGCCTCTGGTAGAAGAGCTATACATACTTCCCATCATGTTTCTGTGGCCAGAGCAAGTCTCATTGCCAACTTTTATGTCAGGAGAACGGGAATGTTTAATCGTCTCCCAGAGAAGAGCAGCAAATATTTTTGAATGATAATGTAATTTACTATATCCTCCAACTTTCCATTTGCCAAGTCAACTTTCTTAAACATTTTCCAAAGTACATCTTCAGGGAAACTGTGGGCAGTAGAAACCACTATTGACTGCCATGACTGTACAGTCAAACAAACACTTGGACGATCATTAGGGACCTTGAAGAAGAGAATACGAAACTGATTTCAAAAACACATTACTCTCTGGAAATTCGCCAAGATACTCATTGACACAGAATTTGGAAGTAAGAAAATATACCATTTTCTTTTGCATTTGTTTAGCAAATACATTCTATTTGTTAAAAGTAGAATGCCTTTGGGAAGTCAAGGCAGGTGAATCGCGAGGTCAAGAGATCGAGACCATCCTGGCCAACATGGTGAAACCCCATCTCTACTAAAAATACAAAAATTAGCCAGGCGTGGTGGCGGGTGCCTATAATCCCAGCACTCAAGAGGCTGAGGCAGGAGATCGTTTGAACCTGGGAGGCGGAGGTTGCAGTGAGCCGAAATTGAGCTACTGCACTCCAGCCTGGCGACAGAGCGAGACTCCGTCTCAAGAAAAAAAAAAAAAAAAAAAAAGGAAAATGCCATTTCCAATCAGCAAAATGTTCCGGTATCCGGCGCATGCCCCACACATCCTAGTCTCTGAGGTGGAAACAGTAAGTGGGGCAAACAACGAAGGTGAATAAAAGCACAGTTTACCTTCCCAACTATTTATAGCTCCTGACCCATGTCAGACAGATTCATTCAGAACTGGCCTCCATAAAGCTGTGGCGTGCACTATCCTGGAGGTATAAAAATATGCTAGGGCACACGCCTAAGTGATTTAGGAGAGGTTTCACATTGTATGCACCTCTGGTGTATGAGACATTCATGGTTGAATAGGATTCCTTCAGGCAGGGATGAAGGAGAGCTTTCAAGGTAACGGACCCAGCAGAGCCATTCAAGATGCCACGAGACAGAGACCTCGGAATGTTAGTCAACCCAAGAATTATCTGACGTAGTAGATCTATTCTGCTAGGCAAAGGCTTTTCCCATTTGATGTGCATCTTAAAGAGTACATAAAAGTATTTTTGTAGCTCCGGTAGACAAGGTCCTTACACTGGCAGGATGGAATGCCATGAAATATGCGGTATCTATGTGGAAAACTCCCAAGTGATCACAGCTAGTGGCAAATAACTTGAAGTTGAGAAGTAATGAGTCAGCTGCACTAAGACATCCCTTTTAAAATGAAACAGAAGCTTGAATTTACAACTGAAATGCGCTGAAGCCCTAATGTCTGTGTGCCAGTGCAGACGTGGTCAGGTCCCCAGGCAGATGCTGAGCCAACAGACAGAGGCACAGTCCCTGGGCACAAGTGCATTGTTCCAAGGCAGGGATTCCTTGGCAAAACTACCTAGTGAAGATGCTGATCCCGGCCCTTTCTCCCCAGATGCAGTCACCATTATGCCAAAAACACAGCTCTGGGTCTCTAATCCAGCCTGAATTTATATCATTCTCTAGGCATTAATATTTTTGAAGAACTCATTAAAAATGTGAACACAGAAGGTCATGCCAGCTTTGTAGAGTGCTAAGAGCCACTCAAATGCATCTGTGAACTAATAAGCTGGTATTTCAGCAAATGCAGCAGAGCTCACTTATCACATGCTCCTCTTCCCATTAAGCTGCCATGGTGAGGCACTCCCACTGCAGCCTGGGAAGCTTTGTGAGCTCTCACTTAGAGCCGTTCTGGGCCCATTATCATGCTATATGATTCATTTATTATCTATCTTTTACTTTATAATGCAGCCTAAAATTAAAAATAGTGTTTCTAATTTTTACTCCCATTACTAGTCATCTTATTATGTGTTGAAAAAACCCATTAAGAAAAGGAAATATAAGAAATAGAAAAGAGAGAGAAGAAAAATGGGATTGGGGTTTTAAAAAAAATTGTTTGAAATATTGTCTCAACCAGACAATGAGTCCTTTCTAATCCTCCACAGAAAAACCAGCATTGAACCATATAACAGTGCAGCAAAGAACAGGGATGTTTGTTTCAACAATCCAGCCTCTCCATTATTTGGGATACTCCTTTTTGAGAAGGTTACTATCCTCTCTTTCCTTGTGTGTAAAATCAAGGCAAGAACACCATAAGTGGCAAAACATTAAATTATACTTCATAAAAATTAAAAACAGTTATGCTCCAAAGTGTACCGTCAAGACAACCTACAGAATGGGAGAAAATATTTGCAAATCATGTATCTGATAAGGAACTTATATCCAAAATACATAAAGAATGCGGCTGGTTGGGTGGCTCATGCCTGCAATCTCAGCACTTTGGGAGGCCAGGGCGGGAGGATTGCTTGAACCCAGGAGTTCAAGACCAGCCTGGGCAAAACAGTGAGACTCCATCTTTACAAAAAAATACAAAAATTAGCTGGGCATGGTGGCACACGCCTATAGTCCTAGGTACTTAGGAGTCTGAGATGAGAGGATCTCTTGAGCCCAGGAGATTGAGGCTGCAGTGAGCCAAGATTGTGCCACTGCACTCCAGCCCGGGCGACAGACTAAGACCCTGTCTCAAAGAAAAGAATGCTTATAAAAAAGACAAATAACTGAAATTGTTTAACTGGGAAGAGGCTTTGAATAGATATTTTTCCAAAGATAGAGAAACAGCCAAAATAGCATATGAAAAGATAGTCAACATCATTTAGTCATTAGGGAAATGCATGTCAAGACCACAATGAGATACCACACCATACCCTATGGCCACAATAAAAAAGACAGAAAATAACTAGTGTTGGTGAGAATATGGAGAAATTGGAACCCTCCTATACTTCCCGTAGGAATATTATCAGGCCACCACTTTAGAAAATAGTCTGATAGTTCCTCAAAAGGATGTTACCCTATATGACCCAGGAATTCCACTCCTAAGTATATGAGTTAATTTCCTAAAAGAAATTAAAACATATATCTACACTAAAACTTATACCTGAATGTTCATAGCAGCCTTATAGCTAGTAGCCCAAAGGGAAGACAAGCCAAATGTTCATCAGCTGATGAACAGATAAAGAAAATGCAGTATATTTCTTCGGCAATAAAAAGGAATGAAGTACTGATTCATGGCACAACATGGATGAACCTTGAAAACCATGCAAGTGAAAGACCAGACACGAAAGACCACACAAATGATTCCACTGATATGAAATGTACTGAAGAGACAAATCCATAGAAGGAGAAACTAGATTAGTGGTTGTCTAGGGTTGGGAGAAATGGGAAGAGACTGCTAATGGATACAGGGCTTCTTTTTGGGGTGATAAAAATATTCTAAAATTGATTTTGGTCATGGTTGGACAACTCTGCAAATATACTAAACACCACTGAATGTGCCCTTTAAATGGGTAAATTGTATGGTATGCGAATTGTATCTCAATAGATCCATTATAAGGAAAAAAAATGTTTACTACATGTATTTTTACTGGCAATCAAATTCACATCAACTATAAGACATGCTATCTGACCCAAAGTACACTCTCAATAAATACAAGTTCCTTCTTTCTTTTCTTTTCCTCCTACTTTGGTGCTTTCTCTGTTCATGATTCTGTAATCAGAGATTTCACCATTGAGCACAGTTTTAAACTTTTGCTGGAGGTCTTAAAGGCAATTCAAAAGGATGAAGGTAGTTAAAAACTCTTTTTGCAAAAAAGATTTAAGGCAATGAATTTCTGAAGAAGTCTGTCTTCTGTAATGAGACATGTTTCATATGTCAGAAGCCCTTATAAAAAGTGATGTCACAGCAAAAAGAGAACCAGTTAAGCGCTGCCTTGGCCCTGGGAGTGAGCACGCTCTGGTCCAGCATTTTGGACTGAGAGATTAGGGATTGTAACCGGCTAGGAAGCACAGGTGAATTGTCTCTAGGGATCCCAGTAACAAAAGTCAATGGGGAGAAAAGAAATAGAAATTTTTCTCTGGAATTTAAGGTCAAATTAAATTACAAATAAAAGACAGATGGTAATTCTTCCTTTTAATGTTTCATCTATCTTTTCTATACCTCTAGTAGATAGTATTTATAGACTGAATGGGCAATAATTGGATCCTAGGCTTTAGTTAAGCAGACTAAAGCCTGGAGTTCACAAATGGACTCTTAAAGAGAAAGCTGAGTGCATGTATTTACAAACAGTGTGACAGGTGGACTTTTAAAAAAATTTATAATTTGTCATGATCATTAATAAGAAAATAAAGCAGTATTTTGAAAACTGATTTTTGAAAAAAAGAAAATTCACATATCTTAACTGAAATGTCTCATCATTATTCATTTTGCACCCTTCTCTTTTTCTTCCAATCTTAGCCAAAGTATTTTGAAATAAAGTCAGAATATATCACTGTCCAAATGTACCAAAGAAAAAAGGAAGAGAAAGACAAACAGCACAAAATTAAAGAAGCATATTAAATCATCTGTTCTCCACATATCTTGCGAAAATCTCAATCTTTCCGTTCAAAGACAACTCTAAAGTGACAAGTAAATTTCAGATTTGGCAAAAACTGTATATCCCACATTTTGCTGGTGAGCGGGACACATTTTCAAGACCAGTACAAAGCTGAAGTTTCAATCTGTTGATCAGTGTGTTCACAGTGATATTTGAGGAGCTCTTTGATTTTTAGCTGAATATGTTTGTTGAAATAAATTTAATTCAGTATTTCTTTTAACCTGATCCCGTAATCTGTCTGTTATGCAAGCGCTTTGCTCACGTTTTCACAGCTTGTAACTGTTACAGCCAACGGCTCAAATATCCTGACTGAGCTTTATAGTGCTTTCTTCAACAACAGAGTATTCTGGATAAATGTTTCCTCTTTATAATGTTTTCAGAAAAATACAGAATTTCCTGAAATGAAATTTTAAAAAAGGTTTCCTAAATTTTCTTCTTTTTTACGCTCATGTATTAGTAGTGCAAATTAAATAAGAATTACATATCAAAACAACTGGAAACTTTTCTGAGAAATATAAAGAGGAGTGAAAAATAAAACATGGGTTTGGGTATTATAGAATCTACTGAAACCGACTGGAAAAAATGGACAGAATTTAAATAAATCTGCTTGAGGATTTATTTAAATCTGGAGAGATTTTAATGGAGAGATAAAAAGCCAGTAAGAAATCTGTATCAAGATGTGAGAGAGAAAGAAAAAAGAGAGAAGAGCTCCATGTTTCAGATACCTGCAGTTTTCATAAGGGAAAGATGAGAAGCTAATTAGAACATCCAAGACTCAGGGGACTAAGGGGGCAGGCACTGGACATAGAGGCCATCAAGAAGGGGGCCACAATAAACCTCCTACAGCTTGGGTTGGTTATACTTACACGGAAAGTTTTGCTCAAGATGTACAGATAAACCAGACGGACTTATGCGTGTTCAAAGACTGAGCCTGAACTCAGAATTACTCATACCCTAGAAAGTAGATGAAGCTTATCCTAGATTGCTAATGCCTCCAGCTGTCTAGTAGAAGCAAGCATAGATCCTCTCTAAAAGATACACCAAAAGAGCATTTCCAGCATGAAGCTTGAGAAGAAAATGAAATGCAACATACAGAAAGAAATGAGCAAGATAGACAGGATATGATGACAAGATCGGGTACGTGTGTAATTGGGGTTCTAGAAGAAGAGAGAATGGGGCAGAGGCAGCCCTTAAGGAGATGATGGCCAGTGATGCTCCAAACCCTCAGACACACATCCAACCAGAGATTCAAGAAGGTCCATAAACTCCAAGAAGGGCCAGGTGCAGTGACTCACAACTGCAATCCCAGCACTTTGGCAGGCTGAGGCAGGCAGATCACTTGAGGTCAGGAGTTCGAGACCAGCCTGGCCAACACAGCGAAACCCCGTCTCTACTAAAAATACAAAATTTAGCCAGGCATGGTGGCATGTGCTTGCAATTCCAGCTACTAGGGAGGCTGAGGCAGGAGAATCGCTTGAACCCAGGAGGCAGAGGTTGCTGTGAGAGGAAATCGTGCCACTGCACTCCAGCCTGGGTGATGGAGTGAGACTTTGTCTGAAAAAAACAAACAAAACAAACAAAAAACTCCAAGAAGAATAATCACAGAGAAAGCTGCAACTTGGTACATCATAGTTTTGGAAAACCAAAAACAAACAGAAAAATCACAAAGTCATCTGCAGGGGGAGAAAAACAAGTTACAGTCGTGCCCCTCGTAACGACCTGTAGGTCAATGGACAGGGTCCCATAAGATTATAGGGGAGCTGAAAAATTCCTACCGCCTGGTGACATCATAGTCTGGTCCTAATAAACTTCCAGAGTGTTTGTTCTTTTCTAGCTCCCCCCAACACCCTTTTTCTGGGGAGACAGCATCTTGCAGGCTGGACTGCAGTGGTACAATCATAGCTCACTGCAGCCTCAAACTCCTGGGTTCAAGCGATCCTCCCACTTCAGCCTCCTGAATAGCTGGGACCACAGATGCTGCCACCGTGGCCTGACTAAATCTTTTATTTTTTATAGTGATGAGGTCTCACTGTGTTTCACAGGCTGGGCAGGAACCCCTGGCCTCAACTGACCCTCTTGCCTTGATCTCCCGAAGCGTTGGGATTACAGGTGTGAACCACTGTGCCCAGCCTCTAATCCCCTTTTTCGGGAATACTCTCTCAGGCTAGAAAGTCCTTCAATCTTGTTTACTAGTCACATTCTTATTAATTCAGAATACTTGTGGAAAGGAAAATAAATTAGGATAACATTTAATATTAAAATATCTTTAGAACACTGCAACTTATGCCATTTCTTCATGCACAGGTGAATTAGAATAACTTTAAAGTGCAAGCTTTTGAAAGTTGGGAGATTTTGTAACTGACTGATGTGGAGCTCTTGCGCTACACCCAATAAATGCAGGACTCAGTATGTGCTGGAAGGAAGACATGATACTGCATTCTGGTAGCCCCATGGGTCTGTGAATAGTTTAAGTGTTCTGCCACATACCTGTAGTGCCTATTTTCTCCAGACATTTTTAGGATGTGTTCTACCACATACAGACTGAAAAGAAAGATGGGGATTGCACCTGGAGGAAGGTGGTTCTAAGTGCTTTCAAGTTAGTGGATTCAGGAAGTCATTCTAAGTGGCTGTGGTCCCCCACGGAAGCAGCATACCCTCTACAAACACCTCACCTGGCTTTCTAATGAGGCTGCATGAAAATGCAGTAAGAAATCCTCATAGCAGCACGCTCATGGCCATTTCTGCAACTTTCTAGGCAAAGGCTGCATGGGCAGGATTACTCCACAGTGAGTGTGCTAGCCTCTGTTCTGAGCAGACCTTTAGCTCCTACCACTCAGGGCATGGAACACTTTGAAACCCAGTTTTAGAAGTAACATATCATTTTTTTCAATGCCTCACAGGCCAACGTTCTTGGTTGTGGACACTATTTCTTAATGATAAGCCCAAGTTCCTGCTGGCTCTCATTTCTCCCTGAGGTAAACCTCTCAGTGCGTCTTCTCCGGAGAATGCAGGGACATCTGCAAGACCTCTTGAGGTGGAGGATAAAGTGGCACTGCATAGAAAAAGGATCTGATTGGTGTCTTAAAAATTCAGGCTTTTCCATCTACTTATCATGTACTTTGGCTCTTAGGGGCTGGGGTGGAGAGGAGGGAACGTTGCTGGTGACCTTGACTGATCAATTACTTACTCAGTGACAACTGCCACACACCCAGGACACATTGGGCATTACTCAAGATGGGGGTGGGGAGAGGATGAACCACGCATGACTGACGCAGGTCCCTCCTCAGGGAGGTGTGCCCTTGCAGATGCAGGCACCGTGAGCTGTGAGCAGAGCTGGAAGGTGGTCAGTACTGCCCTGTGGAGATGCACCCCAGCCACTTAATCCAGCCTGGGGGGCTGTGCCGGGTCAAGCAGGTTGAAAAGGCTTCCCAGAGGAAGTAGCGCCAGATGAAGCCTAAGAATGAGTCGGAGCTAGCCACATGAAGGCGAAGCTGGTGGCCATGGGTCAGGAGCATTCAACCAACCCATTCACTGGCTTCATGGTTGTCATCACAGGACTGGGGTCAATTTTTATGCACTCTTTGTTCAAGCTACATGAACAGCTCTGCCTTCTCTTAGCATTTTCAACCAAGAGTTGGTGATCTCTGAAATGCTTTACATTTTACAAAGCACTTTCATTTATTATACCAATTACAATGCACAGCATTCAGTAAGCACAGTCAGCACTGCACACTGCAAAATATACATTTAGTAATTTAGTAAAAACCTGTGCAAGAACAGACTGAGGAGCAGAAGACGCCATCTCAATCTTGGGGCAGTTGATATAAAGATGACAAGGAAACCCAGGCTAAGGCAACCTTCATCAGGTAACATCAGGAGAAGATGACCATGTCTAATGGGGCAAGGCGGACTGGAGGTGGCGCAAGTTCCTGGACCACTAAGGCTGGCTGCTAACCCCAGTGGAGCAAAGGCAGCTTACTCTTGGGAGGAGAACAGCACCTACCTCCTCTGGTCATCCTCTTTCCTTCCTCTTCCTTCCTGCCTCCAAGGTCATCAATGACCTGTTGTCTGCCCAAAGATGGGAGATTCTTATGTTATCAAACATTGATTGGTGAAATTCATCCTCGGTCTTTTCAATAACCAGTCCCAGAGAGCATCTTCTTCTCAGGTGAGCCTTCCTCCCCATCAAAGCCTATCACTCTCCTTTAGATACAGAGAGGAGGGGTGTGTGTGATGTGTGAATGATAACAGCACTCCTTCCGATGATCCTGTGCTGTGAGTCTATGGCAGCACATTTTGTCACTCCAGTCACGCCCATGGAGCCAGTGCCCCTGAAGGGACTATAAGTGGATGCAGGACTCACCTGTGGCGAAGACAACATTCCTCGAGACCAGACGGTGCTCCACGATGGAGAACTGCGGGAGCTCAATCCTTTCCACTCCGGTAACAGCCTTGTCCCCGCCTCGCCAGTAAAACTCAATGTCATCCGTGGTGTAGCCATCTGCCAAGAGAGAAGCAGGGAGACAGCAAACATCACCATTTCGTATAAATGCACGGCTAAATAAACTATCATTAACATGGAGGTTGCGGCTCTGCTATGTTTTGAGTAGATTTGCTTAATGTGCTTGTCTAGGGGAAGTGTCATCAAAGAACTAACTTTCCAATATTCTCATGTTACTGCTGCCATTTTATTTGTACCAGGTTGGTACTGAAAAGTCGAGAGGCTGGGGAGAATGGGTGCTCTGACCAGAGTTCTATTTGCGAAGTGTAACTTCAGAGCTGACCCAGACACCACACAGAGATGAATTTAAAATGTATCTCAACTGCAATGAATAAGATAGTTTTAAGAGAATGAGAATTGAAGTATGAAGAATTCCAGAAAGGCATACTCCTCTCAAGAGCTTCTGAGAGAGTTCAAAGTTCAAATACTGAAGGTGAATTTCACCAGTGGTTGATTACATGAGGTAAGCTCAGAGCAAAAGGAATGTTCTCCTTGGCATATTTGGATGGTTTTATCAGCTCTTCCTGGCCACGAAGTTTGCCAACCTTAGAAATGCCTGTTCTTGGGATATTCCTGACCCTTAGAGATGGGCACAGGTGGTCTCATCAGAAAGAACAGTGGTCGTTAGCTGGATTATAGCTCCAAATCCAGCTTTAGCACAGTGCTCATATTTACAGCGTGATTCATCATGGCTTCTTGAGGATGAGTAAGTGGGGCAATAGGTGCATTCTTACTTGTAACACCCAGGAGTCTCCTAAAACATTAGGTCAATTTTGTCAATAAGATCATTTAAAGCAGAGATTGCGAGAACAATATTATCTCAATATAAGACTTTTTAATTTGAACATAAAATATAAGAAAAAATATTCACTCAATATTTAATGTTAGTCAAACAAATGGACCAAAGCTGTAGGGTGGGGAAGAGTTGCTCCCCACAGCTAATGCCACCTTCCTGGTCCTACCTACTCTCCTCTCTTTAATAAAACATGCATCTTTCCACATGGTAAGTGGCAGACTCTACTTAAAACTTGCAAATGCTTCCTAGTGAAATTATTAATAGCAAAACAAGTACAAACTCCTTACAAGAACCTCAAGAACCTACAGGCCTGACCCCTGGGCCTTCATCCCTCCTTTCTCATTCACCCAGCCAGGCCTCACTGGTCTCTTATTGCAGCTCAGACCAGCGTGCTCTGCCCAGGGCTCCTGGGTCCTGTGCAGGGACACACCTCCAGATCTTCACATAGCTCATTCTTTCCCACATTTGCATCTTGGCTGAAATAAAACCTTTTGCAGAAGCCTTCCCTGGCATTCCATCTCACAGGCAACCTCGCAATCACTCACTATGCTTTTATCAGACTTTACTTTCTTCAAAGCACTACCACTATTTGATTTTGGTCTAATGGCTTCCTGTCTTTTGTGGATTATAAGCTCCACAAAGGCAGGTGTTTTGTCTGTCATCTCTAAATATCCCTTTGCTTACAACCGTGCCTACATAATGTCCAGTAAGTATTTGTTGGATAAACTTTGGGTTGATGAATTTGCCCTCAAGTGTGGAAATAAAGACACCATTTTTCTTTTATCTATTCCCAATATGGAGACATGTGTAGTCAGACCAGAAGAAAATCAGGAGAATCCCTTCTTCCACTCAAATGATTAAACCATGATTCTCTGCAGAGAAGGGACCTCACACATGGAGAGAACCTCTTCTACAGCAGATCTTCCTGCTCATCATACACCACTGCCCATACACCACAGCGGCAGAGTCCTCTCTCTCAGGAGTCATGCACTGTGTGACTTGACAGTTGAAACAGGAGCTGCTGCCTTACTTAGATTCCAAATTGGCCTTCCTGAAACTTCCTCCACTGGAGTTGTGCCCTCACTGGAGTTGTGCTCTCTGGCCACACTGAAGCCAGTTAACTTCTTAAGATCATCCTTCAAATACTGGGAAATCATCTTTTCCCTGAGCCTTCTGTCCTCTAAGGTAAAAGTCCCCAGAGAATTCAACTTTGCATCACTTGACATGGCTTATGTCTTTCTTATTCTGTGAAAGCACAGCTCTCAGAAAACACGACAGTGATGTAGGGTGGAAGTGAGGGGCACCATGGGGCCAGCCTCACCCAGGATCTACACTAGCCTACCACCAGTGCAGTTTCTCAATATGTTCATTCACAAAGACATTCGCTTCTTACCACAATTGTTTCAAGTGGGACTGCAAAGTCAAAGTCATTTATCCCCCTAAAATTCAGTATAAATATTGACAAGCCTAAATCCAATTGAGACTAGTTATAAACCAGTTCATAATAGGCCAAGATAAGCAACAACAAAAACCATATCCTGATATGCCAGGAGGTGTAGTTTAGGTAGCAGGAGGGACATTGTTAGATGTTATGGATGCAGTTCTCATCTCTCATATAGGAGTACTCAATGCTGAATTATCAATAAAGCATCTGAATACTACTCAAATTGAAGAAAATTGCCGAGATGCAGAAATAGCCTGCTTGTCAAGCCGAGTTCCTGATGGGAAATGAGTTTTACTCTGACCGCCCAGGGTCCCAGCAGTGCAGCCACTCATGAGTGATGAAGCATATTGTAGGAAAATAGCATCTCGGTGTTTGCTCTCCTCTCACTGAATGGACCGAAATGAGGGGCATTTGTTTTCTTCTATTTCAGCGCAGCAAACAGACTCTCTTAATCAGATTAGAATGAAGAACTCTTTTATACTGAGTCTCTCTCTCTCTCTGTGTTTCTCTCTCTGTGTCTTCCCCTCTTTCTATGTCAAAAAAATTATGGATGCCTTGAAAAAAGATGCTAAATAATGACAAAAGGATCAAAAGTACAAATAGGAGGAGAAAGAAACACAGATACGGATACACACAGCTTTCAATTTCCAGAGTGCAGTTCTGCTCGTCCAGGGGGTATCTCCTGAGGTCCATCATGCATGCTGCTGTCGTGGTGATTCTGAAATACACAGGGTGAGGGAAGATATTAAAGAAGGGCTGAGAAATGTATCAGGGAGACTCCTCTTAGATAAACGAGTAAGCCCCTGTGGGAACCCTGCCCAAAGTACGCCTGGCTAAACATCATTCACTATATATAGAGAGAAACTTGAGTAAATAAGAAACTCTTTTCAGCATAATATAGACCAGATTTATCAAGGAAAAAAAAAACACAAAACTTTATTTTATTATATATTTTTAATCATTTATTTTTTGATTGACATAAAAATTGTATACATTTGTAATATACAGCATGATGTTTTGAAATATATATACACTGTGAAATAGTTAAATTGAGGTAATTAACAAATGTATTGTATCACCTATTTTTTTTTTTTTTTGATCAGAGTCTTGCTCTGTCGCCCAGGCTGGAGTGCACTGGCATGATCTCAGATCACTGCAAGCTCCAACTCCCAGGTTCACGCCGTTCTCCTGCCTCAGCCTCCCGAGTAGCTGGGACTACAGGCGCCTGCCACCACGCCCAGCTAATTTTTTTGTATTTTTTAGTACAGACGGGGTTTCACCATGTTAGCCAGGATGGTCTCGACCTCTTGACCTCGTGATCCGCCTGCCTCGGCCTCCCAAAGTGCTGAGATTACAGGCGTGAGCCACCGCACCTGGCCTGTATCACCCATTTAGCTCTTTTTGTGTGTGACGAAAATGCAAAATCTACCCTCTTGCAATTTTTGAGTATACAGCACTTTGTTATTAGCTATAGTCACCATATTGTACCAAAAACTTACTAGGTCTTATTGACTTTGGATAATCAGTGGCAGAGAAAGGGGTTTCCAAGGGAGTTCTTACCTTCAATTTTTGTTTCTCTTCTTGTCTATAGGCTCTCTAGCCTCTCTACTACAGACAGAGCCTATGTGTGGGACACCACCAATTAGGTTAAGACTGAGGTCTTTGACTTTCCACGGGAAGTGTTAAAGTAGCTACAGATACACTTTGGAACTCTAAACCTCACCTCTGCTTCTTTCTATTTTATTATAGTTGTCTGTTGGGCTGGATTCTGCTATTACAGAAATTGTTTTACTGTGTGATCATCTATCTTTTCAAAACAAATATTTGGCTCCTATTTTATCAATTATGAACCAAAATTGGGTGGGTAAGTTCTCTTGGGGCCAGCTAAAGCTATGGAAATAATTACTTCCCAAAAGCAGTTAAGGCTCCACCATGCAATGGTTAAGCCAACCCTACACTGAGAAACAATACTTCTAGAAATGTCAAGTCCACTTCCTACTCTGCCTGCAGCCTTCTCTTAGGGAGACCAACTTACTCACAGCTGCTTCTTTGAAAACGCAACTATTAGGGTTATTATATTTTACACTACATATCTCTAGAACCCCACCCTTTCCCCACCACTGTCAAAGGTGACTGGACTGTGGTGGGTTCCTGAGTCAAAGACAGCAAGCCATTAGTGGGTGAGAGATACATGACATGGCCTGAGTTGAAAGGCAGAGTGGAGCTAAAGAGACTCTCTTCCATAGGAATGAATTGAACAGTAAAGATAAGAGTGGAAGTGCATCTGCAAGGCCATGGTTTACAGGCTTGTGATGCTGTTTTCAAACTGGAGAGCAAAGGATGAGAAAGCATCATAGAGGGAGAGAAGGTACAGCAAGTAGAGTTGAGGTTGCAGTCGTAGTTGTGCCCCAGGCCACAGCGGGTGGCCTTGCTGAATGTGTGCTCCACCTCTCCAGGGAGCAGCTTCTGAAAGCCTGTGCAGGAGTTGTGTAACTGGCAGTCCTGGCTATGCCCATTCAGTGATGGGGAGTAAGAATGAAAATGTGAGAATGCTTTCTCCTGAGATCCCTAGAGTCACCTTCAATCCCCAGCTGTCCTTCAGGTTTCATCTTTCTTGAAGCCCAGTGTTGAGCTTTTTCTGAATGATCTTCATTATGAATATTCACAACAAACCTACTAATGCTGCAGGTAATGAGCAAGCCCGACTCTTACCAACAGATCCTAATCCAAACACCTGTAAAACACTAGACATGTGCCAATACTGATGGACTTGTGTCATTTACCCTAAACTCAGGTGATAAAGTATGTCCTTCCATTAGCATCTGGTTAAGCAAGCAGGTTGAGCAACATTCTACTTTCCAAAGATTGAGAGAAGCAGTGAGGGATAATGCCAACATATTTAGCACACAGGTCAATGCTTAATTTTTTATGCAAATAGCATGCATGCACCATGCAGACATCATCAATAAAATCCATACCAATGGTGAAAGTGTGTTCCTTCCAAATGTCATAACACTTCCCCTTATCCATGGAGTCAAGGAGTGCATTACATTCTGTGATCCCAAATCAACACATAGCTCTTTGGCATATTTTTCTACAGCATTTAACATTCTAGCCAACTGAAGTTCCAGACTCACACCTTTCAACTCTGGCATGTGTTATGGCAGATTGACAACCCAATAACCACACAAGATGCCTATAATGCAAAATTAGAATAGAGTTCTGCTAAAATTATGAATCTTTATGAAGAAGAAAAGAACCTTCACTGACAATGTTCAAATTTTTTAATTTTCTTTTTGTTTGTTTGTTTGTTTGTTTTTGCTACGGAGTCTTGCTCTGTCGCCCAGGCTTGAGTGCAGTGGCGCAATCTTGGCTCACTGCAAGCTCCATCTCCCAGGTTCACACCATTCTCCTGCCTCAGCCTCCCAAGTAGATGGGACTACAGGCGCCTGCCACCACGCCCAGCTAATTTTTTTGCATTTTTAGAAGAGACAGGGTTTCACCGTGTTAGCCAGGATGGTCTCGATCTCCTGACCCCGATCCACCCGCCTTGGTCTCCTAAAGTGCTGGGATTACAGGCGTGAGCCACCGCGCCTGGCTTAATTTTCTTATATATTTTGGTACCTATTCACTTGAACTGAGTCAATGATTGAAATTACTGTTTCTTACTGTTTTCTTATTCACTTTTCAAACCACCCCTAACACACACACACACACACACACACACACGCATACATACACATAAACATGCCCAAATTGTTCGGGGACACCATGTGCAGTGGTCACATTATTGGAGGGAGAAGGGGAACCTGAGGCTAGAAGAATTGGTGACAGCATGCCCTTTTCCCACCAAGTACACCAAGTACAGTAGCTGTCCAGGTCTTCTCATTCTGTTATAATGCTGGCTATAAAATGGAGCCCCATTTCAGTGAGCTGAGATGGGGCCACTGCACTCCAGCCTGGGCGACAAAGTGAGTAAGACTCCATCTCAAAAAAAAAAAAAAAAAAAGAGAGAGAGAGAAAGCGAAGAAGGAAATTCTGAAATTTGTGACAACATTGATGGAATTGGAGAACATTATGCTAAGTGAAATAAGTCAGGCCCAGAAAGACAAATATCACATTTTCACTTATTTGTGGAATTAAAACAATGAACTTATAGAAGTAGAGAGTAGAATGGTGGTGGCAGAAGCTGGAGGAGGGAAAATGGGGAGGTGATGAGCAAAGGGTAGACAATTTCAAACAGGGAGAATATGTTTTCTCTTTTTGTGCATTCTATTGCAGAACATGGTGAATATAGTTAGCAGTAGAGTATTGTACATTTCAAATTGCTAAGTAAACTTCAAATGTTCTTGCCACAAAAAAATGTTAATAATTTGAGGTGATGGATATGTTAACTAGCTTGATTTAATTATTTCACATTAGATTCATAAATCGTAACATCATTTTGTGCCCCATACATTGTTCCGCCACGCAACTCCCTCTTCACAGAACCCATAAATCTATACAATTATACACTGTCAATTTACAATTAAAAAAATGGAGCCACTTTTTTCTTTTTATGTGAGGAATAAAGTAGACACATCTACTCACTACTTTTCTTTATTTGGAAGAAATACTCAGAAAACCCTCTCAGAGTGAAGAGTGAGGCACATGAGCTTGCTCTTGCTCATGCGGCAAAAGGTAACCATCAAGATAGAAGAAGTAGCTGAACAGCTGGGATAAAAAGGCAAAAAGAGAGAGAGTAGGGGTGGGGAGCAGAGCGAATAAAGTAGGCTGTGGAGCAGGAGCATGCCCCTCCCTAAGCCACAAAATCCTCATCCAAGTTGGCTAAACTCATCACAGGCTGGGAGAGTGGGCCTTTTGAGTGAATCGACCCTGGGATGTTGCAGAAATCATCGAATGTGTGCTCCACCTCTCCAGGGAGCAGCTTCTCAAAGCTTGTGCAGGAGTTGCGTTAAGGTTGAGAAGGGTTACAGAAGGGTTGAGGAATTTCACAGACGGTAGAACTGAGAGTTCAAGCCTAGTGCACGGAGATCAACCAAGGGCAGATAGGCCACAGTGACATCTGGGCTCCACTTGTGTAATCCCCAACACTCACACACATGGTTTTATATTTTCCCTAATAAATATATATATTTTTCGTTCTGACAGAATAATTTAACAAACATCTAGTGCCACCTTCTCCAGCCCTCTGTGATCTGAGAATTCCACTGTTATTCCTAAGTGGTGAAGCTCAGCAATCGGAATCCAATAGGACTGGGTGAGGCTCTCTCAGTATTACTCTTCAGTAGGTTCCTTTTTTTTCTTTCGATTGTTTATTTTTTGTTTTATGATTGAGAGACAGCAGTGCTTAGGGTCTCTGTGACTACGAGGTATGTTTCTGATAGAGAAGCAGAGGAAGATAATGGCCAAGTGACAGAAGACACGCCTGTGTCCAATATATCCTTTCTTTACAGTCATACTTTGAGAATGCTGAAAGTAGAGAGAAAAAACAAACAAAAAAGTCGACAAAGAGACAGAGGACTGAGGACTAGAGAACTGGACAACGTTACAGGGATGGTGCTAATTCATCATCTCAGTGCCCAGGACAACCACCAGTCATATCTGTACTTTATGGAACACCAGTTGAGCAGTTGCTCAGTGCCCAGTTCTGTGCCAAGTACTTTAATACACACGTGTTTACTCTCACAACAACCATATTATAGAGGTATTGTTATTATTATATCCATTGTGCAGATGAGTGAACCAAGGTTTGGAAAGAGTAAGCAGCTTGACCACGTTCCCAATGCCACTGGAAGGCAGATGCGGCATTCAGATCCAAGCAGTTTGAACCCTATGCTCTGCTACATCTATATTACCTCTTTTACCTTAAACATACAAGATACATTCAACTTTTAAAGGCCTACTCAGGAAATGAGAATCTTGTTTTGAATGAAGAGCAATAAGGTTGATAAATTTATGTAGACAGAGATATAAATATTGATACTTACACATATTATAGGCATATATATACATATATATTCATAACATTCTCATTAGATATGTCAAATTGGAAATATAATGAGTAAATGCCGAAAATAAATATTCTACATGCTATTCCTACAGTAATTATAGTGACATTTAATCCAACAGCTTCCCACCCATTGTGGAATAGGGTCATTTATTAGATCATTCCTGCTTTTACAAATAATACATGTCTAAAGATATGATTAAGAATTAAAAGTATTAACATGTAAGAAATAAACTTGAAGTTGTAAGGAGAGCACTATCTCTAGTAAGTGTAAAATCATATTTTGAGATTCTGGTGACGCACTGTCTTTGGACGCTGTCTTCAACTACCCTTAGAGACCGTTCCCTGCACGCCTGAGTCAAGGATGTCAAGATCCACGGATGTCAGTGTGTTGAAGGGTTTTCATTTTGTCTCAGTTGTATTAAGCTTGTGAAATACTTTCTGGCATTAGCATTTCCATTTTTAAAATATTCACACATTGATAAATCATAATAAGGGCAGATGCAAACTCTTCATGAATTGCATAAATACAAACTTCTCTTCATAAGGACTGCTGTGTAAATGTTGCTGTCTGATGGTCAGGGACTTGCTCACTTCTGCAAACATTTGTCTGAAACATCTACCTGTTGACTTAGGTATAAAAGTGCTCCTTGTCAGTGTTGCTGGGAAAGGCTGGATATGGTCAGAGTCTGGGATTCATGCTTAGAGTGAATCCAGCAATGCACACAATCTCTTCCCCCATTTGTATGAATAGTTTTGATTCACTGTAAACACTGGAGAGAACAGATTAAAATGTCCATTGCAAGCACTGATTCTGATTTCCCTGGCTGGTCACTGTATGCCAAGGTCCTGGACCAGCTTTCTCAGAGAAGCTTCTGGAACTAAACAATCTTGGTCTCTATCTCTCCTCAGCTTCCTCCTTTTGAATGTTTTCATTACATTTCATTACACCTACAAATCAGAATGTCCATTATTTGTTAGCTTGCTGGCCCCTCACTCACCCCCAGGTGAGCCCACAAGAGCAGGACTTTATTGCTCCTGTCCACGGTTCTCTCCCCAGTACCTAGAACGGCAGCAACCCCAACCACACACGCAGAGTAAGTGTCCTGTAAATATTCTCAGAACAAATGACTTTCAAGATAAGAGGACCAGGCATAAGCTGAAGTGTGGGACTCGAGCAAAATGTGGAAAGAGAAGGAGTTGGTTTAGTCCTTCTTGGCTTTAATGTCCCAAATGTAAGAGTCAGCGGGGACACATTCCCGCTAACAAGCACTCCCAGCATGAGTCCTGGCTGTGCATGGTTATGGACTCTGTTGAGAACCTCCACGGGGTCACCGGTCAAGAGGCTTGGATAAGAATCCCCTATTTTTATGGTCAAGTGGTCTCCGTGAATCTTTATGTTGCAGAATTCAATTCTTACCTGCAGAATTCAATCCTGCAGAATTGAATCCAACATCAGTGTGCGAGAGCTTTATGGCTTCAGCTGCAGCGAAGACCACATGAAATGCCGCCTTCAGGGGAGTCCTGGATCTCTGATCACAATCTTGTTAAGCTAGCAGGACCTGGAAGCAAGTTAGTAGCTCCTTTGGTGTGACTTCTGGCTTGCACTCGAGATGCCCAAATGTTCCAGAAATCTGGGCGAGAGTTGTATTTGTGGCCACGGGTTAGCACCACAGCCAAGGCATTGCTTCACAGGTAACCATTTGGCCCTTTGCAGTCACCCTACGGCAACTCACTCTCATCTTCATTCATCGTTCCTCTGATGCAGGATGCACTGGCTGGTGGAGGCAGCTATCATTTTACCAGGAAAAGGAACTCAGATGCTAGGATGTTGGACCTAAGTCAAATAATTCAGACCAAGCATTTTCCTTGAGCAAATGCTTGTTATTCAATGTGAAGAAGTCACAGGACATAGGCCAATGTTTCGTTTATCCCGATTTTTGTTTTACTTTACAAAATACATAAGAAAACACATTCATAGAACTATCCAAAGGCTTTTGCTATGGGAACTCCTTGAAGATGTTGCTGGGAAAATGATTGTGGTAAGTTGACTATGTTAGCAGCCAATTCCTTTCCTCTTTCCAGAATCCACTCTCCCAGCCATGTCATTACAACTCTACTCACCAAAGAGGAGCTGGCTGTTTGCCTGCCTCCTGAATGTGCGCCAACTTTGTGACTTGCTTTATCTAATATAAAGGCTGGAAGTGACCACGTGCCAGCCCCATGCTTAGGCCCTAAGATGCATTCTTTTTCTAGGCTTTTCTGCTTCTTCCTCTGCTGTGAGAAAGCCATGCCCAGAAGAGTCTGCTGGTTTCAGGAGAATGAACACAGAGAGCAGGACTGAGGTGACCATTCATCTTTTCAGAGACTACCCTGGGTAAGCTAATGGGTCTCCCATACCCAGCCTGTGAGAGAGCCAGCCAGAATCAGCAGAGATGCTCATTAACAACCCAGACACACAAGCAATGAGCACTTTGGGGTTATTGTATGCATTGAGGCTTTCTAGCTGATTGTTACACAGCACTCTTGCGGCAATAGATAACCGATACGATAGTCAACACAAGTAACTGCAAACATACAGAAGCATAAATTCTCTTATCGCTACGTAGGGATCACAACCTGATACTTCTGAGGAGTGTCATAAGATAGCAAAACCCTTAGCAAACAGCATTTTTCTAAAAGAGGGACATCTGTTTCTATATTGAAGCATAACTCCACTACCATTTAGGAATCCTAATTTTGGTGAATGAGTAGTCCCATCAGGCAAATGAGACAGGCCCAATGTACCTCCTCTTGATTTTCAAAGAATTTGGCAACACGCTACACAAAGCCGCAAACTGGCAATAGTGCTCAAGCCAGAACGAAAGGGGTATGCCAGATTCTAGAATACCTGAAAGGAACTGCCCAGAGGGTGGAATGAGAAGTTCTTAAGGACTACACCGCAGGTTCAACCCTCCGAAGAGGAAGAGAGAAAACAGCTTGAAAGAATCACTAAAGTACTTTGAGTCACTCCAACTATCTGGATCTAATTATGGCACTTGGGGGTTTCACAATCTAGAACTGCATTGTCCAAAACAGTAACCACCAACCATGTGTGACTATTTATATCTACATTTAGAATTAATTATTTTAAATCAACTTAAATGAAATAATATTAAAAATGTAGCTCCTCCGATGTTCTAGTCACATATCAAGTGCTCAACAGCCCTCTGTGACTGGCTGGTAGCTACTGTACTATGCAGATTACGGACTACCCCCATTACCACAGAAAGCTCCATCAGACAGCACAAAAATAATAGCTTGCTATCTGTGTCTCTAGCCTCAGAGAACATGACTCCCTGGATGAATGTAGTTGGGGGGATATGGTCAAATGCATGGAACCCAGAGGCTTGAACGTAAGCTGTCACAGCTGGAGGAAGCCCTGCATGCTGGGGTAGAAAATGTCACTCAAGACTCTACCCAAAGTGTGTCTGATTTCAAGGTTTAGTTATAACTCAGCAGCCAGACAGAAAGACCTACCCTAATTAAGTGACAATTAGGCGTAACAAATGGATCACCTTAACCTGATCTTCACATTTATATCCTAGAGGCTACAGCCTCCAATATGAGAGTGAAACTGAAGTCAAGATCACCACATCCATATTGGCACTAGAAAGTCACTTTGTTTCTATGAATCTGTCCCACCAAAGCATAAACATTCTGAATAGAAGAAGAGATGTTCTATGAAAAGCAATGGAAGCATAGAAAAAGCTAAAGTTGAAAAATTTAGATGACCTGTGTCTGGTTACTAAATGTATGAGTGGATATGGCCTCTTTTCAAGAAGAACGGGGAGGCAAAAGAACATTCTGAAATGAAGGCACAGACAGAGAGAAGAAGCTGCAACACTGAGAGATGAATGCAAGAAATCCTAGCCACAAATGCCAAATTGAAATCTGTACTGAAGGCAAGGGAATAGAATTAACATGGCTGAAAATCCTTTAATGGCATGGAAAGCTTCTTACATTTTAATGGGCACATACGTTATTAAAGGACCTTATTAAAATTCGGATTCTGTCCCAGCACTTTGGGAGGCCGAGGCGGGTGGATCACAAGGTCAGGAGTTTGAGACCATCCTGGCTAACATGGTGAAACCCCATCTCTACTAAAAATACAAAACAATTAGCTGGGCATGGTGGCACATGCCTTTAGTCCCAGCTACTTGGGAGGCTGAGGCAGGAGAATTGCTTGAACCTGGGAGGTGGAGGTTACAGTGAGCCGAGATCACACCACTGCACTCCAGCCTGGGCAACAGAGTGAGACTCCCGTCAAAAAAGAAAAAACAAAAAAAATTCAGATTCTGGAATTGGGTGGGTCTTTCATTCGAAATTCCCAGATAACATTCCCAGGTGATGCTGATGCTGGTCTGGATGACCCTATTTTGAGTAGAAAGGAGAGGGCAAACTTGTAAAACCTACTCAAAGGCAGAAGCTTTGAAAACAGAGGAGATGATAGATACTGAGGGGATAAAATGGATATGTAACTGAGATTTATTAGAGCAGGACCAAACAGCAACCAAATTAGCAAATTACACTTAAACATGAAACAATCAAAAAAATTTTAATTAAAATACAATACACACAATATAAAATGTACCATTTTAGTGATTTTTAAGTATATAATTCAGTGCATTCACATTGGTGTGCGACCAACACTACTATCCATTTCCAGAACTTTTTCATCATCTCAAACAGAAACTCTGTACCTTTTAAACAATAACATCGATTACCCTAACCCCAGGCCCAGTAACCTGTTCACATACTGTCTCTATGAATTGACCTATTCTATGGGTCACCACACATAAGTGAAATCATATAAATGAAATATTTGTCTTTTTCTGCCTGGTTTAGTTCAATTACTATATTTTTTTCAAGGTTCACCCATGGTGTAGCATGTACAAGAATTTCATACAATTTTAAAACTGAAAAAATTCCATTATATGGATATACCATATTTTATTTATCCATTCATCTGTTGGCAGACATTTGGGTTGTTTCTACCTTTTGGCTACTATGAATAATCCCACTATAAACATTGGCGTAAAAATATCTGTTTGGGTCACTTCTTTTGAATATACCTAGAAGTGGAATTGTGGATCATATGTTAATTTTACGTTTAAATTTTGAGGAACCACCATACTGCTTTCCACAGTGACTGAATCATTTTAAATTCCCATCAGCAATCCCTAAGTGCCTATTTTTTCTTGATTTTGACAACATTTGTTCTTCTCATTTTAAAATATATATATATATATATATATAATAGCCATCCTAATGTGTGTGATGTAGTATCTCATTGTGGTTTAAGGAAATGCAAGTCAAAACCACAATGAAGTACTATATCACACACATTAGGATGGCTATTGTCTTTTTTCCTATTTCCTTTAGTTCTTTGTCCATGTTTTCCCTTACCTCTTTGAATAAAGAGATTATTTAAAGTCTTTATCAAGTAAGTCCAATAATTAGATTTCTGCCAATTTATTTTGTTCCTTTGACTAAGCCATGTTTTCCTCTTTCTTTGTATGCTTTGTGATTTTTTTTCCCCTGAAACTTGGGCATTTCATCATTATAATGCGGTCACTCTGAAAATCAGATTCTTTCCTTTGCCCAGGATTTGCTGCTTTTAACTTTATGAGTCCATTTGTTTTGAATCATTTCAAAACTTTTTTTGAAAAGATTATTTCTTGTCAAGTTTAATCAGTGAAGTCTCTGTTGCTTTAGCTCATGTTTAGAGAATGTTTTAAATTTATTTATCTATGTATGTATTTGTCAGAGATGCAATCCCACTCTATTGCCTAGGCTGAGTGTAGTGGCATGACCACAGCTCACTGTAGCTTCAAACACCTGGGCTCAAGTGACCTTCCTGTGTTAGCCTCCCCAGTAGCTGGGACTACAGTCCTGCACCAACATGCCTGGCTAGATTTTTTCTTTATTATTATTTACTTATTTATTTGGTAGAGATGGGGTCTTGTTACATTGCCCAGGCTGGTCTAAAACTCATGGTCTCAACTGATACTCCCACCTCAGCCTCCTAAAGCACTAAGATTACACGCATGAGCCACCATGCCTGGAAAATGTTTTAACAAGAATTTCTTTAAGTGCCAAGAGCTGAAACAAACGAAGAAAAAACACACAAATGAAAAAGAGAACAGCATTCTTTCTCAGTCTTTGCAGACTGCCTATGTGCTAGGGCACACTTTCCTCTAAGCCTAGGGATTGGCCAAAAGCAAAAATTGGAGGTTCCTTAGGACTTTTCTGAGCATACTTCTTGTCTAGGCATGTGCATGGAGTTTTAAGTACTTCTACATATGTGGCTGCTTTTGCATGACCTAATTTCTCTAAGAGTCTCATCCCAGCTTCTCTTTTGAGCCTTAGATGGTGTATTTTATGCTTCCATCCAAAACCTCCCAACCCAGGCATCTTTAGGTTTGTCTTCACCCTGTAGCCTTAATGAGCACTGCCTGCCCCTTCTCTTACTTGCATTCTGAGTTAGGCAAAGCTGAGATGAACATCTTGCTTCAGTCTTTCAGGCATCCTCCAGACAGTTTAGAACATCTGTACACAATAATTTGCAAATAAGATCTGCTCTGCTCCCTCTGGTAGGAGAGGGAGCACTGGGAACTAGGCTGCTGCCTGCTCAAAACCAAAACAACCCCTGCCCTAGGATATGGGTGGGGGAAATGGCAAGTGAAAAATGCCACAAAACTTTCCTATTGTTTTTAATATAGCTTTTTTCTTGATTGGGCATTTGACTGGTTACTGTGAGCCTTAAACTGATTTCCAGAGCTTCTACAAGGTTGGTTCAGACAGCTTCTAGTTTTTGTTTTGTTTTATTTTGATGTTTTTGTGAGGGGACAAGAGCTTGGAGCTTTTTAGTCTGCCACTTTGCTGATGTTACCATCCAAGTGGAGCCTAAAGCAACCCCATTTTGGATGGTAATCTGCCATTCTGACTTCTGATTAACCCCTGTTCCAGGAATGCCTCTAAGATTTCTACTTTTTCTACTGTTACCATAAATCTTGACTTTAGGTCAAAAGAGCCTGGACCATAAATCCTGCCCTTAAGCAGATTCACACAGCATTCTTGCCTCTCCCTGAGAGGTCAACTTCGATTGTCCTATGCATTCCCTCCCTATGCTATATAAGCCCTGGATCTTGAGGGTAATGGTGTGAGGATCCACCATCTTGTCTCACTGCTGCCTGAGACAAAGACATGGCCCCTGTTCGTAAGTTCTCATTAAATGTGTCTTTCTAACAAACTGGATTTGTCAGCCTCTTTCTTTAGCCTCTCAGCTTCCTCAGCCTTTGGGGGTAGGCATGTACAGACGTGCCCACTGCAGAACTACCCAACATCAGGGTTGATCACGGCAGGAGAGGGAGGGTGTTTCCAAAGCAAGAGAAGGGTCTTTACAGGCAAGATAAGGAGGGTGTTTACAAAGATAGATAGGAATTTAGTGAATAGAATTATGATATAAAGTCAAAGCCTAGTTCTTTAAAAATATAAATAAAATAGATATTTCTTGATACGAACAAACAGTTATAAATGAAAAAGGGAATATAACAGAATGTTCTAAGAAGCTTAAAACATAAGAAAAAGCAATGTACATGTGCATGCTAATGATTAGAAAGGCCAAATAAAAATGACATCTTCCTGAAAAACATGAATTGTCCTGGCTAATGCAAGCAGAAAACCTAGAGACCCATTAAGTATTGCAGAAACTGAAGCCCTGTGTGTCAGGGTGGAAAATGTTATTCAAGATCTTTTACAAAGTAGCATGCATTTATAAAACATTCCCCCCAAAAATATTTCATATAAATTATACATTTATGGGTAAACCTTTAAATACTTAAAGGAATATCAACCCTTTCAGGTATAGAAATTTCCCATATAATATAATCCACTGCAGAACATAAAAAAAGAGAGAAATCTACTTGATTCATGTTAGGACAAAACACACAAAAAAAGAAGACATATATAATCTGTTACTATATTTAAAAGACTGTATATGGTATATATCACAGATAAATGGGTGAGACAACCTTCATTAGTTCATTTTCTGTTGCTTGTAACAGAATACATGAAACTGGGTAATTTATAAGAAATGAAATTTCTTTCTTACAGTGATGGAGGTTGGTAAGTCCAAGGTAGAGAACGTGCATCTGAAGAAAGTGAGAACCATGTTGCTAGAGGGAACTCTCTGAAGAGTCTCGAGGCAGTGTAGTGTATAATACAGCAAGGGGGGCTGAGCAGGCTCATGTGCTAGTTCAGATTTCCCTTCCTCTTCTTATAAAGCCACCAGTTCCTCTCCCATGAATACCCATAATCCATTAATCTATAAATGGATTAATCCATTCATGAGGACAGAGCCATCATGATCCAATCACCTCTTAAAGGCCCCACCTCTCCATGCTGCCACACTGGGGATTCAGTGAGTTTTGGAACTCAAGGAGTTTTGGAGGGGACATTCAAACCATTGCAGGGCTTCCTACTACCACCTCTACATTGGATAGTTTATCTAGGAAATTTTAATAAATTGGCTCATGTTTCTTAGAAACTTCAGCCAAGCCATGATGTTAAATGACAAAGAGGGAACTTGGAAATAGATTTCTTGGGAGAGTTTACACACATCTTGAAGGAAGATTGGCACCTTCCAAGTGGCATACAAGGAGTAATGGTGCCTACTTTACACCTGAGAAAAGTGTTGTTAAGGTGACAAGATAGAGGAGACTGAATAGGAATTGGCCTTTCAGATTACGAAGAATGCAGGCACATTTCCTGTTGCACACACATGAGCTACATGGATGAAATGGAGGTCCTGGATTTATCATGGATCCTCTACAATAGAGCTGCCTAGATGAGCAGAGAAATGGAAGATGACCATGAAGGATACATTCTTAGAGCTAACAAAAGCCCCAATACATTCCATGGAATAGAAAACCTGCCTACTGGCTCCACCACCAATACCTAACTTCAGTCAAGGAATTTGCTGGAAAGCTCTGAGAAGAGTTAATTTTCAATATTTTCCAAGTCAGAGTATGAAGCCACCAGGAAACAGTATCAGTTAATGTAAAACTTCTTATCCATTTTTTCTCCACCCTCAAAATTAAATCTTTAAAATTAGGGAAGTCATATGTAATTTATCATACTGGGTAGGGGTAGGGAAAAGAGAAAGTAGAAGGCAGAGAGGTTGAGAAGCCCCAAGTCCCTGCTCTTTGCCACTGCAGGCTTCCAGCCTGAAGTACAAATGGGCTGTGGAAAGGGAAAATGTTAATGCTAAATCTGAATTTAGTATTAAACACTGAACTGAGAATACCTGTGTAACATAAAGATAGAAAACAACTTTTACCAAAACATTGGCAGAAAACCATGAGATCTGTCCAAATTTCACCAAGGTAGAGAAATTTTACACCTCCCTGAACAAAGTTTAATAGTAGGGTATAACTGCATTATGACTAGATCACAAGTTTTTTTTTTAATCAATAAACTGGTCGAATAAGAATTTTTAAGCAAAAAAACAAAAAAGGTAAATTAACCAAGAGCAAAGCGAAATTGAAGTTTTTATAAGAGGATTACCCATCAACATAAAATAGGATTTATCCCAGAAACTGAATGGATTGGGTGGGGGAAGTGATGTCACCAAGTGGTGGAATAGGATGCCAGACTACACCTTCACCCCTCCACCCCACAGAGAAAGATCAAATAGCCACTGTCTACAGACCGGAACATCCTTTTGAAAATTTCAATATTGAAACAAGCCTGAGACATCCATTTGGTCTGCAGAACTGATTGAAATCCAAATTAGAAGAGTAAAAAGAAAGGTCTTACTTTGACTGCACTCCCCTTCCCCAAGTCAGCAGGATGCCAGATGAAAAAGGATTTCTATGGGCACACATATTCTACATGGGGAAAAGAAAATTGGAGGCAGTCATCCCATTTTCCAAGCATTTGGAAAGGCTTCCCAGGAAGCTCACCCTAGTTTCACCTCACAAAGAACATTAGGGGGAAATAACATGGCTAGATTGCCCAGGGTTAGATAGAAACAAAGAAAAGAGGCAGAGGTCATAGTCACCAGCAAACAAATCTGGGTGGTACTTCTGTTTCTCCCAGCTGTGGCACCAAACCACACCTCATATACTAGCCACAAAGCTGATTTGGTTGCCTTCAGAAACAGAGTGGGAAGTTTAACCTAGCTCGAGTTTCTAGATGGCTAGTCAACATGCTCAGCCTCAGGGCCTACCCAATGACACTGCCCAGGCAGGGAGACTCCCACCTCTGCACATTTTGGAGAAGTGTGGAAGCTAGACCAGCTTGACCCAGGAAGTCAAGATGATTCCACTCAGCCAAAAAGCCTGCGCAATGACCTTGCCCAGGAAGGGAGACTCCCACTTCTATGCACTTTAGAAAAGTGAAGGGGCTAGACTAGCTTAAACCAGAAAGTCAAGCAGTGTTCCATTTAGCCAAAAGTCCACTCAATGACCCCACCTGGTAAGGAAACTTCTATCTTTGCACATTCCAGAGATGGAAAGGGGCTAGACCTTTCCATCAGCATCCAGCTCCTCCAGCTTGAGCTGGGAGGTCAAACAGCTACTGAACTCAACAAAAAGGTGATTCCACATCAGGATGGGCTCCACCCATCCTAAACAGTGACCCCACCTAAACTCAGGGCCTGGCCTGCAGCCCTGCTCAACTACAGATCCCAAATAGCAAAAGGGCCCAGCCAGGGAATACAGTCCATAACCAGCCTGACCAGGAACCATCACAGTAACCAGCCAGCAGCTCTGCCTGATAGCAGAGTCCAGCCAGTAGCCTCACCAGAGAGTAGAGCACAGTCAGCAGCTTCATTCAACCTCAAAGCAAAGGCAGAGACCCATCAACCACAGAATTGAAAAGCTCTGCCTGTGCAAGGTTGTCATGAGCTGGCCTTTCAGAATCACAGGCTAGAAGGCAGAGAGGATGAGATAGTGAAGGTCTATCACTGCCAAACAGAAAAACAAACAAAACAACAACAAAAACAAAAACACCTGTAAAGGCCAGAAGAAGAGCTATCTCCTCAAATGTGCAGACCACAATGGAAGGACACAAGGATTAAAAAGAATCGAGAAATCATGACACCTCTAAAAGAATTAATAAAGCTCCAACAATGAACCCTCAAGAAATGGAGATTATAAAATGACTAGTAAAGTATTAAGAATAATATTCAGAAAGAAGTTCAGTGAACTAAAACAATATAGAGAGATAAAATTTAATACAATATGAAAAATAATACTCAAAGCAAAACACTGACAAAGAAATAGAATGAATAGAAAAGAACCAGATACAAATCTGTAAGATAAAGACTACAATGATTGAACTAAAAAATTTAATAGAAAATTTCAACAGCAGACTGTACCAAGCAGAAGAAAGAATCAGTAAGCTGGAAGACAAAATATTTGAAATTATCCAGTCAGATAAACAAGAACAACAAAAGATTTAAAAAGAATGAAGAAAGCTTCTGGGTATCATAGAACATCATCAAGAGACTAAACAGTCACATAATAGGATTTGCAGAAGTAGAAGAGAAAAAAAAGCCAGAAAGCATATTTTAAAAAATAGTGGCTGAAAACGTTCTTAATCTAGTAATAGATACAGAAGGAAATACAGAAGTCACCAATCAAATTCAACCCCAAATAAAGTACACTAAGACATATAATAATCAAACTACCAATTATCAAAAACAAAGAAAAAGAAGAAAAGCATCCAGAGATAAGAAACATATCGCATATAAGAGGTGCCAATACGACTATCAGCAGACTTATCAACAGAAACCCTGCATTCTAAGAAAGAGTGGTATGATATATTCAAAATGATAAAGGAAGAAAACTATCAACCAAGAATATTTATCCAGTTAAGCTGTCATTTAGAAACGACAAAGAAATAAAAGCTTTCCCAGACAAACAAATGTAAAAGACATCACTATCCCCTAGCTCTGCCTTACAGGAATTGCTACAGGGAATTCTTTAAACTGAAACAAAAAGCCAAAAAGTAGTAATATACAACATATGAAGGAATAAAACTCAATGATATAAGTAAAACAGTATCAAATTCAGAATACTCTAGGTTAGTAATGATGATGTGTAAGATGTTATCTCTAGTATGAGGGTTAAATAACAAAACTATTAACAACAACTATAGCTACCATAAATTGTCAGGGAAAACACATCACGAAATGAGGTAAATTCTGACATCGAAGCATAAAATGTGTGTGGGGGGGAGTAAAAGTGTACAGTCGTATGTAATCAAAATTGGCTGTTATCAGCTTCAAATGAGATGCTGTAAGTATAAGATGTTCTACGTAAGGCTCATGGTAAGCACAAAGCAAAAATCTTTAGAAGAAGCTCAAAATAAAAATAGAAAGGATTTGGCCAGGTGCAGTGGCTCACAACTGTAAGCCCAGCACTTTGGGAGGCCGAGGCGGGCAGATCACCTGAGGTCGAGTTTGAAACCAGCCCGGCCAACATGGCAAAACCCGGTCCCCACTAAAAATACAAAACTTAGCCAGGCACCTGTAATCCTAGCTACTCAGGAGTCTGAGGCAGGAGAATTGCTTGAACCCGGGAGGCAGAGGTGGCAGTGAGCTGAGATCGCGCCACTGCTCTCCAGCCTGGGCGACACAGCGAAACTCCGTCTCAAAGAAAAAAAAAAAATTGAAAGGATTCAAGGCATACTACTACAGAAAGCCACCACAAAGGAGGACAACAAAAAAGGAAGAAAGAAACAAAGTATCTACAAAATAACCAGAAAATAACTAACATGATGATGGTAGTAAGATCTTACCTATCAATAATTACCTCAAATATAAATGGATTAACTATTCAAAAAAAGAGAAATAACAAAAAGTTACCAAGTGGAGACAAAGTTTTATTTTCAACTGTTTTGTTTGTTCATGCAATAGTGTTAAGTTGTCATCCTCTTAAAATAATGAGTTATAAGACAGTATTTGCAAGCTTCATAGCAACCTCAAATCAAAAAATGTACAATGATACATAAAAAATAAAAATCGAGAAACTAAATCATACTACTAGAGCAAATCACCTTCACAAAAAGGAAGACAGGAAAGAAGAAAGAAGGAAGAGAAGACTCCAAAAGAACCAGAAAACAACAAAATGGCAAGAGTAAGTCCATATTAATCAATAATAACATTGAAGGTAAAGGGAATAAATGATGTAATCAAAATACATAGAGTGGCTGAATGGTTGAGAACACAAGACCTAATGATCTATTGCCTGCAAGAAATACACTTTATTATAAAGACACATACAGACTGAAAATGAAGGAATGGAAGAAGATACTCCATGCCAGTGCAAACCAAATAAGAGCAAGAGTACCTGTACATATATCAGACAAATTATATTCCTAGACAAAACATATAAGAAGAGACAAAGAAGGTCACTATATAATAATAAAGGGGTCAACTTATCAAGAGAAACTAATGATTGCAAACATATATGAATCCAATACTGGAGCATCCAGATGCATAAACAAATATTATAAGAGCCAAAGAGAGAGATAGGCGTCCTTACAGAAATCACTAAAGACTTCAACAAGCCATGTTCAGCATTGGACAAATCTCCCCGATAGAAGATCAACAAAGAAACATAAGACTTAATCTGCACTATAGAACAAAGATGGATTTAATAAATATTTATAGAACATTTCATTCAATGACTACAGAATACACATTTTTCTTCTCAGCACTTGGATCATTCTTAGGGATAGATCATATGTTAGGGTCACAAACCAAGTTTAAAACGTTGAAAGAAACTGAAATAATACCAAGCATCTTCTGTGACCACAACAGAATAAAACTACGAATCAATAATAAGAGGAATTTTGGAAACTATATAAGCACACAGAAACTGAACAATAGGTTCCTGAATGACCAGTGGGTCAATGAAGAAATTAAGAAAGAAACTGAAAAATGTCTTGAAACAAATAATAATGGGAACACAACATACCAAAACCTATGGTATATAGCAAAAGCAGTAAGTACTAAAAGGGAAATTTATAGCTGTAAGTGTCTACATCAAAAAAGAAAAACTTCAACTAAATAACCATTTCCACTGATGTATCTTTACTAGAAAAGCAAGAGCAAACAAAACCCCAAATTAATAGAAGAAAAGAAATAATAAAGATCAGAGCAGAACTAAATGAATTTGAAATGAAGAAAGCAATACAAAAGTTCAATGAAACTAAAAGTTTTTTTAAAAGAGAAACAAAATTGACAAACCTTTAGCCAGACTAACTACAAAAAAAGAGAGGGAAGATGAAAATAAATAAAATCAGAGATGAAAAAGGAGACATTACAACTGATGTTGCAGAAATTCAAAGGATCATCAGTGGCTACTATAAGCAACTATTTACCAATAAACTGAAAAATCTAAAAGAAACTGATAAATTTCTAGACACAACCTACCAAGATTGAACCACGAAGAAATCCAAAACCTAACAGATGAATAACAGGTAACAAGATTGAAGTCACAATAAAAAGTCTCTCAGTAAAGAAAAGCCTGGGACCCAATGGCTTCACTGCTGAATTCTACCAAATGTTGAAAGAACAACTAATGTAAATCATACTCAAACTGTTCCAAAAAATAAAGAAGGAAATACTTCCAAACTCATTCTCTGAAGCCAGTATCACCCTGATACCAAAACCAGAAAAATATATACAAAAACAAAAAATAAAACAAACAAAAAATAACTAAAGGCCAATATTTCTAATGAATATTGATGCAAAAATATTCAACAAAATACTAGGAAACGAAATTCAAGAATATGTTAAAACAATCATTTATCAAGACCAAATGGTATTTATTCCAGAGATGCAAGGATGGTTCAACATATGCAAATTAATCAATGTGACACACTGTGTCAACAGAATGAAGGACAAAAACTATATCATCATTTCCACTGATGCTAAAAAATCATTGCATAAAATTCAACATCCCTTCATGATAAAAAAGCACTAAAAAAACTAAGATAGAAGGAACATACCTGAACATAAGAAAAGCCTGATATATCAAGCCCTAAGTTAGTATCATACTGAATGGGGAAAAACTGAAAGCCTCACCTCTTAGATCTGGAACATGATAAGGAATCTCACTTTCACCACTGGTGTTCAACATAGTACTGTAAGTCCTAGCTACAGAAATCAAACAAGAGAAAAATAAAAGACATCCAAATTAGAAAGGAAGAAGTCAAATTATCCTTGTTTGCAGATGGTATAATCTTATAATTGGAAAACCTTGAGACTCCATGAAAAAACTATTTGTTTACTGCTAAATTCAGTAAAGTTGCAGGATACAAAATCAACATACTAAACAAGTAGCACTTCTATATGGCAACAGTGAACAATCTAAAAAAGAAATTTAAAAAATCCCATTAACAATAGCCACAAATAAAATTAAATACCTATGAATTACCTTAATCAAAGAAATGAAAGATCTCTGCAATGAAAATTATAAAACATTGATAAAATAAATTGAAGAGGACACAAAACAATGAAAAGGTATTCCATGTTCATGGATTGGAAGAATCATTATTGTTAAAATGTCCATATTACCCAAAGCAATCTACAGATTCAATGTAATCTCTATTGAAATACCAATGACATTCTTCACAGAAATAGAAAAAACAATCCTAAAATTTATATGGAATCATAAGAAGCTCAGAATAGCCCACGCTATCCTAAGCAAAAGGAACAAAATTGGAGAAATCATATTACCTGACTTTAAATTATAATATAGAGCTAGAGTAATCAAAACAGAATAGTACTGGCATAAAAACAGACATACAGACCAACAGAATAGAATACAGAACCCAGAAATAAATCTATACATCTACAGTAAACTCATTTTTGACAAAGCTGCCATGATATACACTGGAAAAGAGGCAGTCTCTTCAATGTATGGTCCTGGGAAAACTGGATAACCGGATGCAGAAGAACGAAACTTGACCCCTATCTCGCACCTTATATAAAAATCAAATCAAAATGGATTAAACACTTAAATACAAGACCTGATACTATGAAACTGCTAAAGGACAACACTGGAGAAACTCTCCAGGACATTGGTCTGGGAAAAAGAAAATATTGAGTGACACCCCACAAGCCAGGTAAACAAAGCAAAAAGGGACAAATGGGATCACATCAAGTTAAAAAGCTTCTGCACAGCAAAGGAAACAATCAACAAAGTAACAGAATAAGCCACAAAACAGGAGAAAATATTTGCAAACTACCCATTTGATAAGAGAATAATAGCCAGCATGTATAAGGTGCTCAAACAACTCTATAGAACAAAGTGTCATTAATTAAAACATGACTAAGAGTTGAATAGACATTTCTCAAAAGAAGACATTCAAATGGCAAACAGGTATACAAAAGGAATCTCAACATCACTGATCATCAGAGAAATGCAAATCAAAACTACAATGAGATACCATCTCACCCCAGTTAAAATAACTTTTATCCAAAAGTCATTCAATAACAACTGCTGGCAAGGATGTAGAGAAAAGGGAACCTCGAATACTATTGGTGGGGATGTATGTTAGTACAACCACCATGCAGAAAAATTTGGAGGTGCCTCAAAAAACTAAAAATAGATCTACTATATGATCCAGGAATCCCACTGCTCGGTATACACCCAACAGGTGAAAAATCAGTATATTGAAGAATTATCTGCATTTCCATGTTTGTTGAAACCCAGTTCACAACAGCCAAGATTTGGAGGCAACCTAAGTTTTCATCAACAGATGAATGGATAAAGAAAATGTTGTACTTACACACAATGGAGTACTTGTGTATAAGTCCAAGTCATAAAAATGAATGAGATTCTGTCATTTGCAACAACATGGATAAAACTGGAGGTCATCATGTTAATTGAAATAAGCCAGGCATAGAAAGACAAACATCACATGTTCTCACTTATTTGTGAGATCTAAATATCAAAACAATTGAACTCACGGAGATAGAGACTAGAAGGATGGTAAGTGTAGTGGGGGTACAGGGAGACAGAGAACAGGTGGTGTATTAGTCAGTTCTTGCATTGTTATAAAGAACTACCTGAGACTGGGTAATTTATAAAGAAAAGAGGTTTAATTGGCACACAGCTCCACAGGCTGTACAGGAAATATTGCTAGGGAGGTCTCAGGAAACATACAACACAGCGGAAGTCGAATACGAAGGAGGCACGTCTTACATGGTCAGAACATGGGGAAGAGAGAGCAAATGGGAAGGTCCCACACACTTTTAAACAACCAGGTCTCTTGAGAACTCACTATCACGAGAACAGCAAGGGGGAAATCAGCCCAGCAATCCAATCACCTCCCACCAGGCCCCTCCTCCAACACTGGAGATTACAATTCAACATGAGATGTGGACAGGGGCACAGATCAAAACCATATTAGGTGGGGATGGTTAATGGGTACAAAAAAATAGAATAAGACAATATTTGATAGCACAACAGGGGGACTATAGTCAAGGATAATTGAATTGTACATTTAAACATGACTAAAAGAGTATTATTGGATTGTTTGTAACACAAAGAGTAAATGCTTAGGGGAATGCATACCCAATATTCCATGATGTGATTATTATGTACTGCATGCCGGGACCAAAATATCTCATGTATCCCATGAATATAGACATCTACTATGTACCCACAAAAATTAAAAATTGAAAAAATTGAAAAAATATTCTCAACATATTAGGAATAGAAGAAATATACTCCAACACAATAAAGCTATATATGATAAGCCCATAGTTAACATTATACTCAATGGTAAAATGTTGAAACCTTTTCTCTAAGATATTGAGCAAGAAAGCTATGCCTACTTTTACCACTTTAATTCAACACAATAATAGAAGTCCTTGCTAGAGCAATTAGGCAAAAGAAAGAAAGAAAAGGCATGCAAATCAGAAAAGAACAAGTAAGAAGTAAATTGTCAACGCAATCATATATATCTGTCATATATATCATACATATCTGTCTATCTATAGATAGATAGATATATCTATAGATAGATATATCTATAGATAGATAGATAGATAGATAGATAGATAGATAGATATGGTTAAAGCAAACTAAATATGGCCTGAGAAGGACTCTACACTTCTATATTTGAGTCCTTCTGGATGAACTGTAACCTAGCTTAATAGTCACACAAAATTGAAAACCTAACTTAATAGTATGCACCTCTAACAATGGCTGAGTGTTGGCCAATCCCCACGGCCATACTTCAACCACTCAAAGACTACTGAATGTTCAAACTGCATTCAAAAAAGGCAAACGCCGAGCTGTAACCAATCTCGCTGTTTCTGTACCTCACTTCTGATTCCCGTACCTCACTTTACCTTTTTTGTCTATAAATTTGTTCTGACCATGAGGCACCCCTGGAGTCTCTGTGAATCTACTATGATTCTAGGGGCTGCCTGATTCACAAATTGTTCATTGCTCAATTAAACTCTCTTACATTTAATTCGGCTTAAGTTTTACTTTTATCTATGTATATCTACAGACTCCACCAAAGAACTGATATAACTAATTTAAAAGTAAAATCAATGTGGCAAGAGGATTGTTAAAGACCAGAAATTCTAGAGTAACCTGAGCAACATAACAAGGCCCATCTCTACAAAAAGTCTTTTTAAGTTAGCCAGGTGTGGTGGCACACACCTTTAGTGACAGCTACTATGGAGCCTGAGGTGGGCAGATCCTGTGTGCCCAGGAGTTTGAGGTTACAGTGAACTATAATTGCCCCACTGCATTCCAGCCTAGGTGACAAAGGGAGACCCTGTCTAAAAAAAAACTCACCAAACAAACAAAACAAAACAAAACAAAACAGTTAAGTTACGGGATATAAAAACAACTTACAAAAAACATTAATAGTAGTGTTTCTATAAATTAACACTAAACTATCTGAAAAAAATAATCAAGGGAACAATCCCATTTACAATAGTTTCAAATAAAATAAAATAAAATACTTAGGAATAAATTTAACCAAGGAAATGAAAGACCTGTACACTGCAAACTATAACATTCACAAAAATAAATAAAAAAAGATACAAATGAAATATATCTGTATTAGAAGGATTACTATTATTAAAATGTCCACATTACTCAAAATGATCTATAGATTCATTGTAATCCCTATCAAAATTCTGATGTAGTTTTCCATAGAAACAAAAATTATAAAATTCATATGGAACCAAAACAAAAAACCCAAAATAGCTAAAGCAATCATAGCAAAAGGAGCAAAGCTGGAGGTATCACACTACCTTATTTCAAACTATACTACAAAGCTATAGTAATTAAAACAGCATGGTACTGGCAAAAAAAAAAAAAAAGGCACATCCGCCAATGAAATAGACTAGAGAGCCCAGAATAAACCCATTCATGTACTTTCAATATGATTTTTGCCAAGAATATGCAATGGGAAAAGAATAATCTCTTCCATAAATGCTGTTGGGAAAACTAAATATCCATATTCAGAAGAATGAAATTGGACCCTTATCTCACACCATATACAGAAATCAACTCAAAATTGATTAAAACTTAAATGTAACTAGCAACTGTTAAATTACTAAAAGAAAACATAGGGGGAAAACTACATGACATTATGCTGGGTAATGATTTTTAAAATTTGATTTGATGCAACAAATGCAAAAATAGGACAAATGAGACTACATCAAACTAAAAAGCTTCTGCACCAAAAACAATGAATACTATACAAAGACAACCAACAGACTGGAAGACATATGTGCAAGCAATCCATCCATTAAGGGGTTAATATCCAAAATATTTAAGGAAGTCAAACAACTCAACAGCAAGAAAACAAAAAAAAGCTCAATTTAAAAAATGGAGAAGGAACCTAAAGAGACATTTCTCAAAAGAAGACATGCAAATGGCCAACAAGACATATGAAAAGAAGTTCAACATCACTAATCATTAGGGAAACACAAATTGAAACTACAATGAGATAACATCTAATACCTGTCAGAATGACTAGTATCAAAAAGATGAAAGATAAGTGTTGGCAAGGATGTGGAAAATAGGGAACCCTTGTACACTGTTGGTAGGAATGCAAATTAGTGCAGTCATTATGGAAAACATTATGGAAAACTCAAAAAACTTAAAATAGAATTACCATATGCTACAGCAATCCCACTGTTGGGTATTTACCCAAAAGATTTGAAATAAATTTGCTGAAGGGATGTTAGCACTCCCAAGTTCACTGAAGCACTATTAACAGTAGCCATGTTATGGAATCAACCTAAGTGTCCATCAACAGATAAATTGATTTTTTTAATGATACACACACACACACACACATACACACACACACACACACACACACACACACACAATGGAATGCTACTCAGTATTAATAAAGAAAAAAATTTTGTCAGTTGGGACAACACTGATGGAATTGGAGAACATTATACTAAGTGAATTACGCCAGTCACAGAAAGAAATACCACATATTCTCACTTGTTTGTGGGATCTACAGTTGAACTCATATAAGCAGAGAACAGAACAGTGGTTACAGAGAATGGAGGATGGGGGGAATGGGGCAATGATTATCAAATGGTAATCTGTAAGCATATCTTCGAACGTAGATTCATTATGTGAACAAACTATATCTAGTTTATTTTTGGTTGAATACAATAATTCTTTTAAGAAAACATGAAACAAATCTACTCGATATAAAACGCATTTTAAAACTCTCATAAGTCAGTCAAAACTCATTCCTTTTATTGTATAAAGCTAACTACTTGAGTCACTAGTACTGCTATTTCTCAGCCATCTTCCCTATTCATGTCTACATTGTGTGGTTAGGCAGCTGCTATATAGTGTCACATAATAAAATAAAGGACTTCCCATATTATTTTTAAAAAATCTGTTAGGCAGGAAGAATATGTTATTTTTAAGTTCTATTGAAGAGCATGGTGAATATAGTTAATAATAGAGTTTTATACATTTCAAAGTTGCTGAGAGAATAAATTTGAAATGTGCTTACCATAAAAAAAGTTTAGTTCAAATACTAGCTAGCTAGATAAATACGTTAACTCACTTGATTTAATTATTCTGAAACTGACCCAATTGTCCCATAGAACTGTTGTTGACAGTTTCTTTTGAGTAACCATAGAAATTGACCCTCCCCATCTTCAAACTCGAAAAACTTACATTTGTCTTACTTGAGTTCTTTTCTCTGGAAACCAACCATCAGGTCCTGCAGACGGTATCAAGGAACTGAAACATACTGGCTCACCACATCTGGACAATGAGAGGCCAGACCCTTCACACATCATGATTGCGTGATCTGCTTCCTGTTGACCAATTCCTCTTCCTTATCCCTCCCTAATTACTGTTTTCCCATATATAGATTTTTTTTCCCTGCTAATATATTAGGTTGGTGCAAAAGTAATTGTGGTTT